>NC_000017.11:11400201-11703232 GCF_000001405.40 Homo sapiens
ACTCCAGTAATAAAGCTTTTTAGCAGAGAAGTGGCACTGAGAGTGGGAAAGGGAGAAACTGACGTTCGTTTTCTGCCATCTCTCAAACCCAGCATCTCCTAAGGTGAGTCAGCATCTTCTCTCCAAAACCAACTTCTTTTTGTGATGAAAAGTCATTAACATTGTTTTTCTCTAGTTGCTCAAGCTAAAACCTTGAACATAACTTCTGCTTCATTCTTTTGATACACACTCCTTGCCCCTCATCCTTGTTCTATGGATTCTCCTTCAATACATCCTTTGACTTTTTTGTATCTGTCCATTCCCCCAGTATGAGCTTCTGTCAACTCATTTCCAATTTAATATAGCAGCTGCCTCACTGGAATCCCTGCCTCCACCCTCTCTGCTCTACCCCTTTGACAACTGTCTATTGTCAAATTAATCTTTCTTCAATATGACTTTCATCAAATCATACTTCTGATCAGAATCTTGTAGTGGTTTCCATTTCCTATATTTCTTTCATTTTCTAGGCATTCAGGTTGTTCCACCTTCAGAGTCATTCTGATTGTCCATATGTGGGTAGCCTGCCTGGTGTACTTAATCTTTCACAGAATGCACAATAGTTTTTCTGCATCCATAAGGACTGAAATGTTTTTCACCGACTTGACTTTTCACTCACTTACTTTACATACTACTCATACTTTATGGTTCTATACAAGTCTTGCATTTTTCTGTGTACTTCACCCTCCACGAGTTTTCTCCACACCTGAATCCTGGAACAGTTCTTGTCTGTGGTCTCCTAGTCTTTAAACTGTTTGTTGCTTTATAATGTTGTTTAGTTATTTTTGCATATATGTCATGTGTTTCTAGTGGGATTGTTGGCTCTCTGACTAGACTAGCTTTATGGAGCACAGAGACTAGGCCTTACCTGGGAACTCTATACCTAATACTTGTTTACATTATTGGCATCTTCCTATACCTGGACACTTGGCCTTATTCCAGATATGTAAGTTTTGTTTGTGTGTTTTTGTTTTTTGAAATGGGGTCTCACTCTGTCACCCAGGTTGGAGTGCAGCAGTGCAATCTCCCCTCACTGCAACTTCTGTCTCCCAGGCTCAAGTGATCCTCCCACACCAGCCTCCTGAGTAGCTGGGACCACAGACACATGCCATCATGCCCAGCTAACTTTTGTATTTTGTTTGGTAGAGTCAGGGTTTCACCATGTTGCCCAGGCTGGCCTCAAACTCCTGAGCTCAAGCAGTCTGCCTGCCTTGGCCTCCTAAAATGCTGAGATTATAGGCATGAGCCACCAGCCTCAGACATGTATATATTTAACTCTGATTTTAGAAGGAGTTTTTGGAATTTTTATGAGAGAGTTCGGAAGAAGTCATCTTAGACCCAACTTCATGTAATGGGGTTCTATAGTCATCACAATAGTAGGCTACACTGGAATGAGAGCAATTTAAAAATTTGGTGTCTGGATACCAACAAAGATTTATTTATTTTTCTCACACTAAGTTTATAGCCGATATGGACAATCCTTTAAAGCAAATATCCTCCATGTGGTACCTCAGAAATTTATACTAACGGAGGTTCTGCCATCCTGTAGCTGCACAGAACATGCAACCTCCCTTGTTGACACAATCATGGAGTGATATGCTGTAGTCTCTACATCAGGTCTACAGAGGGGCTCTTAATCTTTCTCCAGATTTATAAACTACAAATCTATAAAGTAAAAAGTCATGCTTTCCTCCACACATACGCATTGCAGTAGAATAGGGACAGGGAAACCACAATGAACACTCCCTTTCATAAAGGGACAGAAGGGAGGCACGCAGCAGGCACTGGTCCTTAGCAATTTTGAAATTTCTTTTGGCAGACATTGTAAGGGGCTCCTAACTTGGGGTGGAGAATGTTTGTGATTAGGCTGCAGTTCTACTCTCTGAAGGGGCTTCCTTGTCCATTGTTTAGCATGGCCCCTAGCTCCACCATTTAGGAGGTTCCTTATTTTTTATTATCCTTCCTGGCCATACTTCAAATGGGTGTTGGGGAATATATCCTCCTTAGGAACTACACGGCTTTCTCAGCCCACCAACCTGCCATAGTCAGAGGCCCAGGGATTGTTTAAAGTCCTGGAGAATATCAGGGTCTCTGTTCCCTTGGCAGTTTGTGTAAAAAATTAGGTTTCTTATTTGATTCCATAATAATTCTAGATGTTAATCAACATACACAGTTCTTGAAATATAGTTCTCCAAACTCCTGTTTCCTTTGCTTTCCAGTCCCTTACCTCTTTTCCACTTAATGAGAGGCATTCTCAGCCTATCAGCCTTTGTAAGGGAATACACCCTTAGGCTCTTTGCTCTGAGTCACTTTGTCCAATCTAACTATTAACCTTCTCAGCTAATGTGGCAGAGGATGAGGATTATAGAAAATGGCTCTTAAATGTTTTTACTTTGACTTGATGCATGTGACATCCATGTGTATGTCATTGGCCACAGCAAGTCACATGGACCTGCCAAGTTTCAAGAGAGCAAGGAAACATATTCTTTCATGCACTGGGATAGAAAGAAAGCCAAAACAATTAGTGGATATGATGAGATACATCACTTCCTTGTGGAAACTGTGAGGCACTGAGGCAGGCCTCAGCGAGGGAACCAGCAATGGTGTGGACCAGAAGATGCCAAAAGGTGTAGGTTCTCCCTTTGGGCCAGGGTCAGACAAATAGCTGAAGCGATGGTAATTGCACACTGTGGAAATAATTCTGGTGCTCTTCGTGGAACCTTCTGCAATGGCTGCCTCATAGCCTCTCATTCTTTGACCTTGGTACCCTGAAGCACCTTTGTCATGGAGGAGGGTTGAAGGAAAATTCTTCCCCATGTGGCTTGGGATCCCAGAGAGCCCCTTGAAAGACCACATTTCTTGGAGATTATGCTAATGTACCAAGGGATATCCCTAAGACTTCATAATGTAGCCTACTTTAATTTCCCCTTACTTTAGTGAGAATCCTTTCCAATAAATGTACATGATTAGAATCACTCAAGTTTTTAGGGAGTAATTGCTCTCAAGACTCAGATTTGATAGGGGGAGGTTCAAAAGCCATCAGGGAACAGGATGGAGTCTGAGCAGGACTTTGTATCCTTCATCTCTTTGCATGGATGCAAATACTACCACAGAGCCACTACACTGCAAAAAAGTGCTGGGAATCTGATTGCTTTGTTGATGTATTTTATTCTGCAATTGTCAGATTCAGGGACCCACCCTGGAAGTTTTTCTAGGGGAACACAACAAAATTGCTGGCCCCATTATTGATGAGATGGGTTCTTGGGAGGGAGGTCGAAGACTTAGTGACTCCACATCAACACGGGCTCTGGAAACATGCAGGCAAAGTGGGGCTTGCCTAATAGTCAAGACTGGCCACTGGGTGGGTGTCAGCATGGCATGGTGGAAACAGGTGCTGGCGCTTAGCCAGCCTCTTCTTTGTTTTGATTAATTTGTTTCTCTTTTGTTTTATGGAACTTGACGGCACTGGTGGTGGCTTTTCGTGGTTGACTACCCCTGTAGTACCTAATTACATAGGATACTTTTAAAAAAGCAACAATGAACACATTTTCCAAATATGTTCTCAATCGCCTCCCTCCCTCGATAATTGGAGGCAGAGGGAAAAGAGGGCTGGGTGGTGTTCCTCAGAGACCTCCTGCCAGTCAGCCCAGGCATGTCCCCATGGGGCCACTCAGGAACACAGTTGCTTGGATGCCCCATGGAATAGAGGGCTCAGACATGCCCAGGGCCCTGAGGCCACACCCCAAGCACATGAAGCTCTCACACCTGCTGTCTTATTCCTGCACATGAGGGCTGAGGTACTGCTCAAGAACTAGGTAGGAAATTACACATTTCAACTAAAGTTCAGTCAAAATAAAAATATCAGGCAGCTTTTAGGGAGATCAAAGCCAGAGACTCAGTAAAAGCTCGTGATGCAGGCAATTCTGAAACTCCTGTCTTTGCTCTTTTGAATTAAAAGAATAATTGCAAGAAAAATAACATATTTTTATTTATTCATTCGTTCAATCTGTGACTTGATCCTGTGCTAGGCACTGAGAGAGTCTATTGGCAAGAATCTGACTGGGCAGAAAATGGCATCGGGAGACGTGAACTGGAAGTCCTTATCTGGCCCACTGAAGACTGGAGTGAGGGGGGAGACAGTCTAGGGACTTCATGCCTGTATATCCCAAGACTGTTTGTCTAGACACCAAATTGTTCCCAGCTCCCTCTTAATGGAGACAGAGGAAAGAAAATATCTGTGGGTTGTGGCTGACTCACATGGCAATTTCCTTCTGTTTGACTGACCACCCCCATTTGCCCTCTCACTGTTTATAAGGGCCTGGCACTCTACCAATTATAGACTGCAGGCCAGGTGGTGAAGGAAGTCAGTGTGAGGCATGATTCACAGGGACTCCTGAACAGGTGAAACTTTCCTGTAAGAATGGAAGAACGCCCAAGCACACACAGTAATGTACACTACACCCCCACGTACAGACGAGTGCAAGGAGATTTAAACTCCGCGCCTTGACTTTCCTTCCTGGAGGACCACACTGAAGTTGTGAGTCATTTTACAACAGAAGGATGACCTCGCCTTTGGGCTCATATATTATCTTCATCTGTTGACTCTGCTACTACAAGAGGCAATGCAGCCCTCCAACAGATGCCGATTACATAGCATTCCCCTTCTCAGTGTGGAACTCCCTTTATGTGAAAAGAAGTACTGTCTGCCTCCCTCCATTCCCTGATTTCTGCACAAGAGCAATCTTACCCAAAATCCCTTCATCTTGGGCCCTCTGTTCAACTTTATCTGCAGAGCGAGACAGTAGTTTCTGACCCCAGTTGCAAATCTGACTCAGCAAAACTTAAAAAAAATATGCAAAAGGAAGGCCCTATCCAAGACTTCCTGAATCATAATCTATAGAAGTAAGGCTATGTAACTTCAATAAGCTTCCAAGATAATCCTGATACACAACTGTGATCAGTGCTTCTGAAGATGTCACATGCATTTAAATCACCAGGGGATGTTGTCAACATGAAGATTTTGATCCAGTAGGTCTAGGGTGCCCCTGAGATGTAGCATTTCTAACAAACCCCTGGGGCTGCTTCTGGTCCCGGAGTAAATTTGAGGTAGCCAAGGTGTAGAGCTATGGTTCTCCATCCCAGCTACATGTTAGAATCACCTGGGGAACTTAAAAAAAAATCCCTTTGCTCCAGCTGCACTGCTAACTAAATCATACTTCTGGGGCTGGGACTCAGACATCACTAATTTCTAAAGCTTCCCAGGTAATAACATTATGCAGCTCTGGGCCAGGCGCAGTGGCTCACACCTGTGATCCCAGCACTTTGGGAGGCCGAGGCGGGTGGATCACAAGGTCAGCAGTTCGAGACCAGCCTGGCCAACATGGTGAAACCCTGTCTCCACTAAAAATACAAAAATTAGCCAGGCGTGGTGGCGGGTGCCTGTAATCCCAGCTACTTGGGAGGCTGAGCAGGAGAATCGCTTTAACTCAGGAGACGGAGGTTGCAGTGAGTCGAGACCACGTTCTAGCCTGGGTGACAGAGCAAAGCTCTGTCTCAAAAAAAAAAAGAAAAGAAAAAAAATTGTGCAGCTCTAGTTGAGAACCATTGTTTTGGGAGCTGTTTTACACCAGAGTCGGTCTGTGATTCAGCTGCTCAACTCCAAACCCAACCACAGGCCTGCTACCTTCTCTCCAAAATCTGTTTTCCAGGCAGCTGCACTGCATATGTTTTTCCAGACAGCTAGACAGTACATATTTTCATCATAGAAGAGCTCATTGAAACACATCCCTTTCTAGAGATAACCAATAGCAGTATTAGCAAAGTCTATACATCCACCCTATTCCCTTTGCACAGAAAATTAATTCTCAGTTGTTGGTTAATGGCTTCTTGGCTTCTCTGTCTCTCTCCTGGAGCAACCTGCATGGTACATTTACACAACCACATAGGCAGTGGTACGTGGACACACCACATGCATGAGATTAACCTCTCACTCACACATCCCCTCTATCTTCCACTTTTTGTCATTTTATACTCCCTGGTCCTTCCCTAAGAACACTAGGGAATTAATATCATACTTCTCCACCTCTTCCACCTTCTTCAAGTCATCTGTACCTCTGAGCTCTTGCACACTGTGCAGCATTGCTCAGACTGTCTTAACTCGCCAGTCCTCACCAGAATATCCTAACTCACCCTGCGAAATGGCTGGTTCCCACTTGTCTTTCAGCTCTTTCTTTCTTGCCTTTGGACATCACCTTCCCAGGCACCACAATTCTCGGCAACTCCTCTTTGCTCCGTGGAAATGTCTACTATAATCCTTAGCACGTTGTGAAGTATTTATTGATTTCTGAATCTCTTTTCCCCACTAGACTGTGAGCTCCTTACTGGTGGGAGTGTCTTGCCAATCTCTCAATCTATACCACAATGCTACTTTCTGAGCACAATGCCCAGAACAGAGCAGCAGGTTACATGACATTTTATTGAATTAATCAATGGTCCCTCTCCTCTTTTTTTCCTGCTTTCTCTATTAGATTGTATAAAATGTACAGAAACTGATCTGTTTTAGCATGATTCTGACTGGCATATTTGCTCAAACTAGTCCACACCCCACGAGAGTATAATTGGAATATCCAGTCCTTCCAAAACCCTGTCAATCATTCTTCTGTGTAAATAGGCACAGGTGATTGGTTCTAATCAAAGTCATTAGGGTGGTTCTGGAACGATCCTGCTGCCATATGTAGATAATTATGGCAGAAGTCTAAATTTTGGATGTTAGCCAATCTAAATAGCATTAGCATGAGGAATTTAAATAGAACAAAAGGAGAAGGATGGCACAGTATTTGGACATAAATAATAATAGCTAGCACTTATAGAGCGTTTTCTATGTGCCAGGCACTCTTCTAAGTACTTTACATATATTAACTCATTTATACAACATAACCGTCTTACAAGATAACCACTATTAGTATCTGAATTTTATAGGTGAGGAAACTAAGGTACAAAGAGGTTAGGTAACCTGGCCAACATATACCTGGTAAGTGGTGGAGCCTCTTTTGGGACCAGGTAGATTAGGAGCTCCAGGTCTGTGTTCCCCATCGCTGTGGGGAACTGTGCTCTAGTCTATGCTGCCCTAGTGAATGGGCTTCTTTCAAGATCCAGCATAATCAAATTTCTCAGACCTAACTCGACCCCGGAAGCAGAATGGACCATCAGGGTTCTCTATCTTATTGAAGTAGCAGTCCTCAAAGTTTAGCATATTGTTTTTTTTTTCCTTTTTCTCTCTCTTAAATATACACACATAGAGCCATACCCATCTCTTAGAAAATAGACACAGGGACTTTCAATAGCTAACTTACTTATAAAAACAAAGTAATTCTGAATGAGAGCAATGCTGTTGTGTTCCTCGAGTTTTGCTTGCTTTTGGAGATAAGACTGGGGTGCTGGAATGAGGAGTTCGGTTGATGGTTTCTGAGTCTAAGACTCCTATTAATGATACCACTGTTAGTCATTATTTGACGGCTCCTTTTTTTGGATCTACCAGAAACCTAAGATCCCTCCTGTGCTCTCTGGGGATGTGGTCCAACCCCTTGGCTTTATGAGGAAAATTAGAGAGCTCCCTGTGTCACACTGGAGGACCTGCCTGTGAAATGCGTCTGTCCTCATCACTGCAGTTTTCACCTTTTGTATAAGGTGGCTTCATTGGTGACCTCACATTTGAAAAACCAAGAGTTAGAATCAATATTTCTGCATGGTCATTTCTTCCCCGACACCATCAAATGAATATGATCTGATGTGCCTGGACCAGATAAACACACTGCCTCTTCCCATCTCTGAAGCCAGAGGGAAAAGCTGGGAGCTTGTGTCTTTAATGAAGTTCTCTACATTGCTAAGGAGAAGTAGAGCAGACTGTACTTCTTCGAAAAAAAGTTAGCAAGAAAAGAACTTCACAATAGTTTCTATGTTCTCACTCCTCCTTATGCCACATGGGAAACTATTAGAATGTAATTAAAAAAAAATAAAAGTAGTATCAGTATCTCTAAAGCAGTGGTTCTCAAAGTGTGGCTCCCACACCAGCAGCATCAACATTCCCTAGAAACTTGTTAGAAGTGCAAATTCTTGGGCTCTATCCCAGACTTACTGAATCAGAAGCTCTGGGGGTGGGATCAGCAGTGTGTGTTTTAATATGCCCTCCAGGTGATTCTGATGTGTGCCAAAGTTTGAGAACCACTGTCATAAAGAATTAAGACATTTAATCAAAACATGCTTCCTAATATATGACCGTACCAAAATTGATGCAGAGGATACATCATTTAAGTATCTTGTCCTCAAGGGATATCTTAACTAATGCTACCTAGAAATGTAGTTCTGTAGCGGGCATGAAGTGTCATCCAAATTGTAAGAAGCTAGACATAAACTGCTGGGATATTGAAGCCATCTATTCATTGCCAACTCCAGAAAAATGCCTCCACAATGTATTGACTGTCCTTTGCCCATTGATCAAGGCAGGTGGGATGTGGTTGGAGGTTGATGATTAATTCAGGTGTTTCTTACTTGAAGAGCTCAGCTGTTCCCCTTGCTCACAGCTGCCTTATTGACGTGATGATATTAAAACTGTGAAACTTCTGAAAGCTAATTCAACCAACTGACTTTAATCACCAGGGTGATAGGACACACCAAGACACTATAAAGACTGGAGCTTTGGTCAAATTCAAATGTTATTGCTTTTGACTGGGAACGTTGCAAGACACACAGAGCAAATGGAACCAGCACAGTGTCATCTTTAAAATTAGTTACAAAGATCAAAACGTTAAAAAACTGAAATGATTTTTTCAAGCATAAAAATTTATCCTCTCAGAAATAATTAATTTGATAAAATTACTTACTAGATCCATGTATCGTTGTGTCATTATAGCTGCAGTGTCTAAAATAACCTTAGCTTTTCTTTTTGAAGAAGCCAGTACAATTTCTAAAAGACACATACCTAATTAAGTCAGACAGTAACTAACTTGACTTTCCAATGTTGTTCTATAGAGAATACTAGTTATAATTATCTTTTCCCCACTTTCCCCCCCAAAATTGGGGTATGGACTCACATGCAAGATTAACAATAAAATAGAAGGTCATCAAACTCAGAAGGAAGCAATATTCTAGTTCATGGGGCTCTTGTCCAGTGTTGTCTGTATTAGAAAAAGACAGTGTCGGGCCAGGAGTGGTGGCTCACGCCTGTAATCCCAGGCTGAGGCGGGCGGATCACGAAGTCAGGAGTTCCAGACCAGCCTGGCCAATATGGTGAAATCCTGTCTCTACTAAAAATACAAAAATTAGCCAGGAGTGGTGGCGCTTGCCTGTAGTCCCAGCTACTCAGGAGGCTGAGACAGGAAAATTGCTTGAACCAGGGAGATGGAGGTTGCAGTGAGCCGAGATCGTGCCATCGCACTCCAGCCTCGGGGACAGAGCAAGACTCCATCTCAAAAAAAAAAAAAAAAAAAGGAAAAGAAAATGACAGTGTCATGTCTGTTGGAGAAAGTTAGGAGTTCTTGGGATATCATCTCAACCACATACAGGTAATATCACAAAGGATCAGTGTTCCAGGGCAAGAACTTACCTGGAATAGTGCCACCACCAAAATTTACCTGGTGAGACCATTGGTATGACCTAACATGTTGCTTCTGATACATGCATCTTTGGTCATTTTCCATTGCCTGAGTTCAGTGGCATGAAGATGAAAGGTTATATGGAGATGAAAAGAAAATGGTAAGAGTCATAGGCTCACAGAATTATTTGTGTTAATGGAAGAGTTCAGGTCTTGTCATCGTTTTCTGTTGGCAGTAGCCACAAGTTGTGAGTCCAGATGCCTCCCAGTCTTCCAGGAGTCTTAATAATTATCCCTGAATCTCAGATTGCTCTTTGAGCCAGCCCTGACTCACTGAAGCTACAGTTGCTAGGGTAAGACTAAAGCTAGAAGTAATAATCAAGTTGGCTGCGACCTCATCTTTCCAGTATTAATGCCCTCAATCAACAACCCTCGGAGGAGGTTGGATGAGTTATCCAGTTCACTGAAGCAATAGCAATCCTTGAGCATCTATCTTGTACCAGCAGGTCCTTCGCCTATGTTTTCTTTAATTCTCATAATAATTCTACAAAGTAGGTACTATGAACTTCTGGGTGCAGATGAGGAAAAGGAAGCTTGGAGAGATGAAGTGACTTACCCAAATATGCACAGCTATTAAGTGGCAGAACTAGTATTTGAATTCAGGTCCAATTAGAGTTAGGGTTAGGGTAAGGTTGAACCCTAAAATCTAACTTCTTCCTTTGGTCCTTGTTATGAAATTGGATCACACTGATAAGCTGCCCTGCAATAACCTCGCTGACTGATAGTGTCACTATGGATATTGGACGCCCCCTTCATCCCTTAGGTCCAGGACGCCCCATGCATCCACTCCCCAATCTGGCTGGCTCCAGGAATAGTTCAAGACTTAGTAGGTTGTCAAAGTGTGGTCCCTGGACCTGCTGTGCCAGTGTCACCTATGAACAAATTAGAAATGCAAATTTTCCAGTACCACCCCAGGCCCACTGAATCAGAAAATCTGGGGTTGGGACCCAGAAAATGTGTCTTAACAGCTCATCCAGGCGGCTCTGTTGCATAAGAGCTCAGAACACTGGTCTAGCCTGTTTCTTAGTATAGATGGAAACAGTGAAACAGAAACTCAATTCTGTCTATTTTTTTTATTTTTTTATTATTTTTATTTTTTTGAGACAGAGTCTCACTCTATCGCCCATGCTGGAGTGCAGTGGCGCGATCTTGGCTCACTGCAAACTCCGCCTCCCAGGTTCATGCCATTCTCCTGCCTCAGCCTCCTGAGTAGCTGGGACTACAGGCGCCTGCCGCCACGCCCGGCTAATTTTTTGTATTCTTAGTAGAGACAGGGTTTCACCCTGTTAGCCCGGTTGGTCTCGATCTCGTGACCTCGTGATCTGCCCACCTCGGCCTCCCAAAGTGCTGGGATTACAGGTGTGAGCCACCGCGCCTGGCCTCAATTCTGTCTATTCAGCCTCTCCCACTCTTGATCTCTCTCTCACTAACTTTCTGTTTCTCAGGTATTTTAGAAATGTAGGCTGGCTTTGAAGGCCCACATATTTATTTTATTGTTTTCCAAAATCACTTTTTTGTTTGTTTGTTTGAGATGGAGTCTCACTCTGTAGCCCAGGCTGGAGTGCAGTGGCGTGATCTCGGCTCACTGCAACCTCCGCCTCCCAGGTTCAAGCGATTCTCCTGCCTCAGCCTCCTGAGTAGCTGGGACTATGGGCACATGCCACCACATCCAGCTAATTTTTGTATTTTTAGTAGAGACAGGATTTCACCATGTTGGTCAGGCTGGTCTTGAACTCCTGATCTCAGATGATCCGCCCTCCTCGGCCTCCCAAAGTGCTGGGATTACAGGCATGAGCCACCGTGCCTGGCCTCCAAAATCACTTCTAATTCACTGAGGGTATCACAGATTGCCCAAGGCTGGCATGGAGAACCTCTGCATGTTAGGGAGCATCATCTGTTTCCTTAACTTGCTGATGTGACCTTGCAGGTGATTAAGATTTTCGTCTGGGTAGCTGGAGTTTTATTGACCACGCACGTGCATTCAGGATTCTAATAGGTGTGTTCAAATGGGCCTCTTCCTTTTATTTTCCTTAATTCATAAATGCCTACCAATGTATGATTGTTTTTAGAAAAGGCAAGGTGGTTTTCATTTAGTTTCCTTTTCCCCCAAGGATATTTGGGGAAGATAAGAAAAAGGTTGTCTCTGAAAAAAATAAGGTTGTCTCTGAAAATGTGAAGTGGTTGCTTATTAATGGCAAGTTGTAGTGTAAAAGATGAGCTTTGAAGATCTTGTGAACTGGGTTTAAATATCCTTTCCACTTTACTGGCTTTGAGTCCTTGGAAAAAATCATTTTAAATCTCTGAACTTTAATTTTTTCATCTTTAATATGAAGAAAATAATACCAACTAGGGCTGTTGTGAGAACTATATGGCAGTATAGTGAAAGTGAAGTACCTCACACACTGGCATACTGTAGTGTTAAGTAAATAGCAAATAACTATTATTATTGGGGAAAATGGCACAGTGTTACATACTCTGGAGTAAAGATATGGAAGCCACCAAATAAATGTGGCATAGGTCCCTCAAGGACCACATTTATTTCTTGGTAAGAAACATAAATATGATTTTCATGTTAAAACCAACCAAGATTCTGTTTACTCTCCTACATTTTTGCATTCTTGAAATGAAGCATGGTTGTGAAGAACACTTAGACTTCTTCTTTTTTTTTTTTCTGAGACAGAGTCTCACTCTGTCGCTCAGGCTGGAGTGCAGTGGCGCGATCTTGGCTCACTGCAAGCTCCACCTCCCAGGTTCACGCCATTCTCCTGCCTCAGCCTCCCAAGTAGCTGGGACTACAGGCACCGGCCACCGTGCCGGGCTAATTTTTTGTATTTTTAGTAGAGACGGGGGAAGAACACTTAGACTTCTATGAACTTGGTTAGAGGCTTGTATTCCGTGCATTCCACCATCCCCACCACCCCTGGGCCCGGGTGTGGCCTTTCTTTCCTTTACATGCTGGCAGGCTTCCAAGGAACAATCTGGGAAGCACTAGAAAGTAGGGCTGTGGCCAGGGCATGCATGCAATAAGTAGGTAGATTATGGCTTAAGTGGAAGTCACTTTCTAACATTAGTGAAGAGGCTGCATTGTAATGAGGATCCTGCCAGAGATGCCATCAAGGGGATTACTGGGGGAAAGGCATGACTTTGCTACTCCTCACACACTTCCCAACTGTAAGAGCCCATAGGCTGTGATTCCTACCCACGTGGCTTCCTCCACACACAGATCTGTGGATGGGCACTCAGGAATGAGTGAAAGCATGTACTTGGATTCCATAAATCCCAGGACACTATCTCCTTCCGGCATGTCATTCTGTGATTGCCATCACAGATCACCCTAACTCCAGTCAGACTTTCGATGATACGTCATTTCGTGTCAGGGTAGTGTTGAGCTGCAAGTAACAGAAAACCAGGCATAAACAAACAGAGTTTATCTGCCCTATAGAACAAGATGTCTGTGTTCACCCTCATAGTTGCTTGATGGCTGGGAAGCTCCAGTTATGACATTCAAGCTCAGAGGCCATTGCCCAGACATTCAAGGAAAAGCCAGAACAGAGGGAGGACAATACCACCAGACACCGGCTTCTGTTTCTCTGTCCCTTCTTTACTGCTGTGTCCAAACCACCCCAGAACTGGGGCATGCAACGACCACCATCTACCTGAGGAGGCAATCTGGCTGGCTCAGCTGGCCGGTTCTTCTCTCATGTGGCTATGCTTGGTTCTTGGAGGTTGGCAGACTGGATCAGCCTCTGTGAATGGGGCACCAGGACCACGTGCCTCTCATCACCCCACAGGCTCACTTGGGCTTGTTCTGGCCAAGCCCAAGTGTTCCAGCCGTGTTTCCAAAGGAGGGCAGAGCCATGTTCCGCTTCTTGAGTCTCAGCCTCAGAACTGGAACATTGCGTTGCCTCCTTCTGTTGGCCAAAGTAAGACACGTAGCCAGCTCAGCTTTTAAGAGGTGGAAAAATAGATCCCATCTCCTGATGGGAGGCGCTGCGCAGTCACAGTGAAAAGAGATGTGCACCCAGGGAGGGCTGAAGATGGAGGTCATCCATCTGCCAGGGACTTATTAGCAAAAACTAAAACTGGGAGGTTGGGGACTTTTATTCTTTCCCTTTCTCTTCCTTCCTTCCCTTCTACCTTTTCCTCTTCTCCTCTCTCCTTCTCCTCCAGTTCCTCTTCCTCCCCTCTTCTTCCTCCTCTCCCCTCCCATTGCTCCTCCTTTCCCTCCTCTCCTCCTTCTCCTCCTCCTTATCCCTTCCTCATCTTTCTTCTGTACTCCTCCTTCTCCTCCTGCTCCTGCTTCTTTTCTTCTGAAATCTTTACCAGACCCTAAAATAAAGACAGGCCAGGGAAGAAAATGCTGCAAAACAGTATTGGGACACACCACTTTGCAGTATCTCATTCTTGACTTTGCTAAGAAAGTTATTGGATGGATATCCCTACCAGACTCTCAAAAACCTCAACCCTGCTTCACTCTTATTGGCATATCCTGGGAGGCATTCATCTTGACCCAGGCAGCCCTCAGAATGCCACTGGGTTCCTGTTGAGGCATTAAAGGGGCTTAAATGATACAGAAACTATGCTTCTATTCTTTCCCTGCCCCTCCCTGCCATTGAAATGTCAGTCATGGCAAAACCTTGCAAAGTACACGTGAGTACAAAGTGGCTGCTTTGCTTCCCTGTGGCTTTTGTAGCTGTCCTCAAAAACACACTCTGTGATAAGGTATGAAAGGAGACCTTCAAAAACCCACATATAATAATACTCTCCCTTAGGATTTTTACTTGAAAGTGAAACGATTTATAAATGACATGTAGGCAAATATCAGTCTGGATGCAGAAACTTGCTGGCCACATTGGTATTTCAGTGACTATATATATGCTGAGGCTAAAGAAGGTTATTATTCTCAAAAGAAAAAAACAGGCCGGGTGTGGTGGCTCACGCCTGTAATCCCAGCACTTTGGGAGGCCCAGGCGGGTGAATCATGAGGTCAGGAGTTTGAGACCAGCCTGGCCAAGATGGTGAAACCCCGTCTCTACTAAAAATACAAAAATTAGCCGGGCGTGGTGGCACACGCCTGTAGTCCCAGCTACTTGGGAGGCTGAGACAGGAGAATCGCTTGAACCTGGGAGGCGGAGGAGCTGAGATCGTGCCATTGCACTCCAGCCTGGGGCGACAAGAGCAAAACTCCATCTAAAAAAAAAAAAAGAAAGAAAGAAAAAAACAATGAATAAACTCATGATCCAAAGTTCATAAGATAATAGGGAGCATTTATTCAGCATTATTATGTGTTCTGGTGGTGTACTAAGTATTTGTATGTGATCTAATTTCATCCTCAAACAGTCCAATGAAGTAAGAAATATCCCCATTTTATATCTGATAAAACTGAGGCACAGATAATTGAAGTTAGGGATCTTCATTTGGAGAATCAGTACTCAAATTCACCTCCATTTGACTTCAAACCCCTGCTTCTGACCATTAGAACACACCACATTCTATTTATTTATAATCCATGGTGTGAAAGTAATTATAAATGAACCTAAAATACAATTTATGGTTCATAAGTATCAGCTGACAGTCTTGACTCACTGGGCTTATGTCCCTGTGTGAGAGCCAAAATAATTAAAACCCAAATGAATTTACAATTACTCACCAGCTCTAATGACCATGGTGTTGTTTAATGAAGTAGAATACATTACTTAAGCCAGACGATTATTGATAATTTTAAAAGGTGTAAACAAGATCTTTATTAATGAGGTTGTTCATTCACAATGACACTTACGTCTATTAAACTACATTGATAGGTCGAGGCTTTGCTGTGGATTTTGCTGTTTTTCCTTATTGTTTTGTTGTTGCTGTTGTTCTTTTTTTTGCTATAGGATTTTGGTATTATCTAACAGGTTAGTGTTTTCCAAACTGTATTTCCTAGGAGATGACCTCTGTTATGTTTGCCTTAGTGAGTTTGAGCTGCTAGAGCAAAATACCGTAGACTTGATGGCTTAAAAAAGACATTAATTTATCACAGTTTGGGAAGCTAAAAGCCCAGGATCGAGGTGATAGATCCATTGTCTGGCGAGGGATTGCTTCTTGGTTTACAGATAGGCTTCGTCTCCTTATATCCTCACGTGGCAGAGAGAGAAAGAGAGGGAGATATTATTTCTCTCATGTTTCTTCTTATAAGACCACTAATTCCATTTGGGGGGTGGGCTCTACCTTCATGACTTAATTATGTCTCAAAGGCCCCACCTCCAGATGCCATCACATTGGGCATTTAGGCTTCAACATAGGAATTTGAGAGGTGGGGACCCAGGCATTGAGTTCATAGCATTGCTCATAGATGTCCCATGAACAAAAAGGGTCCCAGAGTCAAGTAAATATATATAATGTAATATTCATTAACATTTAAAGTATATTTGTTTGTTTACTGCAAGGCATATTAGAGCCTTTTACACATTATAATCTGCATGGTGGATCTCCAAGACGGCAGTATTATTTTCATTGTTGGCCATACTTACTTGGGATGATGTGAACTGCAGAACTATTCAGTGGCTGGTCCATCTCATCTCATAGTTGTTGGTCGAAATTCACAAATGTCTGCAGAACTGTATGGATCTCAAAATCCACTTATGAATATAATAATGTGTAGTGCATTTTAAAATTATTCTTAGCCTTCTAAAAATGATTGTCATTTTGAATGAAAATTACTTGGATTTTAAAGATTTAGGACTTTCTGTATTTAGTGAAAAATAAATAAAACATAATTTATGCGTTGGCTTTTAAACACCAAAGAATATTCATTATATTCTTTATGTATATTGACTATGTCAAAAAATACAACATATCCTCACTTGAATATTACTTCAGACTTCTGGTCTGAAGTCAGATTCAGGAAAGACATAGTAAAACTGAATTGGGGGAGAAAGCTAACATTTTGGGAGTGTTTACCTGATGTAAGTCATTTTTATGTCTGACTTAACCCTTTCACAACCCTTTAAGGTAAGTATTCACTATGCAAACACAAAATCTTCATCCCAGAGAAATCAAAACTAAGTTTACACAGATAGTAAAGTGAGAGTCAGGATTTGAACCCAAAACCATCTGACTCGAAAGCTCATACTCTATTATTTTAAAAATCAAATGAAATAATTAAAATAAAATTATATGAAATCTGCCATTTGAAAACAGATATGACTGGCAAGCTGACAACAACAACAACAACAATTATATTACTTCCATGAGACAGAAAATGCTAAAAGGAGATAACAGTTCATTTATATTAAACCATGAGTGGTGACTGAGGAACTAGTCTGTTCACCAGAGTCTAAAATGAGGGAATATAAGTTTGACTGGGTTTTTTCAGAAAGATCAAATTATTAATGAACAAAACAAGTAATTATTAACCAAATTACCACCAAGAAATGGTTGATTCCGAAAACACAAGTAGGTTGAAGAAGTAAATGGATCCATTACTGGGTAATTTATGTTTCGAATTTTTTATTCAAGATTATGTAATACACCATCCTCACTGGCAATGCACCCTTTATTACCACCCGATAACCAGCTAGATGGTGTTTTGTATGGGGAGCACGTGGCCTCACCCTGGGGTTCTGACAATCACAGTGGACATTCTCCAGGACAGCGCTGGCCTTTTGGAGATCGGGGACAATTTAGAGATGTAATCTTCACTTGGACTAAGATTTAGCTAAGATGCAGCCTTCTGATGCAGGCTTCTTCTCCTGAAAACAGCTCTGCTTTACAACATACAAAACAAACATAGAAGGCTGCTTTGGACCATCTTCTCAGCAGAGCCATTGCTGGTAGTTCGGACATGGTAGGAACAGAGCTTCTGGAATTGGAGCTAGCATTGGAGCCTTATTGAAGCAAAGTGATTAACATATCAGAGGTCAGGATGTATGTGTCCAACTGAATAAATTCTGTCCCCATTGTTATCAGATAAGAGATCTAGGAAAATGCTTAGTCGATCTAGGAAAATGCTTAGTCCGTTTTAAAGGGAAGTTGATAAGGAGATGTACTGAAGGTACTTGGTCAGTTTTAAAAGAAGGTAAAAGAAGTACTCAAGGTACTTGGTCAGTTAGAAGATAGTAAGAAGAAACACACATTAGTGTATCTTGTGAGCAGAGGTACATGTGGAATACACCTCACATGTGTTCTTCCCTAACCCTCAAACTTCATAACAAATGCCTTCCAAATTTTAGAATCAGAACAGAATATGTCAAAAGTAGCACCAAAAAATGTGAAAAGTAAGTAATGGTTCTTTATGCTCTGTGGGTTTATTTTTAATTGTTATGATGGAGAATTTTTTTTAAAAAAATCTTGGTGTCCAAGTTTTGATGGTATATCATTTGTCCCATCTCTACTTGGCTGGAACTGTGCTGTCTCCACTCCATACAGGGTAAGTCATGTTATCATGGTGGATATTTGATCAGTATCCTTCTTTTTCACTCCATTGCATTGTCATGAGAGATTTCTTTGTTACATTTCTTCCCACTTACCTTCTTGATCATCTCTCCTTACTTTTTTGTTATTTTTTTCCTTCTGTTTTCATTCTGCACCCTGCCCCTCAACAGCACTTGGCTTGATTCCTAGCTTCACCACTTAATGGCGATGAGATGCTTGGCAACCCTCTTAACTAACACCTTGGAGACTATTTTCTCATACATAAAAGGGAAACAGTAACTCTATCCACCACACTTTGCAAACTGTAAAGTGCTATCTAAATATAAGTTTAGTATCATGGCTATCATTGCCCTATCCCTACCTTCCCTGCATTGGCGTAAGCATATTCCTGGATAAGACTGTCCGTCATTTGGTTTGTTGAAAAGGCTGATGTGAAAGGAATCACCTTTCCCTGCCACCCCACCTGCCTACTGCTGTCATCACATTGTTGTATTTATAATGAATTTGTTCTTTTCTTTCTTAGTTACTTGGGTCTTGTATGGTCTGTGGAGATCATTTTATTTCTATTCCATTTCCATCTGCTCACCAGTTTGTACTAATTGAGGTGCTGCCTGTCTTTCCATTCCTCTGCTTACCTGGCGCTAACTGAGAAACTAATCTAGTCTGTTCTTTCCACTGGAAGATGAGAGGCTTCCAGGAAGGTCAAGAATATGTGATTAACATGGACACAGGAAGGGGAACATCACACACTGGGGACTGTTGTGGGGTGGGGGGAGCGGGGAGGGATAGCATTAGGAGATATACCTAATGCAAAATGACGAGAGTTAATGGGTGCAGCACACCAACGTGGCACATGTATACATATGTAACAAACCTGCATGTTGTGCACATGTACCCTAAAACTTAAAGTATAATAATAATAAAATTTAAAAAAGAAAAAAGAAAAAAAGAAAACAAAGCAAAACAAAAATACCAACAACTGTCAATGTATAGTTCCTTTCTTAAATTATATCCTTTAATAAATATAAAATTACAGAAAATTAAAAAAAAAATGTGTGATTAAGTCACTAGGTTTAACAAGAAGAAAGGACAGGAGAGATAGGCACTGAGAAGGGAAAAGTTTTAGGACAATTTGGAGGGTGTTGGGGTAATTAGAAAAAATTCTTCAATGTTATAAATTCACTAAAGAGATGTGGTTAAATTTCTGCTGTAGTTAGATTACGTTGAGTGAACCGTTAGGAGTTTAGGCAGGCAGTGGAAATGCTTTTGTGTGGCTCTTAAAAACAGCATGCAAAGATTTCTTGAATAAAGATAGCCAAGGAATGTCTTATTTCTATGCCAAACCAACTGTAAAAATAAGTACCCCAAAAAAGGTAAGCTGTACATGTAATCAGATAAAAGCATTCCTTGGTAGGGAGGGGGTACAGAATAATAGAAGTGACAATGAACTAGGATTGGGAAGATCATCCTTTGCATTCCATTTCCACCACCTTTTCCCTGGATGACCTTGAACAGTAATAACAATCATATAGTGCTCTTCAAATTATTTTGCAGTTTTGTGTTCATGATCTCATCTGAACCCAGCCATGGTTCCAAAGGTGAAATAGAAGAAGTACAAGGGGCTGGGTGCGGTGGCCCACACCTGTAATCCCAGCACTTTGGGAGGCTGAGGCAAGTGGATGGGCTGAGGTCAGGAGTTCGAGACCAGCCTGGCCAACATGGTGAAACTCTGTCTCTACTAAAAATACAAAAATTAGCCGGGTGTGGTTGTGGGCACCTGTGATTCCAGCTACTTGGGAGGCTGAGGCAGGAGAATCACTTGAACCCAGAAGGCAGAGGTTGCAGTGAGCCAAGATTGCGCCACTGCACTCCAGCCTGGGCGATAGAGGGAGACACCATCTCAAAACAAACAAACAAACAAAAAGTACAAGGAATTCATCTGGGCTTAAGCCCTGCCCCCGCGGGACTGGTTGTATAACATTAAAGAGGCCATCAATCCCTGTGATCTTCGTTTGCCCCTATTCATGTAAAACATTGAATAAAGCATTCCCACATGGTTATGTGGAGGATGAAATAAGACCGTGCCTATAAAAGTACTTTGCAATCTCCAAAGAGTCACACAGCAGTTTGTAGGATTTTATGAACACAGGAGAAATTTTAGATCTTCCAGTGGTAGAGTTTTTTGTTCCTACAAGAGAAACTAAGTTAAGCAGCAGAGGCACATATTGGAATAACACCACATAGGTCACAGCCTCCGCAGCAATAATGAAATTCCAGGTTCAAAAAAGATGCAGGCATTAATAGAAGGAAGGGGTCAGAACTGAATCTGTAACACGCCACAGGAAGGGTGAGGTTGGGCACCGCTGTTCCAATAGCTGGCCCCTTTGTCACCGCCACTGGCCCCAAGAGGAGATGACACTGCCACCATCCAAATGAACTCCAAAGGATCACTTGCCTTATAGCGACATTGGCTCTAGATTCAAAGTCCCCGGGGGAACCAGTCAATTGGCTAAGATTAGATTACCTGCCTACACTCTGGTTACCAGGATATTGACAGAGGGTATGTTTGACCCTTCCCAGCTTCCATAGCAGGAGGTAGGATTCTGTCTCTTAACTTTCTTGGGACTTCTCCTCACAGGAAAAGAAAGGGTACTCAGATATCCATGTCAGGACTGTATGGGCTAAATGGCCTATTCAGGAGACACAGATTATTGCTGGCGGGACTGAAGCCCATTTCTCCTCATCCCAGTCTCCTAGACCTTTCACCATTTTATGTGCCTTCATTTCAATTTGTTCAGTCTTGTAGTGGATATTGAATCTCTCCTGTATACCCTGTTCTATGGCAGCGTTCCTCTACCTCTCATATTCTGAGATTTTATGATTAAATATTTCCATATAACATTTTCAGGTGATAAAGTACTGTGTTAAGAACATTGTTTTCACAATGAAATTTTAGAGAGCCTTAAATTTAAAACAAAGATTACTATCAGACAAATCCTGCAGATTCAGCAGAGGCATGGCTGAAAAAGATAATTTGTTCAACAAAAAGAAAGAGGAAATAACAGCACCAGGGGGATTTCTTGGGCCCCATCAATGTCTACTGTTAAAGTTTATTATATAAACCAAATAAGGGGTTGTACAGTTCAAGGGCTTACAGCTCATACCATGAATCTAGAGGCTGGTCCCTGCAGCACTGCCTAGGTCTTGTACTCCTAGCCATTACCATTCGCTGTCTCCATTTTACCCATATCCAGCACGAAGACATGATACACCACGAGGTGGGAAGTGTGCAAGCTTTGAGAGTCTGTTCAAGGCTGACATCCATATAAAATAAAAATGGAACAAACATACTTTTGCCTCAGAGGCCTTCTGTCTTCCCTCAGTTGCTGCCTGATTAGAAACAAAGAGGAGTTACAGGTTCCAGTAAGATAGCAAATCCTAGTCTGAGTTTCTTTGCAAATGGAGCATGAGGCAGATTCTTAGGTGTTAAGAGTAGATTGGAGAGTATGACTCCAGAAAAGCCAGAGTGTAGAAAAAATAGGAGTGAGTCAGGGAAGGCAGAGGAGCAAATTGAAAGGGTTATCTCACAGCTTTTGTAATAAGCACAGTTGGTTGCTCAGTTTCTCAGGATGTTTTCAAAGAGGCTGTCTGAAACCACTGCATCTTTGAATAGTCCATCTGAGGGGAGGAGGGGAGAAGAATTATTATGTCAGCGCTTGTCTCCCTTTGGCCAAATTTATTCTGTGTGACGTCAACTCTCTTGCACTTTTGGGTTTACCTGCTAGCCTCTCCGGCAGCCACCTGGGAAGCCAGATCCCAGGATAGTAAGGCTAGCACCTGTGACATATGCCACACTCTCAGGCTGAGCATGTGATGAAAGCAAGCAGTGGCATTCCCCATCGCTCCACCTGCAGCCTGACTGGGCTGGTGGGGCAATGAACTGCATGAGTCAAGAGAGCCTTACAGTTGTCACATGCCTCCGGAGCAACAAAAATGAGAGGCAAGAGGGATGCACAGGGAGGTGCAAGACCATACCTGTGAGTGACTTGAGGGACCTGGACAAGCCACTACCGAGCCCAGTCAGCTAAGCCAGTGGAATACCAGGAAGGAGGGCTCAGAGCTCAACCAAGATTGAGACATTCCCCCTGTACCTACAAGAGTACATCTAGGCCAGGTGCAGTGGCTTATGCCTGTAATCCCAACACTTTGGGAGGCCAAGGCGGGCGGATCACCTGAGGTCAGGAGTTTGAGACCAGCCTGGCCAACATAGTGAAATTCATGGTAGTGTATCTCTACTAAAAAATACAAAAATTAGTAGGGCGTGGTGGTGCACGCCTGTAGTCCCAGCTACGCAAGAGGCTAAGGCACAGAGAATCGATGGAACCCATGAGGCAAAAGTTGCAGTGATCCAAGATCCCGCCACTGCACTCCAGCCTGGGGTAACAGAGTGAGACTCTGTCTCAAAAAAAAAAAAAAAAAGTACATCCAGGCCAGGAGATCTTCACAGACTTCACAGAGACTTGTCAGTAGCCTCAACAGGAAAACATGGCCAAGGGAATCCAGGAAGGAGCATGAGCTGGGTTAGATACACCAAGATAGCTTGAAATCCCTTAACCTATGCACACCAAAAATTGCTAGGTAGATTAAAACGCATGGCTACAGTCACTAGAAAGAAGGGGAAATTCCTAGATTCCAGGAAAAAAAAAACAGAGGGAATTAAAACCAGACCAGTAAATGTCTGCATGGGTTTTGTAGCTATAAAAGGAGTGAGTGCTTTTGATGCCAATAACCTACAGGATTAGATTTTATTTATCTCCCATATAGAGAAAAGACACAAAATTTTGGACCTGAGCAAAGTGGGAAGCATAAAACAAGAACCCTAAAAGGATTGCATTTCTGTGTAACATATATGTATGTGTGTGTGTGTGTGTGTGTGTGTATATATATATATATAATATATATATATATGGCAGTAACATATATATATGCCTGTAACATATATCTATATATGCCTGTAACATATATATAGATAGATAGATAGATAGATAGATAGATAGATAGATAGATATATGCATGCCTATCAGTGCAAGGCAGTGACAAGTAAGAGCTCTCGCTAACTGCAACTGTTTGGGGAAAATTTTTTTTTCTGGAAATCAAACCCAGGGCTGCATTTCTTAAAGGTCTCAAGTCTGATTTTTATACTGTCAGGTAACCATCAATGTCAAAGTGAAAATATATCATAAAAGAAATAATAAAAAAATTGATTCTCTGACAGTGATATTCCCAGGGTGCTCAGTAGAAGCAAAAGCAGAAATATACTAGAAAGGCAAGCCACAGAATCTCTGAAAGAAAAAAGAACGTTCCACAAAAGATCAGTTCACCATACAGCCGCCAAAACTGCAAAATAAGTAAGACTTCTAGCACTTGAACAGAAGAAGCTGAAAAGGAACATAAAAAGTGTATTTAAAATTGTTGAATTGTAATTCAATAAAAATGTAAAGAAAGGGATTCAAGCTATTAATAAAAAAATGAAGATCCTATTAAAAAAAACAGGTAACTGAAAAAGAACCAAATACAACATCTAGACATGGGAAAAGTAGTAAATAAAATTAAAAGCCCAAAGGATAGATTAAGGAATGGATTAAACACTCCTGGAGAAAGAATTAGTAGGTCAGAAAATATATGTGAGGAAATTAGATTGCAAAGCAGCAAGCAAGTATAAAAGAAAAGATTAGGCTAAATAGTTTAGAAGAATGTGTAGATCCCACATATATCTGATAAGAGTTTCAGAATGAAAGGACACAAAAAGAATATGGAAGAAACAGTCTTTAAATAGATGATGGTAGAGTAGTTTTCAACATTGATGAATGACCATGGAGGAAGTGAAATAATCAAAATCCAATGTCACATGTAACATTTTAAAGCAGATAGAAATTAATGATAGGCTTCTTACATAGAAATAAATTCAGACTGGCAGCTGACTTCTCAACATACACGATAGTGCCAGATGATGCTGTGATGAGGCAAAATTACCATCAACATAGGATTTTGTGTATGAAATCATCATCAACCATCAATTTATAACCAGCTAAACTATCATTCATGAGATGACAAAATAGATACATTATAACACAAATAAAGACTGAGACATCTACCTCCATCAACATAAATAAATCTCAAAACGTAACACCGAGAAAAGCAAGCTGCAACAGGATATGTACAATACTATTGGCCTGCAATTATAAAGCCCAATACTGAAGTATCAACTCTTTGTGATTTAAAGTGCAAAGCACAATTAAGAAAAATACAACCACACTTAAGATGGTAGTTATTGCTGGATAGGATAGAAGGGAAGGAAAAAGCAATGGGACTTCACCTGTGACTGAAATGTCTTATCTTTTTTTAAAATAAAAAAAAACAGGCCAGGCAGGGTGGCTCACGCCTGTAATCCCAGCACTTTGGGAGGCCGAGGCAGGTGGATCACGAGGTCAGGAGATGGAAACTAGCCTGGCTAACATGGTGAAACCCCGTCTCTACTAAAAATACAAAATATTAGCCGGGCATGGGCGTGGTGGCGGGTGCCTGTAGTTGCAGCTACTGGGGGCTGAGGCAGGAGAATGGCATGAACCCAGGAGGCAGAGCTTGCAGTCAGCAGAGATCGCGCCACTGCACTCCAGCCTGAGCGACAGAGTGATACTCCGTCTCAAAAAAAAAAAAAAAAAAAAAATGAGGAAATAACAAAATATTAACATTTGTTAAATCTAGATGTAGGCACATGGTATCTGTGATTTTCTGTTCTTTTTATGTGTCTGAAATCTTTCAAAATAAAAATTTTTAAAGAAATATATCTACATCAAATAGGAGAGAGAAGAAACCAAGGAGAAGCAAGAGAAGGACAAAAGAGGTAACTCAACATGGTAAGCTCTTGAGGGTGGTTGGAAACAAACCAGAAAGGTTTGTTTCCAACCCTTGTAGAAAATGAGAGCCCATTTCAATTTTAGTGGGAGGGGGTGACAAAGAGAACTGGATGGCCAATCTAGATCATGCTCCCCTCTACCACTAAGTGCCTATGTGAGCACAGGCACAGACTTCCCCTCCCTGGCCCTCAGCTTCCTCATCTTATAGTTAATAGGGTTGGCAGTAGTCATTCTACCATATCATTTCCATTTCCAGCTTTTGTTCCTCTGCCTCCAATTTTTCAGATAGCCACATTTTCAGACATTAAAAATGCCTTTTCACTAATAAAGAATTCCTTTGGCTTCAAGTGACAGAGAATTCAGCCCAAATTGGCTTAATTAAAGTGAAAAATTATTGGTTTATATAAGATGAAAACCTCAGGGCTACATCCAGTTTTAGGCAACACTAGATTTGGACCTCAAAAATACTATCAAGAACCTCAGGTAATTTTAAAAATATTTTGTACTGTGTCTTCAGTTACATTGGCTTTCTTCGCGGACATCATGTGATAAGCCAGATGGTGGTTGTAGCCAGATGGCAATGGCAGCTCCAGACCTTAAATCCCCTAAGTTTTTTGTACTGCAAGAAAAGCAAAAATCTCTTCCCCTGCAGCCCCAGTGCAACACCCATTGTATCTCCTTAGCTTTTATAGAGTCCTAAGCCCAACACTGAACCACTCATTGTAGACAGGGGAGAGCTATGCACTGATCAACTTGAGCCTTGAACATGCTCCCACTGTGGAATGAGCACAAATTCACCTCAACCATATAAGCTAAGAGTAAGGGTGAGTGTTACCTCCCACAAGGAAACCAGGAAGTGATTACCAGAAAAAGGATGCATGGATATTAGATGGCAAAAACAAATGTTCACCAACCAGCAAAAACATGAGTGACCCTCCAAGAAGGACAGTCTAAGAATTTCAGTCTTTTTCTTAAATAGTGACAGAAGGTGAAAGGGAAATCCTAAAAGTGCCAAGCATTCTAAGCATAGAAAGGGGCCATGTAAGAATAAATATCTATTAGCCACAATTCTAGCATTCATGAGCTAGGCAGGAGCTTATGTAGCTTGAAAGATGTAGTTTTAGAATCAGTCAAAGGCAGTTCTAATTGGAATGACAGAGAATAATCATGGCAAGTATGAACCATGTGATGTTCCCCAATAGCAAAAATGAAAAGTAAGTGCTTTAAGAGGAAGTTAAGTAGATTTGTAGAAGGTAAAGCATGATGTCTTAGCAAGAGATGATGGGTGCAGTACACACCTACAGAGATTGATGCTGTGTAAGGCAGACAACTTTGCCCAGAGCACCTCTGTTGGAAATAGAATATGAGATTGTGTAAACCATTTATTGTCACAGCACTGCAAGAAAATATTATATTTATTTTTGAACCACTCTCAAAACTTAATACGTCTAGATAAACATCTTAATAAATTTAGAGTAAATAGAGATTTTTTACATGATCAATGAGCAACAAATATTTGTTGGATGCGACTCTCACGGTGTTAAATAATTCTGGAAGTTGCGGGGAGGGTACCACATGGAAAGTTGGGGAGGATTAGAAAGCCTTTCTCTATCCTTCCATCTTTATCCATTGACCCAGATATTCCAGATCTTCCACTTTCATTTTCTCACCTTCTCCATCTTGTTTTTCCACAACCCTTCTTTGCAGAAAACAACAATAACAACATCACGTTGCCATCCTGTCTCCACCCCTGTAGGTACTGGAAAGACAAAACCAGAAATAACTTAGTGTTATGTTTATAAATTAGAAATGTGCCCCAGAACCCTGGGGGTAATGCAAAACTTTTCTAAAGTTCCTCTCTGGTGCCTTTCGGTCAGAGACACCCAGAACAACCCCTCTTTCGTATGTTTGTTGTTGTTGTTGTTGTTGTTTTGAGACAGAGTCTTGCTCTGTTGCCCAGGCTGGAGTGCAGTGGCATAGTCTCGGCTCACTACAACCTCTGCCTCCCAGGTTCAAGCGATTCTCCTGCCTTAGCCTCCAGAGTAGCTGCAACTACAGGCACCCACCACACCACCTGTCTAATTTTTTGAATTTTTAGTAGAGACGGGGTTTCACCATGTTGTCCAGGCTGGTCTTGAACTCATGACCTTGTGATCCGCCCATCTTGGCCTCCCAAAGTGCTGGGATTACAGGCGTGAGCCACCGCGCCCGGCCCTTCCTCTTTCATATCTTTTCCTGTTCCCTTGTCCACTCCTCCACCTTCCAGCCTAAGCTTTATTCTGCCAGTTTCCATCCCAAACCATTATACCGACACCCTCAGTGCTGAACTGGCCAGACCTGTCTCACCTTAGACCCTCACTGCTCAGGGTGAAACATCCTCAAGTTAATTAACTAATTAGTTAATTAATTAACTTAAAATATCCTCTGCACAACTTGCCTCTCATGGGCTGTGTTTATGACATTACTTAGGTGGATTAATGTACTAAAGGACTTGCTTCCCGCAAAAGGTGAGTGGTATAAGGGCCAAAAGGAGGTGGAGAGGACAGAAAACCCAAATCCACCACATGAATAGAAAAAAAAAAATTTCACATGCAATGCCTGGCATGGATTCATGGCACCCTGTTCTTGGGTGGAGGCGAGGGGACAGCTCATAAATAGAGTTGAACTGAATTGTGACCATTCTTGGCTCCAGCTGCCCCTAGTCTACTAATTTAGATGGAGTGTAATTGCTGGGACTAGAATAGCAACGAGAGAGTATAGATACTCACCAGACAAACACTCTGCATGTAGAATGAAGCATGAAGTCTGAGATTAGTGACAGCTGACATCTATTAAGCACTTACCCATCTCCCAGCCACTGGGCTACACTCTTTACACTAGACTATGCCCATTTTACCCTCTCACATCTCAAGTTCTATTTTATCCCCTTTTACACACAGCAACGCTGAACACAGAGAGGTGAGTTAACTTTCCCAGAGACACGCAGTTAATTAGTGATGGGACCAAGCTTGATGACAGAATCTGTGATTTTAAGCACCACACCAAATTGTCTCTGATCAAAGAACTGGAAATGGAGATGAGAAATGTGGATGTGCTCAGTCTTTTATAACGGCGAAGGCAGAGTTCGGCATGAGCAAATTTGCAGTCAAAGGAGGAACACGTACGTCCTGAAAAGGCCCACTCTGAGCATGGCCACACCAGATTTAATGCAAGGTCTGTCCTTGTTTGAAGGAGGGAGGCTGAGCATGAGGACTGGGTGGTGATAGCAAGGTTGTCTCTTTAAGGCAGGGATATGTTCTACACATCTGTGGCTACGGCGCTAAGCAGAATGCTTGGCATTCAGTAGTGTTTGTATTAGTTATCTATTGCAGCATAACAAATTATTTCAAAACTTGGTGGCTTAAAGCAACACACATTTATGATTTCACAGCTTCTCTGGGTCAGGAATCTGGATATGGATTAGCTGTGTGCCTTTGGATCATGGTTTCCCACAGGGCTGCAATCACACAGTTGCTGGGGCTACAGTCTTCTGAAGGCTCAGCTGGGGCAGGATCCACTTTCTTTTTTTTTTTTTTTTTTTTTTTGAGACAGAGTTTTGCTCTGTCGCCCAGGCTGGAGTGCAGTGGCACGATCTCTGCTTACTGCAAGCTCCGCCTGCCGGGTTCATGCCATTCTCCTGCCTCAGCCTCCCAAGTAGCTGGGACTACAGGCACCCACTACCACGCCCGGTTAATTTTTTGTATTTTTAGTAGAAACGGTGTTTCACCATGTTAGCCAGGATGGTCTCATCTGGATCTCCTGACCCCGTGATCCGCCTGCCTCGGCCTCCCAAAGTGCTAGGATTACAGGTGTGAGCCACCGTGCCCGGCCAAGGGATCCACTTTCAAATCCACTCAGTGTTTGCTGGCAGGATCCAGTTCCTTGTGGGCTGTTGGACTGAGGATCTCAGTTCCTTGCCAGTTGTTATCTGGACACTGCCCTCAGTTCCTTGCCACATGGGCCCCTCCAACATGGCAGCTGCATCGTCAGAGTGGTCAAGAGAGAGGGCCAGGTAGAGAGAATACAAAAAAGATGGAAGTCACGGTCTTTTATTACCTAATCTCAGAAGTGCCATCCCATCACTTTTGCAAGTCACAAGGTACATTCAGTGGGAGGGCATTTCACACAGGTGTTAATGTTGGGGGAGGGAACCATAGGAGCCAGTTCAGAAAGTTTCATCCCATAGTGTTCAAAGTCCATCTGTCCAATTGAACTTTTTACCCATTAAAATTCAAATATCCGGCCAGGCGCCTTGGCTCTCACCTGTAGTCCCAGCACTTCGGGAGGCCAAGGCGGGTGGATCTCCTGAGGTTGGGAGTTCAAGACCAGCCTGACCAACAATGGAGAAACCCCATCTCTACTTAAAAAAAAAAAAAAAAAAAAATTAGCCAGGCATGGTGGCGCATGCCTATAATCCCACCTACTCAGGAGGCTGAGGAAGGAGAATCGCTTGAACCTGGGAGGCAGAGGTTGCAGTGAGCTGAGATTGTGCCATTGCACTCCAGCCTGGGTGACAAGAGTGAAACTCCGTCTCAAAAATAAATAAATAAATAAATCCAATCAATCAATCAATCAGTCAATCAAATATCCCTCATAGGAATTGAAAAAAAAAAAAACAATAAACTTTAAACTTTATCTGCATTTAGCCTTCAGGTTGAAAGTGATTATTACATCATGGCCATCAAGATAGTTACCTACAATCAGGTATTTGAATTGGAAAAGGAAGAAAGGGAACTAACATTTGTCAATGACCCATTTTCTGTGGTAAATACTAGTAGATGCCCCAACGAAGGTATTATCTCCTCACTTTTGAGATGAGGAAACTGAGGATCACAGACTTCAATAATTTGCTAAGTGTCACACAGCTAAGAAGAGTTAAGATTACAAGCCAGAGTTTTTCTGACCCTAAAACTACATTCTTTCCATCGATTTTAGTCATTAGGGCCATTTGTTGAACGTTTCTGGTTCTCCCCACTCTTGAGTCCATAGGAGAACTGCAGTTTCTGGCCCTTTTGTGATTGGACGAGGCCACGAGACTGGTTGTGGCCCATGTGTTGTGAGTAGAATTGAAGTCTTACTTCCAGGATCAAGTGTTTTACCGCAAGACCCTTAAGAGGCCCCTGGCATGGCACCAGCAAAGTTTGAGTCTCTGAGGGACTATGATCAACAGATGCTCCCATCCTGCCTTCTGCTAAATCCACAATGAACATGTTGCACGAACAAGAAATCAACTTTTGTTGTTTGGAGTCATGGGGGGTTTGGAGGTGTTTGTTACTCCAGCATAATCCACCCTATCCTGACTGATGTATCACTGAAGACGAAGGAGAAGGGAGTAAGGGAGTGTAGAGGCTGCCTCAAGAGAGCCCTATTTATGTCTTATGGCAGCATGAGGGCTCACCTTTACCTTGGCTGACCTGGGCTCCATGGTGTCTGCCTACCAACCGACTTCTATTTCTGGATGCACCTGGGCATAATAAGAACCAGAGGCACCTACAGCATTACTCAGAGGTAGGGTGTGAACCCCATTGCCTCATTCATTCTGAATGCTTCTTACTTTGGAACAGCAAAGAACACAAAGAGAGCAGGAGAAGTGTTATCCCTTCCCAAGCCTGTTCTGACACACATAGCACAGCACGAGGCTTTTGAAAGAGGCTTAACGGAAGCAGCATCCTCACATCAGAGCAGCTTGTCACGGAGGAGCCTTTGTGGCTGGAATGGGCATTTGCTAAGTTAGTCTCCCCTCACTGGGCTGGGGACTGGTTGACACAGGGCTGGGGTGCCAAGGTTTGGGATAATCTGGGGAGGGACTGAAGCATAGATTATGATGCCACCTGGCATGAGTTTCCCACATCTTCTTCCGTCGGAAAGACGGGATTCTCTTCTCATGTCCCCCCTGAGTCATCAGCCCAGCAGCTTGTTCTTCTGGTTGTTCATGTCTCCCCACTCTCCTCCATGCCACTGAGGATTGTACTTCCTCGCTGCTGCTGACTGTCCAGAATTCCTAGGTGGATACAGTCCCCTTGGTAGACAGCTGCACCCTCCACACAGGAAACAGCAGAGAGGGGAGTGTGGAGCAGGAAGAGCTGCCCTTTATGGCTCTGTCCCTCTTACCCACACCCACCACCACACAGGTTTGTGTGGCTGCCTTAGACTTTGCTCAAAGATGAAGGTATACCAACTGAGTAAAAGATGTAATATTTTCAACTGCATACCGAATCTAGCTTTTCCCATGGTCCAAGGAGGAAGCATCCTTCTAGAGGAAATGATATTGTGGACACTGCCAGCTGCTAATTTTGTTTCTTTAATCTCTTAAGTCCAAGATATTTTTCAGATCCATTCCTTCTTCAAACTTCCAGCATGTGAATTGGTACCCATGTTTCAGAAAACCCCACTGTAGCGATTGATCTTGTCCAAGAGCTATCCGTTCCCTGTTTCTCCAACAGCAGGTTTCCTTAAACCTAAGTTATTCAGTCTACAAACACACCCGGGCATGGGGTACCCTTGAAAGGTAGACTTAGGTATTCTAAGTTAAAAACACAACAAAAACAAAACAAAAACAAAAACAGAGTAGCTCTTCCTTGGGCTCACCTGTGTTTTGGCTTCCACCTATGATAGCACTTGAAGAATTGGTTCTGTTGCTAAGAAAAGTTGAAACATCACTGGCCTGTCCAACCACCCCCACACTCCCATTATATAGATGTAACAAACTGAGGCCAAATGCCTTGCCATTAGCAGAGTGCTCTTCAGGTACACTAGAATCCTAAAAGCAAATTTGCTTGTAAGAGGGAACAAAAAGATTCAAACTCACCCTGAAGGTTTATAAAACCAATATTGGGTTCTTCCATGAAAATGGAAGTTGAGAGATCAGAGAAGAAAGGATAAAAGCATTGAGATGGTGGTGGAAGAATGGTTTATTGAGAGGAAGCCACAAGGATTAAAAATAAAAATGGATTTCTGTGACTTCATGCTTCTGCATAGGATGGGTTCTGCTGTTGGCCATGAGCTTTTCTCTTGCAACTCTCAGTAGGGTGGACTCCTCTGAGTCAGTGAGAATGGGACAGTTGAATCAACAGTCAAAACGCTCAATTATCTGTAAGTTCTGCTTTGCTGCCATGATGTTTACACTCAGCCTACTTCATTGAAAGTCCTATAAAGAAAGTCTGAAGTTGAATGAGGCACAGGGCTTCGTGCCACCTAAACCCTAGGGCCACTGCATCTGAAATATATGTTCTATATGGGCAGTTATAGAGAAAATTTGATCTGTTACAGTTATTTAGCTTCAAGCAATGGTAACTGACCCTGCCTAACTTAAATAGAGAAGGAATTTATTGGGAGGACATAGAATAACTCATAAAAACAAAGGGGAGAAACCACTTTATCTGTGTCAATCCATCTACTGATTAATGGACAAATAAAATATACTACATTCATACAATAACATATGTCTACCCATAAAAAGAATGAAGTGCCAACACATGCTACAACAGACACAAAGCTTGAACACATTATGCAAAGTGAAAGAAGCCAGTGTTGTATTAAAAAAAAAAACCCACGTATTGTATGATTCCATTCATATGAAATATCCAGAATAGGCAAATCTATAGAAACAGAAAGTAGATTATTGGTTGCCTGGGGCTGGAGAGCAGGAGGAAATGGAGAGTGACTGCTGATGGGTACAGAGTTTCTTTGTGGGTGATGAAAATGTTCTAAATTTGATTGTGGTAACAGTTGCACAACTCTGTGAATACACAAAAAACCATTGAATCATATACTTCAAATGAGTGAATTGTATGGCATGTGAATTGTATCTCAATACAGCTATTATATATATCTTTTTAGTATACTTAAAGTTCTGGGGTACATGCGCAGAATGTGCAGGTTTGTTACATAGGTATACATGTGCCATGGTGGTTTGCTGCACCCATCAACCCGTCATCTACATCAAATGGTTCTTCTAATGCTATCCCTCCCCCTAGCCCCCCACCCACCGACAGGCCCCGGTGGGTGATGTTCCCCTCCCTGTGTCCATGTGTTCTCATTGTTCAACTCCCACTTATGAGTGAGGACATGCAGTGTTTGGTCTTTTGTTCCTGTGTTAGTTTGCTGAGAATGATGGTTTCCAGCTCCATCCGTGTCCCTGCAAAGGACATGAACTCATCCTTTTTTATGGCTGCATAGTATTCCATGGTGTATTTGTGCCACATTTTCTTTATCCAGGCTGTCATTGATGGGCATTTGGTTTGGTTCCAAGTCTTTGCTATTGTGAACAGTGCCATAATAAACATACATGTGTGTGTTCAACCATTGTGGAAGACAGCATGGCGTTTCCTCAAGGATCTAGAACTAGAAATGCCATTTGACCCAGAAATCCCATTACTGGGTATATACCCAGCTGTTATATATTTTTTAAAAAGTTTACATTCAGAAAACCTCCAAAAAATGATCTAAAATCCTGGCTTAGAAACATTCAGGACCCTGGATACTCTAGAGAATCCACTTGTAAGAGAGACCTGATGGATTGAATGACATTCACCCATCCTTGTTCCGCTGTTTGCTTACTCCACTCAAGATGCAAAGCCCCAGGAGAGCATCCTAGGGACTTTACCTGGGGATCTGCCATCCAAACAAGACTGCATCAAAGGAAAAATAGGTAATTTCCCAAGATGAAATCAGGAGGTTGTTTTCAAAGAAGGAAAAATGGTTGTGAGAGGTCAGAATCAGTGCACATTGCCCGCAGCATGCCCAGAACCACATGCGGTATATCCCAGGACACTCCTTGTTTGGAAACATTTTTTCTTTTTTCTCTCTTTTTTTTTTTTTTTTTGAGACTGTGTCTCGGTCTGTCACCCAGGCCAGAGTGCAGTAGCACAATTTTGGCTCATTGCAACCTCTGCCTCTTGGATTCAAGTGATTCTCCCACCTCAGCCTCCTGAGTAGCTGGGATTACAGATGCGTGCCACCACACCCAGCTAGTTTTTGTATTTTTAGTAGAGATGGGCTTTCACTATGTTGGCCGAGACTGGTCTTGAACTCCTGATGTCATGATCTGCCCACCTCAGTCTCCCAAAGTGCTGAGAATACAGGCGTGAGCCACCACGCCTGGCTGGCAACACTTTTTCTAATCACCTGGGTTAAATATTTTTCCTCCCTAATTTTCTCACAAATCTGTGTTATTTTCATATTTGGAGTGGTGTCTAATACCAGTGCACGCTGTCCTTGGCATGATCTCCCCAGCCATTTGACGGCCCCTAAAATCAATTACTTTTACAGATTTATAAAGATAGCATTCCCATGTTTCTGAGCATAAAACAAGAGGTGCAACTAAGTTTAGACAAATTCTTTTTTAGTTTTTTCAGGTGTCCCTTGTGTCACATTTAGAGTTTTTCTCTAGGTACAAGAGAGACTTACATAAGACATATAAGTTTTATGTGTTATTTAACTGGTACCTATTACCATTTTCTTTTATGTTTTAAGATGTTTCTGTCCAACACACTGTTCTAGTCTCTATCATCTAGTGTATTTAAATGGTCTTTGAATCTGAAATGCAAAGAAATATCCAAAGCGGAGGACAGGGAAGGGAGAATGTATGACCACATTTCTAAATCTTCCTACCTTAGCCTATTTCACGGGTTTTAGAGATTGGCAAACAGTTAAAAGTTGTTGGAAGAAGCACTGGTATGGACTAAATGTATCCCCTCAAAATTCATATGTTGAAGTCCTAACCCCAAAAGTGATAGTATTAAGAGATGAGACCTTTGGGAGATAATTAGGGTTAGATGAGGTCACAAGCGTGGGGCCCTAATAATGGGATTAGTGTCTTAAAAAAAGAGGCTTGAGAGCTTATGAGTGTGGTCTCTGTCTTTCTCTCTCTCTCTGTTTCCCTCTCTCTCTCTCTCTTTTTTAACCATAAGAATTTGTTAGAAGTTAAAAGGGAAAAACATTCTTTTTGCTGAATAATATCACATTATATTTAACTTAAAGATTATTAACTTTTTGAATATCAAAAATTGAAGCTGCTAGGAATCACATTTACTTGTAGGTCCCTAAGTAGCCCTGAGGTCTGAACAGGAAAATATCTTTTATAAACTATAACAAAAGTCTCACCTCAAAATAAAATACTATGAAATTTACACAATTATATCTGTCCTCAGTATCTGTACAGTACCCAGAAGCCTACTAGATTTTTAGAAATGACAATGCAAATAGGTTTAGATTCAGAAAACAGAGCTTATACTAAGAGGACATAACTTGAAACCTGGCACCCTGTGCAGGAATCTGTTCAATCCTTAGAACAGTCATAAAGTCATCTTTGTTAAAAAACACAGATCCTTGGACACCCCCAAATGCCAGACAGAACAAAGAGAATTCCAGTACCTTGGTTTTTACTGTTCATCTGAAGGGGGTATCATTTTCAAATTCCTTCGGATGCCCCAAAGGCTCATGGGGTTGCTGGTCATATTTCTGGGCCTGTCATAGCCTTTTGCAGTTTTCATCAAGTGTATCCATAGCTGTGCAGTTCTAAACCAGCTTCTAGAAATTTTGCTCAAAAACTGGTGTTAAGGTGCCTCCATGCTTACCTCCCAAAACTTCATAAAGCATCAGGCCAACATGCACCATCGCTTTACCTGATGGATGGCTTTCTTTTTGTTTTTCCTTTTTATTTAAAAACAACAGAAGGATGTAGTATTATGACAAAACTATTTCCCTCAAAAACCAAACTGTGTTAGCATTGATTGGAGTATCTAATACATAGGCAGACTTGGGGAAACACCAGAGCTTCTCAGGATAGATGTTGATTCTGAGGGTAACCTGCAACCGAATGTCAAGGGCCATAGGCTGAATGCCTGGGGAGCTCTTCCAGGGGGAAAGAATCCTCTTGGGTCTGGGCCCTCTCTTTCTTTCTCTGTCTCTCCCTCTCCCCTTGCACTTTCAAAGAGAAGGTCATGTGGGCACGCAGCAAGATGGCAGTCTATACAGGCCAAGAGAAGATGCCTCAGAATGAAACCTGTCTTTGCTGGTATCTTGATCTTGGACTTCCAGGCTTCCAGAACTAGGAGAAAATAAATTCCTTTTGTTTCAGCTACCCAGTCTGGTACTTCATTATGACTGCCCAAGCAAACTAATACAGACACTGGCTTGTACCTTTCTGTTTATGTATCCCTGTGGTTTTCTATCAGCTGTACAGTTATATTATTCTCTTGGAAATATTAATTCACAACTACTTATGGATTTCTGACTCCACCACATCCCTATTCTTTATCAGATCTCTATTATTCACTTTAACAGCATCCCTTTATTTCTTCTTGATTGTACTCATACTAATCGATTTAACTACTTGTTTAATGTGCTTTTTCTGCTCGACTTTAAACACCATGAGGGGAGGCACTCTCATGAACTTCACTATATCTTCAGGGCTGATCACAGTAGACACTGAGAAATAGTTGTTGAATGTATAAACACATGGATGAATCCCAATGCTAGTGAATATTACTTATCCATAACTTACTTTACTTCGTTGTTTTAGTAAAGCATTCTATTTTAGACTTTTGAAGAGCCTAATAGAGTGGTAAAATTCTATCTTTAACTCAGTGATACCCTTATTGGAAATGTGGCTTTTTCAACCAAAAGGCAAAACTCATCAATGGCTGTCTAAATTATGGCTACCACCCAACTAAAGCTAAAAGGCCTGGGAGAAAAATCATTAGGCTCCTGTGTATATCACGTGTTGCTTAATAGTGGCTGTCTTAGCCCATTCCCTTGAAAGCAGAGGATGAGGGAGAGACATGGGTGCAGAAAGCTTATTCCAAGGAAGGAATGAGGGACAGGGAGATGCAAGAGTGAGAAGGAAAGAGACAAAGATAATATAGGATTGCATTGCCAAGGTTGTTGCTGTAGACAACAGGGTCTTGAATGAGCCGTGACCTCTGGAAAGTGTGCAGAATCTAATTGATGCCCTGAAGGATGAGAGGCTGGTCACCTCCCTGTTGCTGAGAATTGCCCCAGGACCATTCACTTTCAGACTTCCAGGCTGCCTTTGGATGAGGACTGAGAGGACTCCCAGGGATTTGAGAGTGAGGCATAAACAGGAAATAAACACAGAACATTCTCGAAGTGGATCACGGGTCAGCATAAGCCTACACTTGCAGGGAACTGTCCCCTCATAACAGTGTCTGAAATCAGAAGTGGGATATCACAAGTGCCTGCTACTGTGACGAACTTCAGTGCAGCATTTTTTGTTTTTGCAGTAACACATTTTCTTTGCTCTTTATCCCAGGTTCAAGTTGTTGATACACTTGTTCTCTGTTCCATGAGCATGCTTGGCATGGAGGGATGGAACAGTAAGTAGGGCTCTTTAGCAGTCAGATAGGAAGATTCCCCAAATAAGTAGAAAACAATCCATTATTTTTCCAAGTTCTCAAAACAGAGCTCCTGAGGCACATTGCACTCTGGTGCTTACATGGTTCTTTAATGCCATGTGTTTCTCTGACTCATTTTCTTATTCCATTGCATGTGTCCCAATGCGTAAAAGGTTCTTGTAAGCAGATGTAGTGGTGGTTTTGGTTTGAAGAGCAACCAACACAGCCTAGGCATCCCTGGGGAGATTCACCAGAGTCTCTTCGACATTGGGGCTGCAGCTAGGGCCACTGCTGATGAAGGTGGGGCTGGTGATGATGATGTTGGAGATAGCGATCAGATGACTCCAACCATAATGTCACTGCTTATGGTGATGTTTTGAGCCTCGGCAGGTTGAGTCAGGGTGGATAAGGATTTATGCCAGACTTATTGTCCACTCCTTCTCCAAGATTGTCTCATACTACCCTGCCAACTGAGGGCCAGCACTTTGCATTGCCCATTGCTATATTACTCATTGCCTTCTTGGTACAGGACAGATGCTTGGTACATGGATTTTGTTTAATTCCTAATTATTTCATGACTTGTTTTGACCCAAGCATTATTTTCACAAACTAAACTATTTCGACCATGTTTGCATCCTCACTTTTATCCAAACATTAAACATCAAATTATGTTTAAAAACCTAGAGTGCTTCATTAGTAACTGTATTGGTTTGCCAGGGCTGCCATAACAAAATAACACAGACTGGGCACAAAATAACACAGACTGGGGGAGCTAAGCAACAGAAACTTATTTTCTCACACTTCTGGAGGCTGAAAGTTCAAGATCACTGTGCCAGCAGTGATGGTGTCTGTGGAGGTCTCTCTTCCTGACCTGCAGACAGCCACCTTCTTGCTATGTGCTCCCCTGGACTTTCCTCTGTTTGTGCTGGGAGGCAGATAGAGAGAGAGAAAGAGAGCACACCAGCTCTGTGTCTTATAAGGACACCAGTCCTATCAGACTTTCCTACCCTTATAACATCATTTAACCTTAATTACCTCCTTAAAAGCCCTATCTCCAAATATAGTTACACTGGGAGTTAGGGTTTCAACACGTGAATTTTGAGGGGGCATAATTCAGTCCATAACAATAACCTTATGGAGTGAACTCACTCTATTTTAAAGACATTGTTAATTAATCCTGTTGGAAAGCAATGGGCTAGAGTATGACTCACCTTTAGGGATCTAAGTCACAGATGATGCGGTAGGAGTTATGGCAAGATTGGGTTCCCCCAAGACGAAGATTCATGTGCAGCTGATTTATAGCAAGTCTCAGGGGAGACTGGTAAGGGAATAGGGGAAGCAGAGCAAGGATGAAGGGCAGGGAAAGAGACGGGAAGTAAATATAAAGATTCAAGCAGTGGCCCCAAGGACTGATATTACAGGGGGTTCTGGGGAGTTAATTACACCTCAGAGTTGTGCTGACCTGGGGGCTGGGCTCTCCTACTCCTGTACCTCAGTCATTGGCTAAGGGTATGCCTGAGGGACATCAATTTCCAAGCATTTTCAGTTTTTTACACCCAAGAAAATCCTTCAAAGAAGAAAGGCACATTTGTGCATTGGAGAAAAAAGCACATGTAACCTCGAAGAGGAATGCATAGATGCGGTCAAGGGGGTCGGAGGACTCTGGGTGGGTCATCAGTAGTGTCCACTTCAGAATGCTAGAATAACGTACATCTACGGGTGGGGGGCAGTTGTCACAGGGGCCAGCCTTCTGAGTAGCACTCAGCCTTCCCCCAAGCCATGCTGCTCAGATAGTAACATTGGAAAGCCTTAGCATGCAGCAGTGAAGAGTCACAGACTTCAAGCGTGGAAACTTCAAAAACTAATGGCTTCTTAGACTTCTGGGGGAAAAATGGGTAGCGTGGAGTCCAGCATTTCCAAGTTGAATCATGAATTTACAACTTACTAATTGTGTGACCTTAAGCAACTGACACCGTTACTCAAGTTAAGTAACTAAGTCCAACTAATTCTAAATGCCATCTACAAGACGGAGACATCAAATAAATAAAGCAGGTAAAAAAAATTACCCTGCATTTAGTAGAACTTGAGAAACATAAGTCCTTCCTTCCACCCTCTTCTTCCCTTTCTTCTAAGTAATCACATGCTTGCTCCTGAAAACTTCTGAATGCAACTCTGCCTCTTCCTGTCTCTCTTTTGGTCTAGTGCTTTTAGCGCTTTGGGGAGAGAGTTTTACGGTCTTGATGACAGCTTTCTTTTCGTGTTTTTTGTCCCTTTATTAAGAAGAGAGGACATTCACTCTCTATTTTAATTTGCAACATACTATGGGGATGGACCCTAATTGCACTTTGGTGGAGGAAAGGGAAAGACAACCCAGGTGGGGAATAGTAGGGTGCACCCCAAATAAACAGGAGGCAGCCTGAGGGTCCTGGGTCTGCTAACACAGTTAATTCAATTCATTCATTCATTCACTTATTCCATATTTATCTAGAACCTGCTTAGTGCTGAGCACTGTACTAGGTCCCCAAGAAACAAGAAAGACCAAGATGAGGACGCTGCCCTACAGGTATTTCCTGTCTGTTAGAGGCTGTGGGAAATGTTAAAAAGTGCAGACATAGAAGATTGGTAGGAATCAGAAGGAAATGTTTGCTACTTCATAATTTGCATCAAACTTTAGCCAACAATGAAAGCCATCCAGTGACTTTTAGAGTTTCTTGGAGAGTAGAGGGGATATAAAGGAAGTATAGAGGAAAATCCAATTTGTAACCAGAGAACATACCAGTCCTCAATTCCTGCTTTCACCTTTGACCTTGCTCCTCCATGCATTTTTGCTGCATCTGGCCTTGCCCCGGGAGTGAATGAAGAACCAGGGGAGTATGGGACAGAGAATGGGGATTCTCTGTTTGGATCCAAATAGCCTTAGGGCTAACTCTTAGTCTATCACTTGCCTGTCCCACAGGTTTGGACAAGCCCTCATTTCTCTAAGCATCCGTTTGCTCATCTACATTGGATGATCCATCATCCAATGTAGATGAGCAAACGGATGCTTAGAGAAATTAAATCGGGGATAATCTAGGACAAGTAATAGCTACATAATGCATGGAGACTCTTGTTAGTCTTACTGCCAAAACCACCACCACAACCTCTGTGACCGCTGCTATCACTGGCCTGCTTCCAACATTCAAATGGAGTTAATAATAGGAGATGTGGGTATGGCCCCTTGCTACTGCAGACACTCCCAGCCATGCTCTTCTTACAGTTCCATTGAGAGATGGGAGAGAGGAGGTGGGATAAAGATAGCCTGGGACCAAGAGAAATGGCTGAGCAAGAGGAAAGGAGGGAGGAAGGTAAAGACTTGGTGAAGTAGAGAGGACATCCATGGAAATGAGAAGAGAGAGGAAGGAAGGAAGAAGAAAAAGAAGGTAGTCACTCACTGCCACCTTCTCACAGAGCATCAGCCTCTCCTGAGGAACAACAACAAAAAAAACCTTCTTCCCTCCATGACTTCAACTCCAGGCCCATCTCAAGCCCTTCTCAGTTCTTCTGCTGTCAGGAAGCCAGGCTAAAGGCGTAGACTGGGGCAGTCCAAAGGCTGATTTCTCTGAAACAGCCAACACATGGTAAACAAAATCAGGAGAGCAAACAGAACAGATTTCAAACCACCTGCAATGGGAAGGTTTGAAAATATAAGGCTTTGGGGATAGAAGTGTGAATCTGCTTCATTTTTAAGGTGAGACTGGACATTCTAGAACCATCAGGAACATGAATCTACTTGGATGACTTAGCATAAGGAAGGTGTGAAACCATCTAAGCTGTCCTCAGTTGGAATGAGCCATCTCCATCAGGAATGAAATGCTCATCAGTAGACACACTAGAACATATGCTTCGTGAGAACCCAGTGAGAGATGGCATTAAACATTTTAAGAGTCACTTTTAGTTTAAACATCTGTAATCAGGAAAAGAAAGACTAAAATTACTCTCCATTTTGCAGTTCTACTGAGAACTACAAGATGTTGTTAGTAGTGAGTGGGGAGGAAAAGATAGTTCTAGATTTGAGATTGAAGCCCAAAATGTATTTATACCCACTATGAGGCTCATAGTGTTAGACCTTTTTGCCTGCATTAAGTTGAGGAATATCCAGCATCCTGCCACTTTTTCCCACTAACTTCATTCAGATGGACCTTGAGTTGTGTCTGGTGCCATGACGAAGGGCACTGACCCAGCGCTGCGAACTACTTATTTGAAACTTCCAAGGGGGCCTTCTGTGAGCAGTGAGCAGCTCTGCAGACACTTCACCTTTGCAAAATGAGAGAGTGCTGGAGGCCCTTTGTTCCTAACAAGCACAGTGTCCTGAGCAACTCCTCAGAGGTAGCCATGGGCAAAGCCAGGAAGCAGGAAAACTGCAGCATTGCCCCTCTCCTTTTAGTGGAGCCCTTCTGTCTTCCATTATCCTTTTTCTGGGTGTATAGAGCCTTCTTCACTGTCATCAGCCTCACAGACCTGGTGCCATGCTTTGAGGTTGCTCACCAACATTTTGGCATTTGACACTTGTAATACTATCATGTCTTAGTATGGTTGTCCCTGTTTTGTAGCTAAAGAAGTGGAGTCTCAGACTTATGGGCACATGAATGTAAGTGAATGCTGGGCTGCCAGCAACAAATCACCCTGCCTGGAGTCAGTGAGCACCTGATCCTTTTGGGTCTACCCGCCAATCGAGACCCTTAGGTTTCTGGCCTTTCCCTCTCCCTCACATCCCTCACTTCCTCCAAAACACCTATCTATCCTTCCTGTCACTCCATCAGAGCCCTGCTTCTGAGAGACCGGCAGAGAAAGCACTGTGCTATGAAAAGCAGGTCTCAGGTTCCAGTCCCAGCTCAGCCTTCACAAGCTTAGACAAAGTACTTAACCCCTCTAAGCCTCAGTTTCCTGAACAGAAAATGGGACTAATAATGGTACCTCCCTTAGAAGGCTGTTGTGGGGATTAAACAAAATAGCATGTGAAATGTTTAGCTCAGTGCCTGGCTCACAGTAAAGACTCAGCACTGTTTGCTAGTAGAATCTATGCTAATAGATTCCAGTGATCTAAGTTTGCCTTTGGACAGGATGCTCCTATAGATAAAGCTCTCACTACCTGTGGGAGTGGGGGAGGAAGGCTGTGGACCATAAGGCTGCAGGGCCCTGGGCATGTAGATGGACAGTATAGGCAGTGCAGTGATGTGGGACTGGGCTGGCCTTGGGCGTCCAGTTTAATGATGTCTCACCTGACTTCTGCAGCCTTCCTTTTAGCCAAGCCACTGCTCATTAGCACTTCCTCCAGAGCTCAGGCAAGGAGGGAAATGAAATAGGGCTAAATCCTGTCCATCCTGGTAGTTCTTAGCAGAAAAAGGAAGCCAAGAACTAGATTAAAGTTGAGTTGAAGGTGAAGGGCCAACGATTACGCTGTCTGCTGCTCTCTCTCCCCCTGGCAGTCTTAGGTATTTGAGTGGAGGTTGCATTTGACAGTTGTGACACACGTACTTGACCCGGCCTGAGAAGCCTTGTCTTCAGGAGTCTCGAAGGACACCCCTGGGATTTGAAGACTTTCTTTTTTTCTCGCAGCTGCCTGAGCTTTCAGTCAAAGGCTGCACATCTCAACATAAAGTGTATGAGTAGGAATTTGCACATCCATCCCTCTGTAAGAGTGGGCCCATGGAACATGAAGATAACGAAGTGTGTCTCTGTCTTCAAGAAGACTGAAAGCCAAGGCAATTCTTAGCCATCTGAACACATAATTGCAATATATTATGATTTGTGCTGCAAAAGAAACAATAATAAGATAAAATGGTTCCAAGAACAAAGAGAAGGGAGTTATCTATTTTGCCCATTGAAGGGAGTGGAAGGAGGCTAAGATCAGGCAAGATTCACAGGGTTGGAGACATTGGGGCTGAGTAGAGGCATGGTTGTAGACAAGTTAGATACACTTTTTGTGCGTCAGTTTCTTTATCTGAAAACTAGACATAATAATAGCATCTACTTTATGGTGCTATCATTGTGAGGATTGAAAGAGATTAAGTCATATAAAGTCTGGCACACAGAGTAACCACCCAATGAATATTTGCTTATATTACCTCTTAGTAGTAGTAGTAATAGTAGTGGTATTAAGATTATTAAAAATAGAAGTAGAAGTAGTGCTATTACTTCTGATATTCCTAGTGCTTAGCAGTGTCTAGTCCATAGTTTAAGGCTCAATAAATATCTGCAGAATAAATACTGAGAAAATGAATGTGTAAAAATATGCTATCTGATGTCTCTGGTCAGAGCTGGACATAGAGATCTTTTTTTCTGTCTGTAAAGGATTTAAGGCATTTCACCATAAGTGATATTTATAAAATAAAGTCAGAGAAATAAAAGAGGAATAGAAAGATCAAGATCAAGAAAGGAAGGAGAGGCCAGGTGCGGTGGCTCACACCTGTAATCCCAACACTTTGGGAGGCCAAGGCAGGTGGATCACTTGAGGTCAGGAGTTGGAGACCAGCCTGGCCAACATGGTGAAACCCCATCGCTACTAAAAATACAAAAATTAGCTAGGCGTGGTGGCACACGCCTGTAGTCCCCACTACTCAGGAGGCTGAGGCACAAGAATAACTTGAGCCCGGGAGGTAGAGGTTGCAATGAGCTGAGATCGTGTCACTGCACTCTAGCCTAGGTGACAGAGTGAGACTCCATAAAAAATAAAAGTAAAAAAAAGAAAGAAAGGAAGGAGAAAATTAAATTTTTGTCTGTTGTGCTGTTACCATATTTTATGAAAACACCCATAAGGAATTTTCACCCACATTATATGGCACATGTGAAATTCCCTTTGAGGGATTATGGAGAAACCTTCAATGAGACCAGGGTCCACCAGAGCAGTCCAAAGTAAGCTCCAGTACAGGTCACTCACCAGGGGTCAGAGGGATGGGCTATGTGAATCCAGATGCTTTGGACAAAAACAAAATACAAAAATGAAAACAACAACAATAATAATAATTTGAGCCCCAAATCTAAAATCACTAAAGGAGAAGCTTCTAGCTGGATGGAGCTCCTTCTCAAATAGGCCACTCCCTGAGTCTTACACCAAGGAAAGAAGGAACCGAGATTTATTTACTTAACAATGGTTTATAATTCTCTCAAGATATACAGGTCACCAAACAGTTAACAGAATGATTGACAATTGGTAAACAAGATTCAGATGGGACTCTGAACGTCCTGGCAACCATCTCAAAAAGAAAAAGATGGTCAGTTGTATACATCTGGCTATCAGAAAGAGAAGCTTACAAGTTCCACAGAGGAGATCACAATTTTCTTGATGCTAAATTCTAAAATAATGTTATTGTACCATGCAGATAAGTTATATAGAGGCACTGAGTGACTGTTTTCTAGAAAATGCAGCTGTAGAGAGGTGATTTTCATGTGACTTTTAAAAGATGGCCTTTGATGAAGCTGGATGTGACACTAAAGCAAAATTTAGTGTAAATGTTTAGGAAAGCATCTCAAGATCAGGGACGTTTTTCCCGGTGGTAGACAACTGACATCTCCATATCCTTACATGGCAGAAAAAAGCAAGAGAGCTCTTTTCGGCTTCTTTTATGAGGGCCGTAATTCATTTATGAGGGATCTACCCTCATGACCTAATTACCCTCCAAAGGTCCCACTGCCTAATACCATCACCTTGAGGTTTAGAATGGTGACATCTGAACTGGGGGCAAGAGAGCACAAACCTTTAGTCCACTGCAGCATATACTTAGTACTTCTGAAAGAAGAGGTGAAATTGCATGCAAACCGTCACTGTACACACTCACACATATATCCTTGCAAAATAACTCAGATTAATTAAATATTAATGTATTTTAGCAATGCAACTATATCAGTATTAGTCAAGTATATTAAATCCTAATTAAACGATAGCTTTTCTTGTGTATGGTTTTGCTGTAGGCCATGAGACAATTATTCTCTATAAAATCCAATCTTATTCAGTAAACAATGGTTGATCTCCTACTAAGTGTCGAGCACTATGCTAAGTATTGGTGATGCCGAGATCTGAAAGACACTGTCCTTGACCATAAGACAGTCACAGGGTAGGGGAGGTAATAACTACAAACAAACAAGGAAAGCTCTAAGGAGGTAATCACTGGAAGCCCGGGGGCCGGGAGCAAGGCCTCCACAAGTGGGCAAGAGATCAGAGCAGGCTTTTCTTTTCCTTTCTTTCTTTTATTTTTTGAAACAGAGTCTCCTTCTGTCGCCCAGGCTGGAGGGCAGTGGTGCAATCTTGGCTCACTGCAACCTCTGCCTCCTGGGTTCAAGCGATTCTCCTGCCTCGGCGTCCTGAGTAGCTGGGACTATAGGCAGGTGCCACCACGCCCAGCTAATTTTTGTATTTTTAGTAGAGATGGGGTTTCACCATATTGGTCAGGCTGGTCTTGAACTCCTGACCTCGTGATCCGCCCGCCTCGGCCTCCCAAAGCGCTGGGATTACAGGCTTGAGCCACCGCAGCATGCTTGTTAAAGGCAATGATGTGTGGGTTGAGTCTTGAAAGAGGCACAAAAGTTATCCAAACCAAGGAAGATCAAGTGAAGGAGGACTCTGCATGCAGAGGGAAGAGCGTAGGTCAAAGCAGTATACTTGGATGAAACTGTTGTTTCTTGACTTTGGTGGTAGTCCCATGACTCTACATGTGATCAAAATGCATAGAACGAAGCACACACACACCACACACACTAGACCTTCATCTATGGTGGAATCGTCCTCAAAGACACAGACTCAGAGCCTTAGGAACTACGAAGACACAGCAGCTCTCTGGCCCTGCCGCCTCTGGCTGCCCCTCTTCAAGCTTGTTTGTGCTAATTACTGTGGCTCTGACCTTTAGAATAGAACATTTCTAATCCAATTTCCCAACACTTCTCCCCAGAAAGGCAGCTGTCAGCAAAATACTCTTAGACAAATATTGAGTGAAAAGAAATTGCTGCAGACATGAAAAGATGAAATCTGACTTTGGGCAGAGGTGTGTGGGTAGACATGGTCTCCTCCTGCCATGTCCAACCTGGGAAACCATTCATCCTTCTTTTTCTACCCAGATATCTCTGACCAGCCACCTGATCTGGCTTTTCCTGGCCCAGCTTCCAAGGTTGGAGCCCAGAAAATTTTTCATCTTGTGTTTGCCTTTGTGGTTTTGTGCACATCACTTAAATTCTGAGCTGTGGGTTCTTTGTCTGGAAACAGGAGTGATATGTACCTATTCATCTCCCACAGACATGGGAGAAGCCAGCAAGATAGGGCTTATGGAATATTCTATTTCTTTCAGTCTAATCATCCCAAGAAACAAGTATAATTTTATTCCTCAACTTTTGCCCCACTAAGAACCTTCTCTCTGTGGTTTTCCTCCTATCTAAACTCTCAAGAGTATCTCCTGAACCTGTCTTTTCTCAGAGCAGGCATCTTCTTGTTTCTTCCAAAGAAGACAGAACCATTGCTTTTGCCTCAATAACAATGAGCTATCTCCAGGTGTCATTAAAGCCATGGGTGTGTTTAACAAATGATACACATTAGAACACAAGAAATGGTGTCAGGATGACTTTCAGAACCAGAGTAACCTGCAGTCTTCACAGTTTTCCGAGGAGGGAAGGTAAGAAAGAAAGAAATAAGAAGGTAGTCTCTGAATTAAGGATGATCTCAGAAATTCAGGGCTGGACTAATTCACCCAATGTGAGGCTATTGTCGAGTTCCCAAAATACTATGGGGAACATGGTGTAATCTATGGGAATAATGAGTGGTTGAACATTTTAGCTTAACTGCTGCTGACCTCAGAGAAGACCCCCCACAGCTTCCCGGAACTGGCTCAATCAAACCTGGGAATGGAGCCACCTTCCTTGAGTTAACACAGATCTTTTAATGCCAGATTCATTAACAGCTCGCCTTACTTCAGCCTCCACAGGTTTGGTTTTATTGTGTCCCACCCTCTACCCCACACCCAGCTAAACGTTTTCAGAGAGGAGGCAGTCATTTTCTATTTCTCCACGTATAATACCTTTGCTGATTTGACAGATTCCTGCTTTGTTCACTCGGATGGATTGACAGCAGAGCTGCCTCATTAAAGCCTTCTCATAAGCTTTGTCATCATCTCCTCAATGAAGTTTCTGCCCGTTTCCTTCCATTCTAAACCCAACTGTTTGGTGGCTGGCATGTTTTGCTATGGAAGGAAATACCCCACATGTATGGGAGGGGGCTTGGTACAGAGCTCAGGGGCTTATAAGCCAGTGGAAGCTTGTCCAACCTGCAGACAGCAGTGGGCAGGGCTGGAGGGGCAGTGGGTACGGGCACTCCGTGGTGGAGTTCCTCGCCGCCAACTGTGCATTCCACTTTGTAGAGACGAGCTGGACTCTCTGATGTGACAGTCGATCGTGACTCACCCAGGACCTGGCATGTCAGGGCACACAATGAAAATATAATAACTGCCTTGTTATAATCTCCCTGGGAGCTGGGAGCACAAGGGAAAAGGGGGAAGCAAAGGGAAGAGCTAACATCTATGGAGTATCTCCTAAGCTCTGGGAACTTCCCCTACATGATTTTATTTAGTTCTCACAAGTGCTCTTTGGGGCGGGCTTAATCTTTTAAAACGATAAAGAGGCTGGGTGTGGTGGCTCAAGTCTGTAATCCCAGAACTTTTCGAGGCCAAGGCAGGAGAATCTCCTGTGCCAGGAGTTCTAGACCAGCCTGGGCAACATAGTGAGACCCTGGCTCTAAAAAGATAAAAAATTAGCCGGGCGTGGTGGTGGCATGCATGCCTGTAGTCCAAGCTATCAGGAGGCCGAAGTGGGAGAATGGCTTGAGCCCAAGAGATCGAGGCTGCAGTCAGCTGTGATCACACCACTGCACTCTAGCCTGAGTGACAGAGTAACACCCTGCCTCTGAAAAAAGAAAATAGGCTGGGCGTGGTGTCTCACACCTATAATCCCAGCACTTTGGGAGGCTGAGGCAGGTGGATCATGAGGTCAGGAGTTGAAGACCAGCCTGGCCAACATAGTGAAACCTGATCTCTACTAAAATACAAAAATTAGCCGGGCGTGGTGGTGAGTGCCTGTAATCCCAGCCACTCAGGAGGCTGAGGCAGGAGAATCGCTTGAACCCGAGAGGTGGAGGTTGCAGTGAGTTGAGATCATGCCACAGCACTCCAGCCTGGGTGACAAGAGCAAAACTCCGTCTTGTCTGAGCAAAAAATCATCTTGTCTCTTCAGCCCAGCTCTGTTTCCAAACGTCCCACTTTCTACCATGGGCCACTGTCATTCTTTTCCTCTCCCAGATCTGAAATGTTTGACTTCTATGTTCTACTCCCTAAGTAAAAGTTTTATATTTATATTTTATGCTTGTCACTTCCCCACTTTTATATTTGTTCTGCAGTCTTAAGGTGATAACAAGTGGGGAAAGGACAAGATGATTTTTGTATGATACACATTGAGTCTGAAAGGTACATGAAGCATTGACATGAATGATATGTAGGAAGTCGGGGCCAAAGTTAGCAATAGAAATTGAGGCTTGGGGCTGGGCGTGGTGGCTCATGCCTGTAATCCTAGCACTTTGAGAGGCCCAGGCAGGCACACTGCCCGAGCTCAGGAGTTCGAGACCAGCCTGGGCAACACGGTGAAACCTCGTCTCTACTAAAATACAAAGAAATTAGCTGGGCGTGGTAGCATGTGCCTGTAGTCCCAGCTACTCAGGAGGCTAAGGCAGGAGAATTGCTTGACTCTGAGAAGCGGAGGTTGCACTGAGCTGAGATCGTGCTACTGCACTCCAGCCTAGGTGACAGAGCGAGACTCCATCTCTATTAAAAAAAAAGAAAAAGAAAAAAAAGAAAAAAATTGAGGCTTGGAAGACTTAGAGAGATGAGCGAGACACTGAAGGAATGAATGATGCGTCTCTTGAAAGGATGGAGTGGGAAAATCCCAGGTGAATGAAGACAGGACATGTGAGGAAGAAGAGAAATCAACCAAGGAAGGAAAGAAATAGTGTCTTGGTGTGCTAAGCCTACTGTACAAAAGCACCACAAACTTGGTGGCTTAACAAAAAGATACATTCATTTTCTCATGGTTCTGGAGGCCAGAAACCTCCACACCTGGTTCCTTCTGAGGGCTCCAAGGGAAAATCTGCCTAGCGTCTTTGTCTCAGCTTCTGGTGACAGCTGGCAACCCTCGTTCTTCCTTGGCGATAGATGTTTCACACAAGGCTGTGTCTCTGTCTTCACATGGTGTTTTCTCCTATGAATCTCTTCTTTTTCTTTTCTTTGAGACGGAGTCTCGCTCTGTCGCCCAGGCTGGAGTGCAGTGGCGCGATCTCAGCTCACTGCAAGCTCCGCCTCCTGGGTTCACGCCATTCTCCTGCGTCAGCCTCCCAAGTAGCTGGGACTACAGGCGTCCGCCACCACGCCTGGTTAATTTTTTTGTATTTTTAGTAGAGACGGAGTTTCACCATGTTAGCCAGGATGGTCTCGATCTCCTGACCTCGTGATCCACCCGCCTCGGCCTCCCGAAGTGCTGGGATTACAGGCGTTGAGCCACCATGCCCAGCCGGATCTCTTCCTATAAGGACATGAATCAAATTGAATTTAGGGGCCCACCCCACTCCACTTTGACCTCATCTTAATTACATCTGCAGGAACCCTCTTTCCAAATAAGTTCCCATTTTGAGTTACTGGGGGTCAGGACTTCAACATATCTTCTTGGAGGCAGAATTCAATTCGTAACAAAGAGTAATCCAAGGTCGGGCGCAGTGGCTCACGCCTGTAATCCGGGCACTTTGGGAGGCCGAGGTGGGCGGATCACCTGAGGTCAGGAGTTTGAGACCAGCCTGGCCAACATGGTGAAACCCCATCACTACTAAATATACCAAAAAATTAGTCAGGTGTGGTGGCAAGCACCTGTAATCCTGGGTACTCGGGAGACTGAGGCAGGAGAATCACTTGAACCCAGGAGACAGATGTTGCAGTGAGCCAATATTGTGCCCAGGAGGCAGAGGTTGCAGTGAGCCAAGATTGCGCCATTGCACTCCAGCCTGGGCAACAAGAGCAAAACTCCATCCAAAAGAAAAGAAAAAAAAATCAGAGTAATCCAAGAGAGAAGGACAAGACCCAAAATATAAATAATCCAGGAAATCGCACCAAGGAAGGAAGAATTTTGAGAAAGAAGAACCAATTGGTCGATGGTTACAGAAGCCTATTGCAGTTCATCATGCCTTTCTTCTTGAGACACCATGAACCTTGCCCCTCAAGCGCTGGGTCCAGGTTTCTTGTCAGCCTTTATTATTTTATGTTGAAAACATTATTTTTTCATTCTCTGATAAGGAGCAAGGTAGACCAGGACAGGAGGGAAAATAGAAAATTAAAAAAAAAAAAAAAAAACAGATTTGGCCAGATTATCCATGATGAGGCTCACTATGTGTGACAAGAGGAAAGAGGTCAGACTGTGGGGCTTCGGGAGAAGCTGGGAAATGAGGAAGCTGACCCTGCTGGTCACTGTGCTACCAGTTCCCCACTCCCACTCTTCCAGGCATCTCAAATGCGTGGTTTTACCCACAGCCCCTGCTCCCATCTTTTCCATCCATTCTCTGCCCCCTTCAATAGGCTCTCCATATTTTTCCCTACAATACACAAAGTGCTATCTTAAAACTTCACCACATCCAACTGGCCTTTTCAATTCTTATTCTCTTTGCCCTATGGAGGAGGAAGAGGTTAGAGATAAGAAATGTACATTCATTCATTCATCCGACAAAAGCTTTTAGCATCTACTATGTGTCAGAAACGTTTATATGTTCTGTGGATACTCTCAAGGGGGTTACATTTAGTTGGGGGCGACAGAAAATAGTCAAGTAATTAAGTAACTAGGTAATGTTAAATATGATAGGTGGCCTGAGCAAATCAAACAGGATAGTGTGATAAGGAATGACCGGTCAGGGGAAGGAACACAAGGACTGATAGAGTGGTTGGACAGGACCTCTCCTGTCCACAGAGGCGACATTGGAGTTGCCACATGAACACGAATGCACATTTCCCACATCCCAGGGTGGGTATGCTCCGTGTTGGCTCAGGAGCTGAGCCAGGCCCAGTGTGTGGAAATTGCACAGAGGCAGGGTGAGGCACAATATAAGAAAGACTTCCAGACCATCAAAGCTGCCATCTCTGCAGTGTGCTGCCTGTGCTGTCATGAGCTGTCCATCTCCAGAGATGTTCAAGCTTTAGGAACGTTGACCATCGGTGAGGAAGATTGCAGAAGAAATCCTTAGATGTGGCAGGTTGAACTCAAGATTGCAGAAGAAATCCTTAGATGTGGCAGGCTGAACTCAACAGAAAGGTCCTTTAGCTCTGAAAGTCTGTGGTTTACCATCAAGGTCCTGCTCATCCACTGTGCAACTGCTTGACAAGGTCAGTGGGGAGCAGCAATGCCTGGCTCTGTGTAGGAGACAGGACCACGGACATGGAGAATAAGCTTTATCTCCAGCAGTGGTCAGAGGCTCTTCACGTAGAGCCAGGCATGGTAGGTGGAGATAGGGCCAGCTTGCAAGAGAGAAAGCAATTAATCCAGGTCTCCTGGGGATATCGGTGCATAGCACTGTTGCATGTCCTCTCAGTATTTCTTTGTGGGATGCTTATGTGTTCTGTATGTATCCCTACATGCACAATCCTCATGGTTGTGTTTCTGGCATTTTCAGGAAACCTTTGTCCCCCATGTGCTCACATCCCATGCAAACACCATACATGTAAGCCCAGTCCTGTTTCCTCTCTTTAATGGCAATGGTAGATTGTACATAGAGTCCAGCAGGTGACTCAAGGTCAGCTTCCTCATCAGCAGATAAAAGGAATTAGAGTGACTCAGTGGATCACCACCTCTGTGTTTCATGCTGCAGACACAGGTGGGGGCAAAAATCCCATGAGCAAATGAGATCTCTGCTCCAGAACCTGAAAGGTTGGCACTGAATCTCACAGCATTCCTTCCTTCTTGTCCACTTTTCATCTTCCTCTTTCTCCTCCTCTTCCTCTCCTCTCTCTTTCTCCTCCCCTCCTTCTCCTCTTCCTCTCCTCTCTCTTTCTCCTCCCCTCCTTCTCCTCTTCCTCTCTTCCCCTCCTCCTCCTCTACTCTACCTCCTTCTCTTACTCTTCCTTCTCCTCCTCTTTCTCTTCTCCCTTCATCCTCTCTTTTTTCCTCCTCTTATTCTCCTCTTACTCTCTTCCTCTACTCCTTGTTCTCCTACGACTACTTCTCTGAGTTCCCTTTCTCCTCTCCTCCTCCTCTACTTTATCTTCTTCTCCTCCCCCTTCTCCCCCTCCTCTTCCTCCCTCTCCTTCTCATCCTCTTCTCCTCCTCTTCTTCCTCCATATTCTCCCCTTTTCCCCACCCTCAATCCGGATCCAGGTCTTTGGAAACATTCCTCAGCTTTCCTCAGGACTGGAGAACAGACAGGCATTGGCATTAATTTCCTTTCAGCCTTTCCTCCCCTCTTATAATGACTCATTAATCAATGCTCATGATTTTGGAAGAGGCCCAGGGATGTTGAAAGCAGTCCCTAAACAGGGTGAGACCTACAAAGAGATTATCATAGATGATCCATTGTGGATGCTAAAAGGTCATTTTTCCAGGCTGACTCCAAGACAGTATTGGCCACAGAACAGACACTTGGTAGAAGAGAGCCTGAGGTCCAGGCAGCAGCAACAGCAGCTTCGGGAAACCTGAGCTCTTCTGTCTCCCACCCCTCATCCTGCCCTATTCCCCTCACTCAAGGAGTTTATCGTCCTTGCTTCCAGAGACCCTCAGCGGGACAGTGCTTACTTACTGCCTAACCCAACCTGCTTTTAAGCATAATTCAAGCCTACCAAACTGGAATAAATGGAATTTAAATATAGCTTCTTCATTTCCCCCACTATTTCACCAATCTGTGCCTTCTCCCATCTTACCCATCACAGAAAGTAGCAAAATTATCCACTCCATTAGTTTTCATCTCTGCCTCTCACTTCTTTTCTCTTTTCTACTTAAAAATATTTTTGAAATTTATTTTTAAACTTACATACATTAAAATTAGCTTTTGGTGGGAACGTTGCTGGAAAACTACTCGACAAAAACGGAATAGACTATCAAAGCATACAATAGCATGGATGAATCCCAAAGGCATTATGCGAGATGCAAGAAGCCAGTCTCAAAAGGTTGCAAACTTATGATTCCATTAATATGACATTCTGGAAAAGGTCAGACTATAGGGACAGAGAACAGATCAGTTGTTGCCAGGGATTAAGGGTTAGGACGTACTACACTCTGTTTATCGATTTACCCACTGAAGGACATTTAGGGTACAAGCTTTTGTTTGGATGTAAATTTTCACTTCTCTTGGGTAAATATCTAGGAGAGGGATTGCTGGGTCCTATGGTATGTTTATGTTTAATTTTATAAGTTAAATCAGTAATCCGTGTTGGCTTATATAAACCAATAAGCTAAACTGTTTTCTGGAGTGCGTCTCATTCATTCGATTTTTAAAGTCAAAACCTGGCAATCATTCTTTATCGCTGTCTCTTCCTACTCCCCATATTCAATCTATTTCTGCACATCTTCAAGGTTCTACCTCCAAACTATAGCTTCCAATGCTCCCTCCTCCTCCATCATCACTGCAGCCTCCTTGAAGTGAGTCACCGTTATCTCTCGCCTGGGCTTCTTCAGGAGCTACTGTTCATCCTCTCTGCCCACATCCGACATCCTCTCTGCACCCTCTTCCTACAGCCTGTTCTCCACAGAGCGGGCAAAGTGATCCTTTTCAGACATTAATCTGATCAGATAACTCCTTACTTCAAGCCTCCCATTGACATCCCATTGTACTTGGCCTTCAGAGGACTCTGCATTCTGGCCCATGGCTACACTCAGCCAATTTTCCACTTTCCTCTTCATTGTCCTGCACAGTCAATTAGCCTCCTGTGAGTTCCCAGACCAAGCTGAGCCATCCCAGACCTCAGGCCTGTGGACACCCTGCCCGCACTGTGAAATGCTTTTCTCTGTGCTCCAGGCGTGTGGCTCCTTCATGCCCTAGTCTAAATGCCACTTTCTCAAAGGCCCTTCATGTCCATCATGGCGCTTATCCAAATGGGTTATTTTTATAGACATTTGTTCACTCATTTGTTATCTATTTCTTTCCGATTCAAATGGGAGAACCTTCAGAGCAGAGAACTCATCCTGGTTGTCACTCCTACTTGGAGCAGTTCCTGACACATAGCAGGTGTGCTTTAAAAATGTTCAATGGGCTGGGCACGGTAGCTCATGCCTATAATCTCAGCACTTTGGGAGGCCAAGGTGGGTGGATCACGAGGTCAGGAGATCAAGACCATTCTGGCTAACAGGGTGAAATCCTGTCTCTACTAAAAATACAAAAAAATAGCTGGGCGTGGTGGTGAGCACCTGTAGTCCAAGCCACTCCAGAGGCTGAGGCAGGAGAATGGTGTGAACCCAGGAGGTGGAGCTTGCAGTGAGCCGAGATCACGCCACTGCACTCCAGCCTGGGCGACAGAGCAAGACTCTGTCTCAAAAAAACAAAACAAACAAACAAACAAAAAAAACAGTTCAATGAATGAATGACTCAATGCAATGTCATCCTGTACTCCTTATTTAAAATAAAATAAAAGAGAGGGAGTTTGTGGAGATTTCATATGGGATAATAGCACCTACTTCATAAGGTTAGAATTGAAATGAGTCAACATATGCTGAACACCTACAACAATGCCTGGCACACAGCAAACGTGATGTAAATGTGAGACTAAAAATAATAATGATGGAAGCAAATTCATGGAAGAGGAGTTCCAGCCTTCTTAGGAGAACAAAACTGTTTATTCCTTTCACAAATATTTACTGAGTCTGCACAGATGGAAGTGTGTGTACAAGCGTGGAAGTGTGTGTACAAGCGTGGAAGTGTGTGTACAAGCGTGGAGAGCGTCACACCCAAATGGCACTCTTCACAAGAACAGAACACAGACCCTTCACACTTTGCTCCCAGAAGAGCCCAGGAGTAAAGGTTCTCACCCCGCTGAGCATTTCCTTTTCCCTGACACCCCCAATTTGCACAGAAACCATGGGAGAGGGGTCACATTCCATTTTAGAAGGCGACATCCTCACAGCAGGGCACTACGCTGGGTACTATTTGTATCTGCAGTGGGTGCACTACCTACTGGCCATCGAAAACCCTTCTGGTCATCGAAAAGCTCTTGGGAGTACCTTTGCACTCAAAGCAATACACATCATTTTAAGATATTCTCCAAATCCTGTTGATACTAAAATGAGTGCATTTTCTTCTAGGGTGCGTGAAGGATTGAGGTTTGACCGTAGATGTTCAAATATATGGAAGTCCATATTGTCTTAACAGCACCCAGACCTGTCCTCCCAACAATTTAAAATTGTCATGGTTAGAAAGGCGCTTTGTAAATGTAAACCCATCGCTTTACCTTTCCAAGGGCATTCTTTATGAGATGAGTCATGAAAGCATCCTTGTGCATGCAGGAGGCATTTACTAAATGCACATTTTCAAAAAGTGGTGGGAGACGGAGGACCGGAGGGAGGGAGGAGGATACACCAACAGCACATGGGCCCTGCCAAACCCACCTCTGTTACTTGATATGGATGGTCATACCGGTTGTGCTCTGCACCGAGGCACCTGGTGGAGGGAGCCATTTTGCTCACTGGGGCTGTGACTTCCCAGGGGAGTTCTCCTCTTCCTAAGTGCCTTCCAGAGGCACTCAGTGTGCCGACAGTCACCTGGTTCCATAAGCAGTCTCCTTCACAAACAGAAATAAGCAGAAACTGGACCCTGGGTATGAGCACAGCTAAGTTCTAGCCTGGATTCTGCCACTAACTTAAGACTCTTCCCTCCTCTAGCTCCAGGCATCTACATCCATAAGATGATGAATTCAGACAAGATAGTTGGTTTTCACACATTTTGTTTTGTAGCTGCAGAGCCATGTCCTCCAGTGAAATAGTTCTTTGAACCTCCTAAGTGAAGCAAATGACCTTGAGGCCACGCTGTCGGAGGTGGGAGGGGACCTGAGCCCTTAGCCCTCACCAGGGCTGGACCGCCCCCCTCTGCACACGAAGAACTGCAGGACTTGGAGGCTGTCTCAAATATTCTCTTTAGGGCTATATTTCTGGGATTTTATAAGAACCTGTCAAGCAAGAAAAACTCCCCAGAGATTATAGAGTGTTACACACAGATAGAAATAATAAGACCCACAATTCCACTGTGTACCCTGGCCATTCAACTGGGGGATGCTTTTCAAGTCTTTCTAGCAGGGTCCTCAGCTCCTGTAGGCTGTCACTCATCCACTTCCCTTCATCGAAGCTTCTGGCTCTTTGCCACTACCTACAATCTCATCCAGTTCTCTGCTGTGCCGTATGCTCCCTTGATATTGGGAGATTCTTAAAAGAAGTCAGTCCCCCTTGTCAGTTCCAGCTCTCTCAAGAGCCTATCTGCAAATCTCTGCCTCATTGAATATGCATGGTGACCAACTGAATATTTATGATGCCCCAAAGTCTCCAAAGGGCCCCAGCGTTTCGAATGCATGCAGCCCTCCCTGGTACCCATTCCGTAGCTCCCCAGTGGTGTCCCTGCCACTCATCTCTACCCTGCACTCCTTCTCCTTTACTGTTGATCCTAATCCATCAATCCTCAGTCTTCCCGAGGAAGCTTTTCTGAATTACACCACCACCCATGCAGTCGACAGTTACAACACAGGTTAAAATCTGTCTTTTGGAATAGAAGCTTTCCTTGCACAGGGAAATGCCAGTTTCTCATTAACTTCCATAAAGGTAGATGAGATAGGCCGGGCACGGTGGCTCATGCCTGTAATCCCAGCACTTTGGGAGGCCAAGGCAGGCAGATCACGAAGTCAGGAGTTCGAGACCAGCCTGCCCAACATAGTGAAACCCTGTCTCTACTAAAAATGCAAAAAAAAAAAAAAAATTAGTTGGGTATGGTGGCATGTACCTGTAGTCGCAGCTACTTGGGAGGCTAAGGCAGGAGAATCGCTTGAACCCGGGTGGTGGAGGTTGCAGTAAGCCGAGACCACGCCATTGCACTCCAGTCTGGGTGACAGAGTGAGACTCAGTCTCAAAAAAAAAAAAAAAAGACAGATGAGATAGATAGATGCCTTCCATAAAAATAGAGAATGCCTGGGCCGGGCACGGTGGCTTATGCCTGTAATCCCAACACTTTGGGAAGCTGAGGCAGGTGGATCACGAGGTCAGGAGATTGAGACCATCCTGGCTAACGTGGTAAAACCCCGTATCTACTAAAAATACAAAAAATTAGCCGGGCTTAGTGGCGGGTGCCTGTAGTCCCAGCTACTTAGGAGGCTGAGGCAGGAGAATGGCGTGAACCTGGGAGGCAGAGGTTGCAGTGAGCCGAGATCACGCCACTGCACTCCAGCCTGGATGACATAGCGAGACTCTGTCTAAAAAAAAAAAAAAAAAAATAGAATGCCTGAAAAAACAGGGTCTTACACTTACCATGTGTTAAGAATTGCCTTAAATACTTCACCAGACTTATCTTAAGTCCAACCAGTGAGTATCTTCTGGGTGATAATGCAACTTCTTCAGGCTTCGGTTTTCTCATCTGTAGGTGGTGAACATGTCTGCCTATTGTGATGTTACCTTAATGAAATGATGAAAAGAAGTCAACCTTGCAAAGCTAGTTGGTGGGCTCTGATAGTAATGTTCCTCCTCTCTCTTTGTTCTTCACTCTCCCCTCCCCTGGGTGTGTTGTCAGGGAATAAAGAAAGCTCAATATCCCAAGGAGTGAGCTCTGAGCCCTACAGAAGCAGACGCCGAAGAAGGAGTGATGATTTCTGTCGCCACGCTGTTGAGTGTAGCAGACCATGTGCTAATGAGGATGGATGAGGCTGTTTGGTAGAAAGGATCTGCTCTCCTGGAGGAGACCAAACTATGGATGCAGACAATTGATGGCCAGGATGAGGGGCCCCTCTGCAAACTCTCAGGCTGAGCCAGGCCCCCTTATTCAGTGCACAAACCCACTTTTCTATCTTCTGGGAGAACCAGCCTCCAGTGCAGCATCTTCTGACCCATGCTACTCTCCTGAGAAGATAGCATAATGCTCCTCCCAGATTTAGACAGGCTCCACATGGATCTGCTGCTTACTCCCTGTGTGGCCTTTGAAAGGTCACTTAACCTCTCTGGGTCCCGATGTCTCACTTGACAAACAGGCATAATCCCGGCCTGTTCCCATCGTTGGGTAGTTGTGAGAATTAAAAGGAGTTATGGTGTAAAAGACATTATGGGCCGGGCATGGTGGCTCACGCCTGTAATCCCAGCACTTTGGGAGGCCGAGGCAGGCGGATCATGAGGTCAGGATCAGGAGATCGAGACCATCCTGGCTAACACGGTGAAACCCCGTCTCTACTAAAAAAAAAAAATGCAAAAAAATTAGCTGGGCGTGGTGGCAGGCACCTGTGGTCCCAGCTACTCGGGAGACTGAGGCAGGAGAATGGCATGAACCTGGGAGGTGGAGCTTGCAGTGAGCCAAAATCGCACCACTTCACTCCAGCCCGGGCGACAGAGCGAGACTCCATCTCAAAAAAAAAAAAAAAAAAGACATTATGAATACAAGACTAATTTCAAATATCTCATCCTTTCATGAAGCCCTCCCCTACCCTCCTACACTGAATTAATCTTGTATTGCTCTGGACTGCCTCCTGAATACTAATAATATGCCCCTGCTATAGCATTGCTCAGAGTCTGCCCTGGATAATAAGGAGTTATTCACATGCATTTGTTGGCCTGCTAGACCATGAGCTGTATGAGGCAGGTGTACAGGGTATGGCTCTTATGCATCTCTGTGTACACCTCTGCAGGCAGCACAGTGCCAGGCACATGGCACATGTACAGTAAGTGTTTAATGAAATAATCAAGACCTCTTTCTGCCTGGATCCAGCCTTCATGTTAGGTTTTATGTGCTGTTTAATATCTGCAGGTAGAGGAAAGGTTCTGTGAAGGTCCACACTCCCTAGCCTGCGTGACAGTCCCCAGTTGAGCAAGCTGGTGATATAAGTGGGAAAAAATGGGAAGTTTACGGAGTCTGTATATGAAACACAGAACCCAGTTCCTTCCCTCGATCACTGGGTTGTATTCAGTCACAGAACACATCACGGGAACTAGTTGGAGTTTTTGAAGCAATTGCTTCTTGTCTCTGAAATTGCTTCCCTGACTTCTGGGCAAGTCCCTGCAGTGGTTGCAGAGAGCCCCAGCTGTTTAATATCCAGCCCACTGATAGGAGCGATTGCTCATCAAACCCCAGAACCCTGATGCGTTCAAGAGGGACCGTCGACAGCCTCAGCTGCAGAGGTCTCAGACAAATGGTTGCAGAGTGGATTGGCCAACGTTAAGCAACAAACATGATTAAAGGCCAGAAAATAGGACCTGTGAGGAAAGGATGGAGCCATCTGTTTGATTTATTGTGAAGAAGAACAAATAACAGTGTGCAAGGCTGTGGAAATTTTCTACAAGAAGAATAGCAATGTCCAGCTCAATGAGGCCGGAACAAGGAAAGAAGGGCATGAACTGCCACATGAGGGATTTTGTCCAGATGCAGGAAGGAAGAACTTTCCTACTGCCTGGCAACCAGCTAGGCTAGGCGCCGGGATGGTCTCCCAGAAGCAGCTTTGTAAAAATGATAGACCTGAGTCCAGCAGAAAAAAAACAACGATACAAATATCTAGGAGTTGGAAAAGAAAAAGTGATGAGTTTGTTTGTTTGTTTGTTTTTTGAGATGCAGTTTCACTCTTATTGCCCAGGCTGGAGTGCAATGGCATGATCTCAGCTCACCACAACCTCCACCTCCCGGGTGCAAGCGATTCTCCTGCCTCAGCCTCCTGAGTAGCTGGGATTACAGGCACCCACCACCATGCCTGGCTAATTTTGTATTTTTAGTAGAGACAGGGTTTCTCCATGTTGGTCAGGCTGGTCTCGAACTCCTGCCCTTAGGTGATCTGCCTGCCTCAGTCTCCCAAAGTGCTGGGATTACAGGCATGAGCCAGTGATGAGTTTTTATGCATCACCCTTCTGAGTAGATCCAGAACTCCTGGATAGGGTAGGTAAGGAAGTGAGGCCAAGGCGACATTGGGGCCTGAGACATTGAGACTTTGACTAAGCAAAGCCCACATCCCTCAACATGGGTCCTGCCACTGGCCCCAGGGCCTAGCTGAGCCTACAGAGAATGGACAAGTCCCTGAATGTGTTTTAATCAGCAAAACACTAGCAGAATGCCATAATGAATGGATTGCAACTGGGATCACAAATGTGCTTACAACATAGAGGGATTTTTTTAGCATAGGATTTTATTGATTAATTAATGAATGATTATCTACTAGTTTCTGTCTTCCTGAGGAATTACTAGTATGTACAAAGAGTGTGTGTTGAATCTGTTAAAAATAAAAGTATTTATAATAAATATAAATATCATCCTTTGATATACAGTTGAATAGCAGGCTCACGCCTGTAATCCCAGCACTTCAGGAGGCGGAGGCAGGCGGATCACGAGGTCAGGAGATTGAGATCATCCTGGCTAACACAGTGAAACGCTGTCTCTACTAAAAATGCAAAAAATTAGCTGGGCATGGTGGCGGGCACCTGTAGTCCCAGCTACTCAGGAGGCTGAGGCAGAAGAATGGTGTGAACCTGGGAGGCGAAGCTTGCAGTGAGCTGAGATCGTGCCACTGCACTCCAGCCTGGGCAACAGAGCAAGACTCCATCTCAAAAAAAAAAAAAAAAAAAAAAAGGTACCTGGGATTTGTTTTAATCAGGTATGGTAAGACACACAGACATAGAAATGGCTGACATGAAGTAGGTTTTTACTCACAGATGCCTATAAACAAGGGGACACAGCACATAGGGCTACATGGGGAAGCACCAGGATAGGACAAGAGGCAGAGGGAGCAGCAGGAAAACATGGGTAAGAGTTTTATTGTGGTTTCCACAGGAAGGTAAGGCAGAGCAGGGTAAGCAGGCTTAGGATTGGCTAGTTGGGATAATTTCAGCAGGCTCTGGGACATAGGGGCTGTCTCTAGTTGTCTGGTTCCTGGCCCTGGGATTACTAAGGCAGGTAGAGAGTAGTTCAGAGTTTGAGAGCCCAGTAGAGGAGGTGGGGAGCTGTGGGCTCTGGATTGGTCAGCTTGCTTACGAAAAGCATGCTCTCCAGCAAGTCCTTCACTATCTCTAGGAATTAGTTAACTCTGGGAGGGGTATTCCCTCCTAGGTCAGCAAGACCCCAGATACCAGAGCATGAAGAATACAGAAAATTTAAAAATATAGTTAATACAATCCTTTCCAAGGGCAAATATGGGCACAGTTCATTTTGTGTTGATATTGGTGGACAATTGGATTTAGTAAGCCTTAGAGAAATGCAAGAAATTTCAGGCAAAGCCATATAAGAGGGGAAAAGATCAGCTGGATCATAATGAGAGAAAACAAGTTAGAAAAATAGGGCAAAGTGACAGGTAGCAGAGATTAAAGCTCACCCCTGCTTTCCCTCCCCCTCTTGCTTCTGTCCTCTCTGGGAGAGAGGGCAAAGTCAGTGTGAGACTGTGTTCTGTAAAGTATGCCCTGAAGGCTGAATGTTTTATCCAGTCAGGATGCCATGCATTCTAAGGCTAAGGACTCCATCAGCAAGCATTTCTCCCCAAGGTGGGCAAAGATGCTTGTCTGTGTTCAAAGACCACAGATTCTCATCTTATCCCAGCTGTCTCCCAAGTGTATGTAGCCACTAGTCATGGATCCGGCAACAGCTGACCCCTCCCTCACACCAAATACAGAGTGCCAGGCTGTGTTCTTGCTGATGAGTGGTGTCATTAGCAGGGTCTACTCTCTGGCTACTACTACCATCAATATGGAGTGTTGGGCAACCCTCAATAAGAGCTTCCTCTACTTCCTACCTTCCAGAGATAATAAACACAGCTGACAGTGTGGGGTTTTTTTTGTTTGTTTGTTTTTGTTTTTTTGAGACAGGGTCTCACTCTGTTGCCCAGGCTGGAGTCCAGAGTGCAATGGCACGATCTCGGCTCACTGCACCCTCCACTTCCCAGGTTCAAGCAATTTTCCTGCCTCAGCCTCCTGAGTAGCTGGGATTACAGGCATGTGCCACCATGCCTGGCTAATTTTTGTATTTTTAGTGGAGATGAGGTTTCACCATTTTGGCCAGGCTGGTCTCGAACTTCTGACTTCAAGTGATCTGCCCACCTTGGCCTCCCAAAGTGCTGGGATTATAGCGTGTTATCCAGTGTGTTATCCATTGAGGTAGGATAAAAAACGAAGAAGCGTACAAATGCAAATTTTGTCTTTGGGAAGCTGATCACTACCATGAAGCACAGCATCACATACCCATGATTTAAAAATCTACTTTATGAAAAACCTAGATGCAGAGCACAGTGTTATTCACATTTTCAAAGGATTATCCAGGAACAGTTTACCAGGCAAGAGTAATCTGTGGAGCCAACAGGCTGCAAAGGAAAACTCGGGACCCTCAACAGGTCATCTAAGCTCCGTAAGCTTGTTTCCTTATCCATAAAGTGGAGATAATAATGGTACCTACTTCAAAAGGGTATTGGATCAAGGAGATAATGTTTGTAGAGCTCTTGACACAGATTTGGCATATAGCCAGCGCTCAATAAATAATAGCTATTACTATTCTTCACTTTATTAAATGATCACCACTCCTGTAAATAGTAAAAACCTTTTATGAATCTTTTAAAAGGTTTTTTTAAAGAAAATACTGAAGAACAACAAGAAAATAAAAGTTGCCTCAAGTTCTAACATTTATAATGATTAAAGAAAGAAGTGGAAATTACAGCCTCTTCTCCAATCCCACCCTCTGTTAGTTAAATGCTTTTAACAGAATCTTTTCCAACATTTTGCTGTCCTTTATTACATATCTGTAGGTCTGTATCTATTTCTTTTTATATAAAAGTGAGATTACCCTATGCATATTGGTCTGGAACTTGTTTATTTCACTTGACAATACATCATGGAGAATGTTCCTAACCAGTTCATTCATGTCTACTAGGTTCTTATTTGAACAGCTACATCGTACTTTATGGTACAAGTACGCAGTCAATTATTTATCCATTTTCCTGTTGATGGATATTTAGGTTATAATACTCACGGATCCTAAGTGTGATCTGATATGAAAAATCATTTGCTTATACATTTTGTAAATACATGCAAAGCACCTGTAGGTATTTGGAAAAGAAGTGTTGAATTTTAGATTGTGCAGAAGGTTTTTTTTGTGTGTTTGTTTTGAGACAGGGTCTTGTTCTGTCACCCAGGCTGGAGTGCAGTGATCCAATCACAACTCACTGCAGCCTCAGCCTCCTGGACTCAAGTGATCCACTCACCTCAGCCTCCCAAGTAACTGGGACTACAGGTGTGTGCCACTATGCCTGGCTAATTTTTAAATTTTTTTTAGAGATGGGGTCTTGCTATGTTGCCCAGGCTGGTCTTGAACTCCTGGGCTCAAACTGTCCTCCTGCCTCGGCCTCCCAAAGTACTGGGATTACAGACGTGAGCCACTGCACACAGCCATGGAAAAGATTTTGCCTAAACTTACAATACACCATTAGCTGTATGATCAACAGGTTTTCCCTCCTTTTTGGATTAACTATAATTGTTTGCATCATAAAATTGGCTCAATTCCCAGGCCCACCTGGGTCCCAGTCCATCACCCAACAGAGATTTTCACATAGATTCTGGGGGCTGGAGGCAGGAGGCTCTACTTTCCATCTTGCCTGAGTGATCCTCCAGTCTTGTCACCCTGTGGAAGAAGTTGCACGAAGTGAAACTGGCCACCTCTGCCTGGTGACAGCTTTCTTGTCCATGCAGGCCCCTGTCTATACACACCCACGTCCATGAAATGAATGCATTACACTCTGTGGAGAAGGGAGCCAAGCAAGCTCAGAGTTCCACGGTAGAGGAAGACCCTATCATGTTCTCAGGCAAAGAAAATAATCAAGCCAAAAGAAATCCCTGGCCGGGCACGGTGGCTCACGCCTGTAATCCCAGCACTTTGGGAGGCCAAGGCAGGTGGATCACCGGAGGCCAGGAGTTCGAGACCAGCCTGGCCAACATGGTGAAACTCCGTCTCTACTAAAATACAAAAATTAGCCGGGAGTGGTGGCGGGTGCCTGTAATCTCAGCTACTCAGGAGGCTGAGGCAGAAGAATTGCTTGAACCCAGGAGGCAGAGGTTGCAGTGAGCCAAGATCATGCCATTGCACTCCAGCCTGGGTGACAAGAGCAAAACTGATTAAAAAAAAAAAAAAACCCTTTTATAAGCACCAGGTTCATGCTATTCAAAAAGCTGCCACTTGATTATGTTTCTAGTTTTTTCATATATTTTCAGTTGCTCCACATTACTTACCAAAAGATTAAACTCCTTGTACCAGTACCTCTGTCTTCAGCCACCTGGCCTCAACTGACTGTCCCAGCTTTATGTCCCAAAGGATCTGGTCCAACAACCCACTTGCTGCATTCTCAACGTGCAGTGTCCTTTCCTGCTCCCCTCGGTGCGCTTTCTGTCCCCTCTGTGTTCTCACCTCCAGCCTACTGAATCCTACAAGGCCACCACTCGGGGAAGCATCGGCTATAGCAATTGTGTCTTTTAAATTATTTTAATATGCTCATGCCTCTCGTATGCAGCCTTGCATTGCTACTGTTTCCATATAGCCTATGTCCTATACTAGATTATCAAATCTTGGAGGACATGAATTAGGCCACATGAAGCATTTTTGTTTGAAATAGTGTCTGGCTCTGCTGGTCTGGAGTGCAGTGGTGTGAACACAGCTGACTGTAGCCTTGACCCTCTGGGCTCAAGAGATCCTCCTGCCTCAGCCTCCCAGGTAGCTGGGACCAGGTTGCTTAGACCTGGAAGGCTATTTCTGCAGCTTCCCTTGTAGGATATCCTAGCTACTGCCCCCAGGAGATCTGACAGCTTCTCTAGAATGTTGGAGTCATGGCGCACACCTCCACTCACATCCTGGCCCTCCTCTGCCTGATCTCACTCTTCCCATCCACTCCCTGCTTTGTGGTGCAGCAGTGGGGGTGATGCTGCTTCAAGGCTGAGCTTCATACATGGTCACTTTGCAGTGCCCTTGAGAAGGACACATGGTTTGCACAACTGCATCTGTCCCGGGAGCCGTGGCGAACGCAGTCTCCAGGCCTATCTCCCCGGCTCTGGAAGACACACCTTTTTGAGAATAGAGACTCAGTAGAGACTTAGTGACTGTATTGCTCTCAATTCAACTACTAGCAGCAACGTTCCCTCTACCACCATCCCAAAGAAAGTTCTTATAAAACGGAGTTCTGGGGAAGGGACTACAACTGAAGGAATGCAGTGGCACCTTGTTCTTCTAGATTGATGCTGAGAGCTTGCTGCAGCACAATCTACACACACAGTCTACAGGCCTGAACTAGGAGTGGGGCCCAGGGTTCAAAATGACACACACACCGTCCTGGAAGGGTGTCTGCACACAATCACTGCTCAAAGTGCCTGCTGGACACATAAACAAATCAATGCAAATATCCACAGAATAAGAGAACACACCTGTTGTCAAGTCAAGAATGTTGGGTTGAACTTGAGGCTGCTTGTGCTTAGGATCCACTGACAGCTGCCCATCCATGTGGAGTGGTCAGGAAGGAATACAAGGATGATAAACGGGTCAAGCAGGATGCGATAGCTTGAGGAAGGGGAATAGTCCTGAAAGAGGCAAGCAGCCCCCCACCCAAGGTCCCCCAGTGGGCCCTTGAAATCCTTAACCTAATCACATCTGCAAAGTCCCTTTTGCCATGGAAGGTAACTTATTCACACACTTCAGGGACATCCTCAGGGCTTACTGTTCAGCCTGCCACCAGTGGGTGTGCCCCATTCTGTTCCCAAGTCACACTGCAGTTTACGTCTCCATGTGCCTGTCCATAATTCATCTGATGTCCCTCATCTCTAGACCCCCATTCCAGATGCCATCCGTCCTCAAAGACCCACTTACATAAGATTTTGTAGGCACTTTTTTCTGAACTTTGAGGCTTTTATTCTAAAAGGCAGAAAGCAGGAAACAATTTTTAAATTGATGTCAGACATCATTGATCCTGGAAATTCATTGGCAATTGCCTCCCACGGGGACCGTTCTCAGCCCGTGTTTTCTTCAGAGACCACCCCCTGTAACCCATCCTGGCCCTCCTCCATTCGGCCTGCTTAGGACACTTTTGTGCAGATCAGGGCTGCTCTCTACTCAGGCCCATCTCTCCCATCTCAGCCTCCTTCATGCATGTCTCAAGTGTCATTAAGTGCCTAAACTGAGTGCTGTGGCTCTTTGTCACCCCTCTCAGTAGCTACAAGGAAACATCAGAAGCTGTAAAATGACAGGTTTTTCTTTAACATGGACTATCCCTCTCACTACCATCAATGACCTTATGGGGAACGTTATCAAGATGTATTTATTCACAAGCTGTCCAGAGTTAGTTCCTGTGGGTTCAAGGATCTATTTCCGTCATAAGTATTCATTCATGCCTTCACTTGGCAAATATTTAGTAAGCGTCTACCATGTCCACGTACTGCTCTTGGCTCCAGGGTTATAATGATGAACAAGCTCACGCTGGTCCCCATCTGAGAGATAGTTCGTGTTTAATTCAAAGATAAACCACCACCACCAACACCACCCTCAAGTTGTAGATTTAAAGATCACCTCTAATTTCTGTTACCTTGATCATAGAATGACAATGGTCCTTCAGTGTCAGTATGACATATGATGTCATATTTTTCTCTCTTCTGTTAATTCTTAGATGACAAAAGACATGTCAGGAAGATTTTCTTCCTTCATTAATGAAGAAAAGCTAGAGGAAAGTGAGACAAGAGAGGGACCCATCTCCCTCATTGTGATATCCAAATCTAATGCACTTAAGAGCCTCTGAGCCTGCAGCAGGACCAGCCCTCATCAGGCACTCTAATAGGAAAGCCTTTCACTTCCTCTTAACTGGTTCTCACCTGTTTGGGGAGTGAGAATACATAAGGGATTAAAGGGCCTCTTCTTGTAGCTCCTGTTGATGTAAAAGGAAAACAATATCCCTGTTCTGAGAGTTTAGCACAGCCAAACAGATCCAGGGTAAGTGCCTGAAAGCAGGGTTTGCTTTGGATAAGCCTCCATTCAGATAATGGCGAACCAAGTACCCACTTCTCCCTCTAGGCCTTCCAGTATGTGCAGCAAACATCCTTGTTCTTGTTAGGTACAGCTTCTAAAACCCTTAAAGCTTTCATAACGTCCTTGATATTAGTGGTTGGTTTATTCTTTTCCCTGAAAGCTTACAGAAGCATAAAAAATTTCAAAGCTGGAAGGGACCTCAGAGAACAGCCATATTATTTAATTTATATTTTTAATTTTCCTAATTCAACAACTTCAGGGAGGTGAGTTTATTTGCTCTGTTTCCCTCTGTTCTCTGGCCTGTTTCCATTCATTGCCCAATTGCTGCCCTTTCCTCCTGGTGCCCATTCCACCCCCCAGGCCAACTTTCTCCTTGAAAACCATTCTTTGATTTTCCTTGCTTTTTTGCAACACTGCCCATATGAGCTTTATTGATTCTCTCTCCCGTCCTAAAGTTAGAGTATGACTGTAGCCATGCTCTAAGATGCTTTCTGGGTATCTTAGCTGAGATACAGATGGCTGTACAGAGCCAAGGTCCAGATTTTGTAAGCAAGCAGGGACGGAATCAACCAGGGACATCCTCTGGGGTGCAGCCTGCATTCTAGGGCTCCTACAAAAGTGGGCTACTGTGCCTGATTCTGTTAGTACAGTGAGAACTCAGGAGGACTGGAGGCTGGTTTTCATCTGAACACTAATCTTAGGAGAAGGGGGGCTCTGGTACCTGGGGATTATTCCTGGAGAAAACACAGAACAGGACCTGGATTTGTCAGCACAAGGGCTAGTCCAAGCCCGATTCTCACTGGAGAGAAGCTCAAAGCCCACTGTTTCTTTCAAAACAGAAAAGGATAACTTCATTCCTATCTGGATGATCCTGGGTGCAACGGCTTCTACCATTTCCTTAGAAGATAAGTCTTTTGGGCCTGGCACAGTGGCTCACACCTGTAATCCCAGCACTTTGGGAGGCCAAGGTGGCTGGATCACTTGAGGTCAGGAGTTTGAGGCCAGCCTGGCCAACATGGTGTAACCCCATTTCTACTAAAAATACAAAAATTAGCCAGACATGGTGGCACGAGCCTGTAATCCCAGCTACTCGGGAGGATGAGGCAGGAGAATGAACCCAGGAGGTAGAGGTTGCAGTGAGCCGCCAAGATCGTGCCACTGCACTCCAGCCTGGGCAACAGAAAGAGACTCCGTCTCAAAAAAAAAAAAAAAAAAAAAAAAAAAAAGATAAGTCTTTGGGCCTCCGTGACTTTCCAAAGACAGAAGACAGCATCTGGCCCAAGCAAAATGAACCCTCTGTGGTAGCAAAATAATGGCCCCAAAGATGTCCACTTCCTAATCCTCAGAACCTGCGAATATGGTGCCTCACCTGGCAAAAGAGATATAATATTGGAAGATGGTCCTGAATTATCTGGGCAGGCTCAATGTCATCACAAGGGTCCTTACAATAGGGAGGAAGCAAGATGCAAGTCGGAGAAATAAATTGGAAGATGCCTGAAGATGGAGGAAGGGGCCAAGAGCCAAGAAGGCAGGGAGCTTCTAGGGGCAAAGGAATAGTCTCCCCTAGAGCCTCCAGAAAGAATGCAGCCCCAGTATCACCTTGATTTTAGCCCCATGAGATCCATGTCAGACTTCTGACCTCCAGAACTGTCAGGTAATAAGTTCCTGTTGTTTTATGCCACTGAGTTTGGGGTAACTTGTGACCACAGCAATAGGAAATTAATGCACTCTGCTTAAAGGAAGAAAGCAGAGCAGGGGTTGGCGGGGGTTCCTGTGGGTGAGGTTCACGTGATCTAAATGAGCCTCGTGGGAGGTGTCCTGAGAGTCTCCTCTGCCTTGGATCCCTCTGTGAAGCACTGGGCTTTCCCCCCTTCTCCCTGCCTCTCCCTGATACCCAACAGAGCTCCAGCTCCAGACTGGAGCATCATGAGGAAGCAGTTTTCTCTTCTCTGGCTTCCCAGCTGGCCTCAGCAACAGACCTTCCAAATCTGGATTTTCTTACTGTGATAGAAATCCTTACTTTGCGTCCCCAGAAAATTCATGTTGAAGCCCTTACCTTCAATGTAATTGTATTTGGAAACAGGGCCTTTAAGCAGGTAGTAAAGGTTGAATGAGGTCATAAGAATGAGGCCCTAATCCTATAGAACTGGTGTCCATACAAAGAGAAGAAGAGACACCAGAGGGCTCTCTCTTTCTCTGAGCATGCACAGAGGAAAGGCCATGTGAGGACACCGCAAGAAGTTGCCTTCTGCAACCCAAGGAGAGGGACCTCACCAGAAACCAATCCTGGTGGCACGTTGATCTGAAACTTCCAGCATCTAGAACCGTGGGGGAATAAATATCTGTTGTTTAGGCCTCCAGTCTGTGGTAGTTTATTAGAAGACTGTAGCCGACTAGTCACTCATCCCAGGTCTGTCAAGGTTCCAACTTAGAGCAAAGCCTCTACTGCCCTCTGTTCACACAGCTGGACCAACTCAGAGCATTTCTGCTGTTTTCCCCTCTGAGCTTCCCCAACTCAAATGGCCAATTATGCACACAGTAGAAGGAGGTCAGGAGCATCTCTAGGGAGAATTCCTAACAGGTATCAGTCCCCAGAGACAAATGCAGAAAGCTGCTGATGCTCTTTAGCCTTCCCTTGCTTAGGAAGAACATCCCCCACAACAAGACCCCAAGGTCACCCCAAACTCCATCAGTTTTGATTCTCGTCTGCAAGTATGATGACACATACTCCTTGAGAACAGCCAGGACCAAGCCTTCCAGGCAAGCAGGCCTCCCGTCCTCAGCCTCCACCAACAGCAGGTGAAACAAGATTAAAAGGGACAACAAGGCAGACATGAGGGAGACAGTAATTCAATTCAGTAGGCATTGAAGTTATAACTGAGCTTCTGAGGAGGGGTGGGGGTGGGGACAGAGAGTAAGTAGTCTTCTCATTTTGCCCTGACAAATGTGTGCAGCATCATCTCCTATCACTGTCTCCTGGCAGGAAATGAAGGTACTTGAGGAAAGGGTGAGCATAGGTTAGGGGGACTAACAAGGGATAATGCAGTCCCCAGGGTCTGACAGTGATGGAAGAGTTGTTGCAATCCCTAGGTCTAAAGAAGAAAGAGGCCGGGTGTGGTGGTTCACATCTGTAATCCCAGCACTCTGGGAGGCTGAGGCAGGTGGATCACCTGAGGTTAGGAGTTCGAGACCAGTCTGGCCAACATGGCAAAACCCTGTCTCTACTAAAAATACAAAATTACCTGGGCGTGGTGGCGCATGCCTGTTATCCCAGCTACTCGGGAGGCTGAAGCAGGAGAATCGCTTGAACCCGGGAGGCGGAGGTTGCAGTGAGCCAAGATCATGCCACTGCACTCCAGCCAGGTCGACAGAGTGAGACTCCATCTCAGAAAAAAAAAAAAAAAAAAGGAAAGAGGAGGGGAAGGTGCTAGAACCCCAGAGAAGGCAGAGAAAGGCCATGTACAGGAGCAACTCAGATGGGCAGGACCTGCAGAAATGCATAGCCCAACTGACTTCCTTGTCAGTCTTGTTCCAGCCTCCTGCTGGTCCTCCCTATTGACCAAGCTCAACTGGAAACCAGAGCATCAGGAAACTTGGGGGATACAGAGTGAAGGTGAGGGTGGATTTGCAGTGCTGATGGAAGATATCAGCACGCTTACTCTCCAACATGCTGGTCTCCTTTCTGTTCTCTGATATGCCCAGCTTCCTCTCATCTTTCATGTGTCAGATCAAATGTCATCTGCTCAGAGGAAGCCTTTGCTGACCTCTCAATTTGAAGGAATGCACTTGACTCTTAGGACATCTTCCTGTCATCTACTACAGTCAGTAATCAACTTATTGATTGGGTGGTACTCCTTTGCTGTACATCTTTAGACTAGGGACCGTGGAGTCTACTTGAACCACTGGAATGAAAGTGTAGTGAGGGGAGCACCATGCCTGGCACATATTCTTTCTTAAAAGATATTTTTTAGAGCAGTTTTAGTTTCACAGCAAAACTAAGAGTAAGGCACAAAGATGTTCCACATATCTTCTACCCCCACACATGCATAGCTTCCCCCATTACCAACATCCCCCACTGTAGTGGTACATTCATTAAAATTGATACACCTACATTTATAGACCATTATCACCCAGAGTCCATAATTTACATGAGGGTTCACTTTTGGTGTTGTACATTCTGTGGGTTTTGACAAAAGTATAATGGTGTGTATTCATTATTATAGTATCTGAGTATTCTTACTGCCCTAAGAATCCTCTGTGCCGCACCTGTTCATCCCCCGTTTTCCCCTGGCAACCACTGATCTTTTTACTATTTACATGGTTTTTTGTTTTCTGGAATGTCATATAGTTGGAATCATATCAGTATGCAGTCTTTTCAGATTGTCTTCTTTTACTTGGTAATATACATTTAAGCTTCTTCCATGTCTTTTCATAGCACAATCATAGCTTACCACGGCCTCGATCTCCAGGGTCCAAGCAGTCTTTCCAGCTTAGCTTCCTGAGCAGCTGAGACTACAGGCTCATGCCACCACACCTGGCTAATTTTCTTTAGTTTTTTGTAGAGACAGGGTCTCACTATGGTGTCCAGGTAGGTCTGGAACCCTTGGCCTCAAGTGATCCTTCTACCTTGGCCACCCAAAGTGCTGGGATTATAGGCATGAACCATGGTGCCCAATCAGGTCATTTCTTTTTAGTGCTAAATAATATTCCATTGTCTGGATGTACCACAGTTTATTTATCCATTCACCTACTGAAGGACATCTTAGTTTCTTCTAAGTTTTGGTAACTAAGAATAAGGCTGCTGTAAACATCATGTGCAGGGTTTCTTTGTGTGGAAATAAGTTTTCAACTCCTTTGAATAAATAACAAGGAGTGCAATTTTTGGATCATATGGTAAGACTATGTTTAGTTCTGTAGAAAACCACCAAACTCTCTCCCAAAGTGGTCATACCATTTTGCATTCCCACCAGCAATGAATGAGAGCTTCTGTGCTCCACATCTTCACCAGCATTTGGTGCTGTCACTGTTCCAGATTTCAGCCAATTTTACATTATCATTGTCTTGATTTGCATTTTCTTGATGACATATGATCTAGACCATCTTTTTATGTGGTTATTTGCCAGCTATATATCTCCTTTGGTGATGTGTCTGTTAAGGTCTTTAGCCCATTTTAAAAATCAGGTTGTTTTCTTGTTGTTGAGTTTTAAGAGGTCTTTGTATACTTTAGTTAATAGTTCTTAATAAAAAATAAAATGTGTCTTTGGCATATATTTCCTCCCAGGCTGTACTCATCTTCTCATTGTCTTGAAACTGTCTTTGACAGAGCAGAGTTTTTCATTTCCATGGAGCCCAGCTTGTCAATTATTTCTTTCATGAATATGCCTTTGTATATAAAAAGTCATTGCCATACCCAAGGTCATCTAGGTTTTCTCCTACATTATCTTCCAAGAGTTTTATAGTTTGGACTTTACATTTAGGTTATAAATCCATTTTGGGTTTTTTTTAATTAGTAAAGAATAGAAATTTATTTGTTATGGTTCTGGAGGCTGGAAAGTCCAAGGTGCCAGCAGATTTGGCAATTCTGACTCGAAGATGACACTTTGCATGCTGCATGCTTCAGAGGGGAGAAACACTGTTCCTCACATGGCAGAAGAGTAGAAGGGCAAAGAGAGGGTAAGAGAGGGCAAGAGGGGGCCAAAATCTACCAATCTCATCCATGAGGGTGGAGCCCTCATGGCCTAGTTACCTCTCCAAGATCCCACCTCCTAATATTGTTACAATGGCAATTAATTTTTTATATATATCATATATTTATATAATTTAGCACATAGGAATGGAAGCATTTGGTGTTATGGAAAAAACAGATGGACAAATGGATAACCTCTTTCTCTCTCTCCTCTGTTTTTCTTCCCCCATTTTCTCCTTTTTTTGTATTTTACTTTAAGTTTCAGGATACATGTGCAGATTGTGCAGGTTTGTTACATAGGTATACAGGTGCCATGGTGGTTTGCTGCAACTATCAACCCATCATCTAGGTTTTAAGCCCCACATACATTAGGTATTTGTCCTAATGCTCTCCATCCCCTTGCCAGTCATCCCCCAACAGGCCCCAGTGTGTGTTGTCCCCCTCCCTTTGTCCATATGTTCTCATTGTTCAACCCCCACTTATGAGTGAGAACATGCAGTGTTTGGTTTTCTGTTCCTGTGTTAGTTTGTTGAGAATGATGGCTTCCAGCTTCATCCATGTCCCTGCAAAGGACATTATCTCATTCTTTCTTTTTATGGCTGCATAGTATTCCATGATGTATATGGCCACACTGTCTTCCACAATGGTTGAATTAATTTACACTCCCACCAAGAGTGTAGAAGCATTCCTATTTCTCCACAGCCTTGGCAGTATCTGTTGTTTCCTGACTTCTTAATAATTGCCATTCTGACTGGCATGAGATAGTATCTCATTGTGATTTTTATTTGCATTACTCTAATGATCAGTGATGATGAGCTTTTTTTTTCATGTTTGTTGGCCACATAAATGTCTTCTTTTGAGAAGTGTCTGTTCATATCCTTTGCCCACTTTTTGATGGTTTTTTTTTTTTTTTCTTGTAAATTTATTTAAGTTCCTTGTAGATTCTGGATAGTAGACTTTTGTCAGATGGATAGATTGCAGAGTGTAAGGTTTGGATTGATTTTTGTGTGTGTGGATTTCCAGTTGTTCCAGCACCATTTGTTGAGAGAACTGTCTTTGCTTCATTGTATTACCTTTGCTTCTTTGCCAAAGATCAGTTAACTATATTTACATGGGTATATTTCTAGGATCTCTATTTTGTGCCACTGAATTATTTGTCTGTTTTTTCACTAATACCACACAGGCTTAATTTGTCTGTCCTTTCATTAATACCACACTGGCTTAATTACTGTAACTTTATAGTTAAAGTCTTGAAGTTGGGTACTGTCAGCCCTCCAACTTTGTTCTACTTCAGTACTGTGTTGGCAATTCTGGGTCATTTGCTTCTCCATATTGACTTTGGAACCAGTTTGTTAATATCCACAATATCCACAAAATAACTTGGTGGGATTTTGATTAGGATTGCATTGAATCTATAGATCAAGTTGGGAAGAACTGGTATTTTGACATTATTGAATCTATCCATGAACATGGAATATTCCTCCATTTATTTATTTCTGTGATTTTTTTAAGCAGAGTTTCGTATCACTCAGATAAATCTTACACACATTTTGTTAGATTTATACCTAAGTATTTCATGTTTTTAACTTAAATTTTACTTGTTCATTGACATTTGTATATTAACCTCATATCCTGCAGCCTTGTTATAATCACATATTAGTACCAGTTTTTTGTTGTTGAATCTTCTCAATTTTCTATGTAGATGATTGTGTCATCTGCAAACAAAGACAATTTTATTTTTTCCTTCTCAATCTGTATACTTTGTTTCCTTCTCTTGTCTTATTCCATTAATTGTATTTCCAGTCTAATATTAAAAAGGAGTGTTGAGAGGGGGCATGGCTGCCTTGTGTCTGATCTTACTGGGAAATTTTAAGTTTCTTATCATTGAATGTGATGTTAGCTATAGGTTTTTTGAAATATTATTTGTCAAGTTAAGGAAGTTCCCTTCTATTCCTAGTTTAGTGAGAATTTTTTATCATGAATGTGTTTTTGATTTTGTCAAATGCTTTTTCTGCATCTATTGATATGACCATGTGATTTTTCTTTTTTAGCCTGTTGATGTGATGGATTAGTTAATTGGTTTTTTAAAGTTGAGCCAGCTTTGCATACCTGGGGTATATCCCACTTGGTCATGGTGTATAATCCTTTTTATACATTTTGGGTTTTGATTTGCTTAGGTTTCTTTTTTTGAGGATTTTTGCATCTATCTTCATAAGAGATATTGGTCTTTAATTTTCTTATTTTGTAATGTCTTTGGTTTATGTGTTTTAGGGTAGTAGGGTAATACTGGCCTCACAGAATGAGTTAGGAAGTATTCTTTATTCATCTCTGAGACAGATTGTAGGGAATTTCTATAATCTCTTCCTTAAATGTTTGGTAGAGTTCATGAGTAAACCTATTTGGGTCTGGTGACTTCAGTTCTGGAAGGCTATTAATTATTGGTTCAATTTCTTTAATATATACAGGCCCATACAGATTGTGTATTTCCTCTTGTGTGAGTTTTGGCAGATTGTATCTTTTTAAGAATTGGTCCATTTCATCTAGGTTATATAATTTGTGGGCATAGAGTTTTTCATAGTACTTCTTTATTATTCTGTTAACATTCGTGGGATCTGTAGTGATGTCCCCTCTTTACTTTCTAGTATTAGTGATTTGTGCTGTCCCTTTTTTTTCTTAGTTAGCTCAGCTAGAGGCTTATCAATTTCATGTATCTTTTCAAAGAACCAGTTTTCATCTTAGTTTATTATTTTCTATTTATTTCCTATTTTTAATTTCAATTATTTCTGCTCTATTTTTTATTGCTTCTTTACTTCTGTTCATTTTGGAGTTAATTTGCTCTTCTTTACATAGTCCCTTAAGGTGGAAACCTAGATTACTGATTTTAGATATTTTGAATATATGCATTCAATGCTATGCACTTCCCTCTAAGTACTGCTTTTGCTGAATCCCACAAATTTTGATAAGTTGTGTTTTTATTTTCACATAGTTCAAAATATCTTTGATTTCTCTTGAGATTTGTTTGACTCCTGTTATTTAGAAATGTGTTGTTTAATGTCTATGTATTTGAGGAATTTTTTGTCATCTTTCTGTTATTGATTTCAAGTTTAATTCCATTATGTTCTGAGAACAGATGTTATGTTAAATTCATTAAGGCATATTTCCTGGCCCAGAATATGGTCTATCTTGGTGAGTGCTCCATGTGAACTTGAGAGAAATGTGTATTTTGCTAGTGTTAGATGAAGTAATCTGTAGATGCAATTACATTCATTTAATTGATGGTGTTATTGAGTTTAACTAGGTCCTTAATAATTTTCTGCCTGTTGGATCTGTCCACTTCTGATACAGAAGTACTAATGTCTCCAACTGTAACAGTGGATTTATCTATTTCTTCTTGTAGTTCTGTTAGTTTTTGCCTCACAAAGTTTGGCCTTCTCTTGTTAGGCACATAAACATTAAAAACTGTTACGTCTTCTTTGAGAAGTGGTCCTTTTATTTTTATGTAATACCTGTTCTTTATTCCAGATAACATTCCTTGCTCTGAAGTCTGCTCTGCATAAAATTAATATAGCTACTCTCATGTTCTTTTCATTCGTATTAACATGGCTTATCTGTCTCCATTCCTCTACTTGCAATCTATATGTGTCTTTATATTTAAAGTGGGTTTCTTATAGTCAGCATAATTAGGTTTGTCTTTTGATTCACTCTGAAAATCTCTGTCTGTTGATTGGTGCATTTAGACCATTGATGTACAAAGCAATTACTGATATAGTTGGATTAGTATCTACCATATTTATTACAGTTTTCTGTGTTGTTCTTTATGTTTTTGTTTCCATTTTCTTTCTGTCTTTTGTGGTTTTAATTGAACATTTTACATGATTCTATTTTCTCTAATTTCTTAACCTATCAGTTAAACTACTTTTTTTTATTATATTTTAAGTTTTAGGGTACATGTGCACATTGTGCAGGTTAGTTACATATGTATACATGTGCCATGCTGCTGTGCTGCACCCACTAACTCGTCATCTAGCATTAGGTATACCTCCCGATGCTATCCCTCCCCCCTCCCCCCACCCCACAGCAGTCCCCAGAGTGTGATATTCCCCTTCCTGTGTCCATGTGATCTCATTGTTCAATTCCCACCTATGAGTGAGAATATGCGGTGTTTGGTTTTTTGTTCTTGCGATAGTTTACTGAGAATAATGATTTCCAGTTTCATCCATGTCCCTACAAAGGACATGAACTCATCATTTTTTATGGCTGCATAGTATTCCATGGTGTATATGTGCCACATTTTCTTAATCCAGTCTATCATTGTTGGACATCTGGGTTTGTTCCAAGTCTTTGCTATTGTGAATAATGCTGCAATAAACATACGTGTGCGTGTGTCTTTATAGCAGCATGATTCATAGTCCTTTGGGTATATACCCAGTAATGGGATGGCTGGGTCAAATGGTATTTCCAGTTCTAGATCCCTGAGGAATCGCCACACTGACTTCCACAATGGTTGAACTAGTTTACAGTCCCACCAACAGTGTAAAAGTGTTCCTATTTCTCCACATCCTCTCCAGCACCTGTTGTTTCCTGACTTTTTAATGATTGCCATTCTAACTGGTGTGAGATGGTATCTCATTGTGGTTTTGATTTGCATTTCTCTGATGGCCAGTGATGATGAGCATTTTTTCATGTGTTTTTTGGCTGCATAAATGTCTTCTTTTGAGAAGTGTCTGTTCATGTCCTTCGCCCACTTTTTGATGGGGTTGTTTGTTTTTTTCTTGTAAATTTGTTTGAGTTCATTGTAGATTCTGGATATTAGCCCTTTGTCAGATGAGTAGGTTGTGAAAATTTTCTCCCATTTTGTAGGTTGCCTGTTCACTCTGATGGTAGTTTCTTTTGCTGTGCAGAAGCTCTTTAGTTTAATTAGATACCATTTGTCAATTTTGGCTTTTGTTGCCATTGCTTTTGGTGTTTTAGACATGAAGTCCTTGCCCATGCCTATGTCCTGAATGGTAATGCCTAGGTTTTCTTCTAGGGTTTTTATGGTTTTAGGTCTAACGTTTAAGTCTTTAATCCATCTTGAATTGATTTTTGTATAAGGTGTAAGGAAGGGATCCAGTTTCAGCTTTCTACATATGGCTAGCCAGTTTTCCCAGCACCATTTATTAAATAGGGAATCCTTTCCCCATTGCTTGTTTTTCTCAGGTTTGTCAAAGATCAGATAGTTGTAGATATGCGGCGTTATTTCTGAGGGCTCTGTTCTGTTCCATTGATCTATATCTCTGTTTTGGTACCAGTACCATGCTGTTTTGGTTACTGTAGCCTTGTAGTATAGTTTGAAGTCAGGTAGTGTGATGCCTCCAGCTTTGTTCTTTTGGCTTAGGATTGACTTGGCGATGCGGGCTCTTTTTTGGTTCCATATGAACTTTAAAGTAGTTTTTCCCAATTCTGTGAAGAAAGTCATTGGTAGCTTCCATGCTCATGGGTAGGAAGAATCAATATCGTGAAAATGGCCATACTGCCCAAGGTAATTTACAGATTCAATGCCATCCCCAGTTAAACTACTTTTTTAAAAACCTTTTTTTTAATGGTTGCCCTAGAGTTTGCAATATACACCTACAGCCAATCCAGGTCCACTTTTAAATAATACTATACCACTTCAAAAATAGTTTGATGCAGTGAGCCGAAATAGCGCCATTGCACTCCAGCCTGGGTGACAGAGTGAGACTCCTTCTTAAAAAAAATAATAATTTGAGTACCTTATAATACTATGAAGCCATAAAAAAGAATGAGTTCATGTCCTTTGTTAGGACATGGATGAAGCTGGAAGTCATCATTCTCAGCAAACTAACACAGGAGCAGAAAACCAAACACCACATGTTCTCACTCATAAGTGGGAGTTGAACAATGAGAACACATAGACACAGGGAGGGGAATATCACACACCAGGGCCTGTCAGGAGGTGGGGGCCAAGAGGAGGGAGAGCATTAGGACAAATACCTAATGCCTGCAGGGCTTAAAACCTAGATGACGGGTTGATAGGTGCAGCAAACCACCATGGCACATGTATACTTATGTAACAAACCTGCATGTTCTGCACATGTACCCCAGAACTTAAAGTAAAAGAAAAAAGAAAAAAAAGAAGAAAAAATAATAATAAAATAATTTTAATTCCTCCCTTTCATCCCTTGTAACATTGGCATCATTCATTTCACTTATGGCTAAGCATATACAAGCATATATATATAATATATATACATACACATATATAATTTAATACATTGTTGCTATTATTTTAAACAAACTATTACCTTTTAGCTGAAGTAAAAATATGAGAAATAAGAGTTTTTATTTTATCTTCACTTATTTTTTCTTCATTATTCTTCCTTTCTTTATGTAGATCTGAGTTTCTAACCTATATCATTTTCCTTATCTCTAAAGAATTTCCTTTAACATTTCTTACAAGGCAGGTCTACTGGCAACGAATTCCCTCAATTTTTGTTTGTCCAAGAAAGTCTTTATTTCTCCTTCACTTCTGAAGGATAATTTCACAGGATACAGGATTCTAGGTTGGTGGTTTTATTCTTTTAATACCTTAGGTATTTCACTTCACGCTCTTCTTGCTTGCATGGTTTCTGAGAAGTCAGATGTGATTCTTACCTTTGTTCCTCTACAGGTAAGAGTCCCACAGTCCTAGCTTCTTTCAAAATTTTTTCTTTATCTTTGACATTCTATTGTTTGATAATGATGTGCCTAGGTGTATTTTTTGCATTTATTCTACTTTGTATTATTTGTGCTTTCTGGATCTGTAGTTTGATACCTGTTATTAATTTGGGGAACCTATCATATATTCTTAAATACTTGTTGAGTGAATCAATAAATACTCATTGAGTGAATGAGTGAATGAATGAATAAAATGGAAATCTGAAGAATGAGTAGGTATTATCCAGTTAATATGCCACCACACCGGACAGCTGCCAGGAGAAGGAAGGTATGGCCAGGCTCACCCCAAAATCACAGGTTCCCCCCTTTCTGGTAGGTTCTCCCCTGACTCTATGGAGTACTGTTTTCAGTGATGGGGTTTTCCATCACTATGCTCCCCACATGGGTTCCAAGAAGAGACTAGACTCCCCCACATTGATACCTACAAGACAGAAAAAGCTAAGCCTTGTCAGGAAAGAAATGACACAGCAATTATGGTCCCATGCTGTGCTTGTCCACCTGCTCCTGAGCTCTGTGATGATTAAGCTAGTTGTGTGTAAACTTACACCAACTTATGATCTGAATAGGGGACACCATCCAGGATAGAAGATAGAAGGTCCCCGAGGAGAACCTAATGGTACTACTTCTGGGGCTATTTTAAATTGTGACAGGTGTCTTATTTAAAAAATCAGTTGAAGGCAGGGGGAAGTGAGTATATTAAAAAAATAGAGTATATAAAAACATGAACATGGCATTCAAGAACTAGATACAAGTAATCTTAAAGATATTTAGAGGCCAGGTGTGGTGGCTTATGCCTATAATCCCAGCACTTTGGGAGGCCAAGGCAGGTGGATCACTTGAGGCCAGGAGTTCGAGACCAGCCGGGCCAACTCAGCAAAACCCTATCTCTACTAAAAATGTGAAAATCAGCCAGGTGTGGTGGCATGTGCCTGTAGTCCCAGCTACTCAGGAAACTGAGGCAGGAGACTTATTTGAACCCGGGAGGCAGAGGTTGCAGTGAGCCAAGATCGCACCACTGCACCCCAGCCTGGACGACAGAGCAAGACACCTTCTCAAAATATATATATATATACACATATAACAGAGCGAGACACCCTCTCAAAAAATATATATGTGTGTGTGTGTGTGTGTGTGTGTGTGTGTATATATATATATATATATATTTAGAAACATAAGTAAATATTAGATGGCATTTATTTGAAGTAGAAGAGACTATATGCTTATTAAAATATAATATGAAAAATGAAATAATAAAATGACAAACTGAAGTTTGTTTTTTTTTTTTGGAGATGGAGTCTCGCTCCGTCGCCCAGGCTGGAGTGCAGTGGCGCGATCTTGGCTGACTACAACCTGTGCTTCCCAGGTTTAAGTAATTCTTCTGCCTTAGCCTCCAGAGTAGCTGGGACTACAGGCGCACACCACAACGCCTGGCTAATTTTTGTATTTTTAGTAGACACAGGGTTTCACCATGTTGATCAGGCTGGTCTCGAACTCCTGACCTCATGATCCACCCACCTCAGCCTCCCAAAGTGCTGGGATTACAGGTGTGAGCCACCACGCCTGGCCCCTGAAGATATATTTAAGAGCATGGTAGGTTAAGGAAGGAATGAAAGGAAGCAAATAACAGCATGAGAAATGGCACTGGGAGTGGCAAAGAGCAAAATTGATGCCATAAAAAAATGCCATAAAAAATGCCATAAAAAAATACCAACAAGGAAGTGAAGGACAGCTGGAGATGCTCTCCAGATGCAGAAGCGAAAGGACTAAAAGATGGGAATGGACAGAGAAAAGACTTTGAAGTGTGAGCTCAGTGAGTAAGAACTAACATAGATAATGGGAGTTCTTGAATAGGAGACCAGAAAAATGGAATTGAATCAATATAAAGTATAAAATAGGATCCAGTAGAAGAAAACTTAGATGAATTTAGAGATACTTGAATAGGTAGATAGAATAAGCTCCCCAGGCACAATTAATTAAAAGTAACCAACACAAAGAAATATATTGGTGATGTTTGTTTTAATTTCAGAATAAATCAAGAATTTGACAATGTCCTGGCAAGAAATTTAAAAAGAAAATAAAGTTATCTACAAAGGAACATAAGTTACATTTGCCATGTTCTCCGTAACATAAGTTTATGTAAATTCCAGAAGACGGCAGCTACACAGTGGAGGGGAAGGTTCTGATCTAAGAATACACCGGCCAACCAAGGTATCATTTACTTTTCAAGGCAATACAGAGACTTTCTCAGATACATAAAAATCTAAAAATGTATCCTGCGGCTTTTCTGCCAAGGAAAAAAAATTACACTAACATGTTTATCTGACGACCCCACGATGAATGAAAAAGCTCACAAGACTATCGCATTGCTAGTGAACATGGAAACTACTTAAACTACGGGTCTAAATAATTATTGTCAATGTAGTTATGAAATGGAATGCAAATATCATGGTCCTTGGAAGCAAAAGAAAGCACAATGTAAACAAAGATAATTAGAATTGATCAATATTGGGGCCAAAACTTTGACAGCAGGTAAATCTGGGAGGAAGAGAGGAGAAGAAGTAAGATGCAATAAGTTTTTCCTCCTGTATGTAAATAAGTCATTAGGTACTGCTTCATTAATGACTGTCATCATCATAAAAACTATATAGGTTTTATAATATTTTGAAAATCAAAAGTAACTACTTATAGAGTTAAATATAACACTATAGAGGAAAAAACAAAACAAAACATGGTCTCATACAACTAATGGTATGAAATAAAGCAAACAGCAAAAAAAACATAAAAAGCAGAAAACCGGCCAGGCACGGTGGTTCATGCCTGTAATTCTAGCACTTTGGGAGGCCGAGGCAGACAGATCATCTGAGGTCAGGAGTTCGAGACCAGCCTGAACAACATGGAGAAACCCCGTCTCTACTAATAATACAAAATTAGCTGGGTGTGGTGGCACGTGCCTGTAATCCCAGCTACTCGGAAGGCTGAGGCAGGAGAATCACTTGAACTTGGGAGGCGGAGGTTGCAGTAAGCCAAGATCGTGCCATTGCACTCCAGCCTGGGCAACAAGAGTGAAACTCCGTCTAAAAAAAAAAAAAAATGCAGCAAACCAAAATACGAATAATAATAATAATACAGACATAAGGACAAACAGGTCAGGTAATAGACAAAGATAAGTGGGTCTAACTCCTACATTAAAACACAGACTTTCACAGTGGTTCAAGAAATAAAGTATAGCTTTATGTTATCTACAAGATATACACTTACAACATAATTACTCCAAAAATGTAAAAGTTTAGAGCTGAGCAACAAGAACAAAAAAACACCAGGTGACACAAATATAATATAAAGCAGTGTTGCACAGAATTCAAGTGATAAACCACTTAGAGTACACATTTTTTATTTATGAAGTTTATAATCCATGATGAAAATCTAACAGTCCTAACTATTTACACACATAGTAGTGTTACATCAGAATACTTCTGTAATATCAGCACTTTGGGAGGCCAAGGTGGGAGGATTGCTTGAGGCCAGGAGTTCAAGACCAGCCTGAGCAATAGCGAGACCCTGTCTCTATAAAAAAATTAAAAATTTGCTAGGAGTGGTGGTGTGCGCCTGTAATCCCAGCTATTCAGGAGGCTGAGGCAGGAGGATCGCTTGAGTCCAAGAGGTTGAGGCTGCAGTGAACCGTGATCACACCACAGCACTCCAGTATTGGTGACAGCAAGATAAAGGGGAATATTTCTTGAACAATTCAGAATTGAAAGACTAAAGAAAGCGGTCAATATTGACTATTCAATAATTATTTCCATCATTAACATGCAGAGAAGTAAAAACATATTTACAAAAATTAACCATATATTAGGCTGTAAAGAAAACAACATGAATTAACGGGACAAAAATGAATGAAATCCAATGAATTATCCCTTCATCTCAGAATGTAAAAGGATACAATTAAATAAATTCTGAAAAAGTAGGAGAGCATAATTGATCATCATGAAAGCCAAAATTAATTAAATAAAAGCAGAATTGATTAGTTCATTCAAAAATTGTGGCTTAAATAAATACAAATAAAATATGCAAAGCATGCATCCACATCAATGAGAACAAACTAGAGAGAAAGATCTGCACACACAAAATAAGACCAAAATAAAGTAAGAAACCACAGTGGATATAAAAAAGGGTTTTTGTTGTTGTTGTTTTGAGACAGAGTCTTGCTCTGTCACCCAGGCTGGAGTGCAGTGACATGATCTTGGCTCACTGCAACCTCTGCCTCCTGGATTCAAATGATTCTCCTGCCTCAACCTCTCAAGTAGCTGGGATTACAGGCATGCACTACCACGCCCAGCTAATTTTTGTAGTTTTAGTAAAGACGATTTCACCATGTTGGCCAGGCTGGTCTTGAACTCCTGACCTCAAGTGATCCACCCTCCTTGGCCTCCCAAAGTGCTGGGATTACAGGTGTGAGCCATCACACCCAGCCTAAAATAGGGTCTTGTTAATATCCACAAAAGAGAAAATTTCTAGGAAACTATCATCAAAATTGTATATTATCAAAATCAACATTATAAAAACTTTAAAAGCCCAAATTGGTGAAAAATCCTGGAAGAAATTGAAAAAATTGTCAGTGAATTGCCCTCTGAAAAGAGTCTGAGTAGAGGTAAATTCTCAGGCAGTATTTGGAGCCTCATGCTACAAAACATCACCAAAGTGAATCCATAATAACGTGGCTTTTCCAATTGATAAAAGAGCGTGTTATTTTACCCTCACAGTCTCAGCCCATCAGGTAGCTTAAAACTGGCATGCATTTGGTTTCTTCAAGTTTGCTCTTTTCAAATATCCCCCTAATTTTTAAAAAGGACCAACCTTTTTCCTTGATGTTCTTCTAAAAGTACAATCATTGGAAAACAATTATCTCCTACTCTCTTCATTTTTAAAACAGATGAGGTGTTTTTATTATTGGGATAGATGGGAAAGAAGGGAAAGAGACTCTAGAGAAGGAGGCCAGAGAAGGAGTTAGGACTGAGAGATGCTGCGGCAGAGGAGGGGAAGAGGCCAGAACCACCATAGATGGGGCATTTAATACTCATTTAATAACACTCTGGGGAATGGGGGGCGGTTCTCTCTGCCAAGAAGCCAAGAGCAATTTCATGAGGGCTAACACTGGGCAAAGCTGGGATTGCATGCTCATGTAACGGGGATGCCTAGCTTCCAGGTGATTAGTGGGCAATGCTGTCTCACATTAACTACCTACAGTTGCTGCCTTTGCCATACCCAAAGCCCAGAATCCCAGGATATGCTGGACATCCCAGGAAACACTCTGCAGAAGTTGCTAAACATTGCCCCAGAGCTCTGGCCAACGTAGACGGCCACGCGCACTGAGTGAGCCTCTTTCTCTGCAAAACGAGTTTTCACACAATTGTTACAATCACGACCTACGAGAACATGAGGATTGGAGTTGGCCCCATTCCTAAGGGAAGACCCAGCAAACAGGAAGAGAGAGAAAAGGGGGAGAAAAATGGAGAGGAGAGATGCTTTGCCAGCACTTTTTTTTTTTTTTAAATCACTCCTTCTAAATGACTCTGGATTTGTGTTTTTCATTCAGGCTGGATGTGCTGAGGCATTTTTATTTTGCTCCATTTCCCTCCCACCCCACCTTCCAAGCAAATTCCATCCCAGCGCTGTTGATTTCTGTCTTGCGACCATTATGGAAATCTGGCTTCATTTCTCCTCCTAATTTATGATCTTGTTAACATGCCCGCATGCCAGATGGTCCTGTTCTTCAGGTTGGGAGATAATGAGATAAACAAAAACTGCTGTAAGAAGCAAACAGGGGGAGTTTTTTCCTTGAATGGGCCGCTCTTCATTTCTACAAATGTGCTTTGGAGGCCTCTGCCGCAGCTCACTGTGATTCTAAGCAGGTGAACAGCCCTCAATTGTGCTGAAGTGGCTGCCAAGAGGTGAGTGATTTCTTCCACGTGGCGCTGTGTGCTCTGGAATTCTGTCCCTGAAAGAGTTGGGGCCTTGGGGTTACTCCCCTTCCCAGCCTGCCCTGGAGCTTGTCATTCAAAAGCACCATTTGCCCACCACTGTCACAACACTTAACACATTGTACTGTAATGGTTTGTTTTTCTTTTTGCACTGTGAGCCCTCCGGGGCCAGGGACCCGGGTCTCTTTGCTCTGAATGACAATGCTAGCACAAGGCTTGGCACATAGTTGGCAGATAGTCAACAAATAGTTATGAAACACAGCCACCGTAAATATGCAAAGTACTATGCTAAGGAGAAGAGCAAGGAGTTGAATAAGTGAAATATAGGCCACAGAATGACGCAACCAGCAGAATTGACAAATGGGCGGTCAGAGACTTCAGCCCTGCGTTGGGCTGTGCATGTTATCCTTAAGTGCCTTTCCTCACCAGTGGAGACACCACCCAAGGTGAGACCATAAATAGACATGCTGAGGAAGAGTTTTCCGTCATCCTTCATCTTTCCTGCACCCCAGCATCTGGGCACTAGGAATAATCTCAAGGAGCCATTTCATCCACTCCCTTTGTTGTCACCAGCTGTCCTCAGACTTTCCCAAGAGACTAGCTATCCAACACCCACTACAGAAGGAGCGCGAAAGAAATAGGCAGACTGTCACTACTAAGTTTACACTGGTAAACCAGCTCACTCAGCACAGTTGGTGTCTAGCCCGGGGGTCTGCCAGCGAGGCCTGGGGGCCAAATCCGGTGCCACCTGCTTTCATAAATAACATTTTGTTAGAACACAACCACGTCATTCATGTATGTGTTGTCCATGGTCACTTTCAAGCTATCATGGCAAAGTTGAATCGTTGCAGCAGAGAACTTACAATCTAAGATATTTACTCCCCGGCCCTTTACAGAAAAACATTTACTAGCCCCTGATCTAGAGGAAACACAGGCACCCCTGTTCACACACGTGCATGGGCTTGCTTCAGCACAGGAGACCATCACCATGTCCACCGTCGAGGGGCATCAAGAGCCATGGCACCTGACAGCCCCAAAGAGACTGAATAAGTATCCTAGGTGTTGCAAGATTCTCTCCTCCTGCATCAGGCATCCAGGGGAATGGGCCACTGAATGCGCCACCTAAAGCCTGAAAGTTAGGGTGGAAAGTATATCTCAATTGTTATTTTTCATTACTTGCAAAATAGACTTTCACACTAGCTTGTCATAACTGGCCATAAACTGTTCCCAGAGAATGTTGTGGGGTTTGGTTGGGCGGAAAGTGGGGACAAGAGTCAGACCTGCTGCAGTATTATCCTATCTAGCCATGTACCCAGGAAACATCCTGAAAGCATGAAAAACAGCCCCCTGCAGTAATCCTCCCCTGAGATTAGGCTCAAGCCGGAGGAATGTACTGATAGAGTTCCAAATAATAGGATTAGCCTCAGCTAAAGTGTACTAATGCCCCTGACTCTTTAGAAGACTGGAAACATTTCAATTTAGCAATTTGCTACTGCCAGGACCCTTTTGTAAATATCCTCTCCAGTCTGTCAATCTCTTTTGAGTTCCAGCTTGGAATGAAATTAGCTTGCATTGCCCCCTCCCGAGAACCTGGAGTCTAAGTCTTAGGGATGTGACCCTTCTTGAAGGCAAGTCACTGGTGACAATTCACCTTCAGGCCAGCTTCCGTGAGGGCCGTAAAGTGCCTCTCAGTGAAGATTATTAGGAGCCTGGCCAAATGTTTGCCCAAGTTGCCTTGAAAGGCAAAAACCCATTTAAATCCCATTCAGACTAAAGGTCAAAAGTCTGATATCCTGGGTTTTTATTGTGTCGGATGGGGTTCAGGAGCAGTGGGATGAAGAACCAAGAGTGTTATAACACCCAAGGAGCATTACGTTTCCAACGGAGCCAAACTTCCCTGACTTGATAGTTTTGTCCAAGGCCAGCCCTGTGAGCCCTCAGCTGTCGGGACAAATAGATAACTAAAAGCCACACTGAATAGCTGAATAGTGTCTGCGAATTGGCCCTGAGAAATCTCGGTGTGCACTATTTATAGGCAGGAATTATTGGTCATAGAGTGGTCAGAATCATCACACTCACTGGTATGGAGGGTCCTTTAACACCATATTGTTCAACATCCTTGTATTATAGATGAGCAAAAGCTGAAACCCAAAGAGGTGAGATGGCTACCCACAGTAAAGATTAGAATTACTAGTTTCTTGGCCAGGCTTTTTGCTGTTTCACTATTCTGCCTACTTATATTACTAAGGACTCTTTCAGCTTCACAAGATCAACTCAAACTGGACTAAGCAGAAAAAACATTATTTTTTCGTGGAATTTATGGCCTCGTTTTACTACAAATGCTTGGAGTACTGGGCTTCAGGCATGGTTAGATCCAGGTGCACAGATGATGTCATCACTGATCTATTTCTGTCCATCTCTTGTTCTGCTTTGTTCTCTGTTGGTGTCCTTATCAGACAGATTCCTCTACATCCATCTTTCCAAATCAGCAACCTTAACAAAAAGAGTGTGCATCCTTTCCAGTAATTCAGGCAGAAGCCCCAGGGCTAATGCTCATTGGTTCTGATGGACGCACTTGAATTATATGCTCATCCCTGAATCTGTTGCTGCAACCTAGAGGATGTGATAGTCATATTCACTTCTGAAGCCACATGGCCAGAGAATGGCAAATGGATGGTTCCTCAAAGAAAAATCAGGGTACTATGCCCAGGGGATAAAATGGGAGATGCTGGGGAAATGCTGGGGAGTCCACGCTGCTCCCTGATGAGTCTGTTTCTGAAGCTGTCTTTTCTCAATTGGGGGTATGTCAACTCCTAGTTTGGAGCCTCCTTGTCTAGATTCTCTCTTCTAGGCTAGGCAAGATGTCTCCAAAATCTTTCTGGTCATCCCCTTCACCGCAGTCTAGCCATCCTTCCTCTTTAACTCTGGGTTACAGAGCCCTTATTTGACTCCTCAAATTATTCCCTTTGTTTAGGGAGAAGACCACCCCAGACCAATGGTCAGCATCTTAGCCACAGTGCTTCTCGGGGCCCCAATTTTATGAAAATCTTTCTCTTCTGCTTTCATGTTGTTCTCCTTTTGCCATCCTGACTGCTGGGTCCCTTCTTCCCTTTTATCTATTTTTTGCAAATCTCCCAATCTAGTCCACTGAGCATCTGACATGACCTTTTCCATCAACACTTAACATTAACTCTCCCTTGAGTGTCTAGCTTTAGTCTTATTTGCACCCAGTAATTATATTAGAGTGCTGAAATATATTTTATGTAATATTATGTGGTGCTTTATAGTTTGTATCTCATATGTCCTTTGCATTAATCCTGTGAAGTAGGCAACTGCCCCATTTGCAGAATGAAAAAACCCAACTCAGAGAACATAAGGGTAGGAGAGCTGAAGGGTAGGCAGAGGGAAGTGGCAGATCCAGGACCTGAAGACCAAGGCCAGCATGTTTCTGTTGAAACCACACAGATGCTCAAATGAGAAGCCAAGCTTACTTAAACAGCAGTTTTCAACCGGGGGCCAGTTTTGCACCCCAGAGAACCTTTGGCAATGTATGAAGATGTTTTTGATCATCCCAACTTGGGGATGATGTCAGTTTACTGGCAACTAGTGGGTAAAAGTCAAGAATGTTGCTAAACATCCTACAATGCACAGAGCAATTCCCCCCTTCCCCAACCACCATCACACACACAGCAAAGAATTATGCAGCCCCAAATGTCAGTACTGCCCAGGCTGAGAAATCCTGGCTTAGGAGCATTCAAAGAATAGGGGTTTCCATCCATAGCTCCTAATGGCCTTTTTTTCTGTCCTCAGCTACAGGCAAATGAAATCAGTCATTACCATTATTTCCTCTTTGTCAGAAAGGTCAGAAATATACAGGCCTGGATACAAGAGTCAGGGGAGAAGGACATCCCTTCTTGCCAGCCTCTCCAGGTCTTCCCATGACCAGAGGATGCCAAGGCATTGGCCTGCGCTCATAGTTCCTGGGTAGAGAGACCTTGTAGATGCATAGCGTGGGGCTGCAGAGTACCCGAGAAGGTGGAGGCAAAAGTTGGGGAGAGGAGCAGAGCAGAGTGGTGAATAATCACAACGGTGGAGGCGGTGACATAAAGTCCAATTGCAGACACTGAGAGGGAGTAAGAGAAGAGGAAAAATGAAGGAGAAGCAGGGAGCAAGAAGGGACATGGAGACAAAGGGGACAGAATTCTCCTGCCGATGAAACAGGAGGTGTTTGGAATGAGAAGAGCATTCCAGGTCACCGAGCAGGGAGGAATGAGGCCTCCCTGATGCCTTTGCAAGCTTCAGGGAGTGCGATTTTAATGTGAGTCTAATTAAGTCAGAAGCAGTTCCCATTATTCACACTCTGCTCCAGCGGTCTCTGAGCCCACATGCGCTACTACGTTCTGGAGAAGTGCAGCCGGTGGTGACTTCGGATCCATATTCACTGCAGGAAGGAGGAAGGGCAGGCTGGCTCCCAGCCGTGGTGGTCAGACCTGAGCCAGAGGCCTTCCTTGGTGTTTCTGGTCTTGTTTCCTCCAGATTGTGTGTAAAGGGAGGGGTGTGTGTTGAAAGGAGTCCCTGTATGGGGCTAAGAGGCCCAGGGAGGAATGCTCATCTATAGGAGATGTTGAAGTTTAATGACCTTTTGCCCATCTGACTGATGACTCAATGAAGAGAAAGGGTCTTTCCAGGGGCTTTGTGAGGAATGCAGCAAGCCCTATCTGGGCCATGCCCAGGGCCAACAGGGCAAGCACAGATCTAGGAGGCAAATTCAGGGCTCTTGCCCAATCTCAGCCTCCCTGACCACAGAAGGAGGAAATGAGACCCTTCAATAGCCGGAGTTCCTTTGGAGCCCCTTCAGCCCAGTGTCAGTGTCGGGTTAGGGGCATCTCCAACGTCAAGATTCTCTAGAAGAAGTCTGGACTAGGGGCCAGGGAAGTGGGGTTTCTGTAGGGCAGGCCCAGCTCTGTAACTCACTGAATGACCTGGAGGGGAGTCATATTGTCAACAGAACGGACCAGGAAAGCATTCATGGAAATAATGGCCTCGAGCAGGGATTTTGCCAATAAGAGTTGGGTCTAGAGAGGGAAAGAATTTTTTTTTAAGAGACAAGGTTTCTCTCTGTTACCTAGGCTGTAATGCAGTGGGCGGTGGGAGGGACAATCACGGCCCACTGCAGCCTTCAACTCACAGGTTCAAGCAATCCTCTTGCCTCAGCTTCCCAAGTAGCTGGGACTACAAGCGAGTGTCACCATGCCAGCTAACTTTTTTAATTTTTGTGGAGACGGGGGTCTCACTATGTTGTTACCCAGGCTGGTCTCGAACTCCTGGCCTCAAGCCATCCTCCCACCTCAGCCACCCAAGCATCTGTGGAAAGAATTTCAAGTAAATGGAACTAGGAGGAAAGCAGCCCCAGAGGTATCCCTTTAGGTTGGACTATGGAGGAGTAATGGACAAAAGGCCTGGAAGAGCCCATTGAGGCCATATGCATAGGGACTTAAATACCAACTCAGAAATTAGAAAATTTGGTCCAGTGTGTTGTGTACTGAAAGGGAAGCTGGTGAAGTGTTTTTTTTTTTTTTTTTTTGAGACAGAGTCTCCCTCTGTCGCCCAGGCTGGAGTGCAATGGTGCGATCTCTGCTAACTACAACCTCCACCTCCCGAGTTCAAGCAATTCTCCTGCCTCAGCCTCCTGAGTAGCTGGGATTACAGGCATGCACCACCACACCCAGCAAGTTTTGTATTTTTAGTAGAGACAGGGTTTCTCCATGTTGGTCAGGATGGTCTCGATCTCTTGACCTCATGATCCACCCTCCTTGGCCTCCCAAAGTGCTGGGATTACAGGCGTGAGCCACCATGCCCAGCCGCTGGTGAAGGTTTTTGAAAAGTGAAGTGTGATGTGAGCAGAGTCTTGGGTGGAATGCGGTGGGGGAGGAGTCTCCTGTTGGATCTTTATGTTCCTCTTGAGCTTTCCAGGAACACCCAGTCAAAGAAGGATGAGGAGGATGAAGTGCTAAAAGGCCACAGAGGGTTGAGGGTACAGGCTCCAAAATATTCAGCCTCTTAGTGTTCAATCTAGGCTCAATAGCATCAGTAGTTACAACAGCTTTAAGCTGAATGAACCCTAACCCTGACTCATAAAGACCACTATTGCATTGACCAGCAAGCTACCCAAGCCTTGGTGATTCGGTAGAGAATGGGCTGGTTTAGAAATCATACTGACTTGAGTTTAAGTCTCAGCTCTCCTTTTACCAGCAGTCAATATTTACTATGTGTAAATCATTTAATTTCTCTAAGCCCCCAATTTTATGAATGTTGTCAATCATAAAATTAGGATGATGATGGATTCTTCTCAAGGTTGTTGTAGGGAGTAAATGCATGAAAGTGTCTTACACATCATGGTGCATGGTGAGGGCTCAGTGAACACTTATGTCTCCTCTCTACCCCTTCCTCCTTGCACGCACTACTGTGTGCATCAAGTGTTGGCATCCTGATGGTAGGTTAAGGCAACTGCAACCTCCTCCCTGAAGCCCAGTGCCCTGCATGCACCACTCCTGAACTCAGACCCTAGCACAGGCTCTCTTCATGCTCAAGAAGTCTTAGGGTTCCCAAGCCCCAATCCCCACTTCTCCTCCCTCTCATCATGTTGCTTGTTTACTGTCCCACACAGTACACTTTCTTCACAGGCTTCTGCTCCTCTCTTCCCCTCCCCTGTCCCACAGTCTGTCTGTCCTGCCAGCCTGGATCACAGAATCTCAGCGTCAGTAGCAAGGGAACTTGGAGATTGGCCATTTGTCACTAGGTGTCTTCTTGCAGGTGGGGAACCATTCCCTGATCGCCTCAACACTAACATTTATCCAACTTTTCCATGGAGATAAGGAATGTTCTGGCTAATGTTTTGGCTAATGATTGCTGTGAGTCCAGAGGACCTCCCTCATTTATATAGCAGGACCACCTCCTGACAACTGTGACCACTTAGCCAAATAGGACTCCTAAAAGGAAATAATGCAACTCCTTTTTTTTTCTTTTCTTTTTTTCTGTTTGAGACAGAGTCTCGCTCTGTCACCCAGGCTGGAGTGCAGTGGTGCCATCTCAGCTCACTGCAGTATCCACCACGGAGTTCAAGCAATTCTCCTGCCTCAGTCTCTGGAGTAGCTGGGATTACAGGTGCATGCCACCACGCTCAGCTAATTTTTGTATTTTTAGTAGAGACAGGGTTTCATTATGTTGGTCAGGCTGGTCTCGAACTCCTGATGTCAAGTAATCCGCCCACCTCGACCTCCCAAAGCTCTGGGATTACAGGCATGAGCCACTGTGCCAGGCCAATAATGCAACTCCTACTTGTTTTTTGGTACCATGTGGATACACGCGTGCGCGCGCACACACACACACACATACACACACCATCTACCAAAACCTTTGTGAGTCTCCTCTGGACCCTTCAGCAGAGTTGCCAGGCCCAAGGGGTACCGTATACAAGGCATCAAAGAACGAGAGCCATTTGGGGATTCCCAGCCTCAGCAACCTCAGAGCCCCTGGGCTTCTCTTCCAACTCTACAGAGCTGACAAGGGTAGGGGTCTCCTTGGAAACCCTGGCATTTTGACTCCTGTCGGATGGATAGAATGGAAAAGGAAATGTTTTGTGTACAATTTGTACACGCACAAAGTCATTTTAAAATGAAAACTCTAACTAAATTCTGTTCTCCCTTCTATTTTTTTTTTGACTTGTTCTTTCTTTATACTAATCTCTCATTTGAGTCAAAAATTATTTCACTGGAGAGGTGGTGATTAAATCTGATAATTAGGAGAAATACCAATTAAGTCAGGCTCTGCAAGCATAAGGCAGTCCTCATTCACATTGTTATTTGAGACTGTGGCTTAGCAGGGGGCTTCTGTGTCTTCCCAGCAGGCTCCCAGTCCATATGCTCAGCAGGACTCAGGGACTTATCTCAGGCAGAGCCAAACAGGGATAGGAGCAGAGGGTTTTCCTCCCCACCCCAGCTTCCCTGATAGCCCCCTCATCCCTGCCACTCTCTTCCTATTTCATTAGCATCCCCTGCCTTAAAGACTCTCATCTGCCCCAGCTCTCCTCTGCTGTTAATGTCCTTGGCCCAGACCTCTTCCCACATGTGGCTTGCTGCCCGAACCTAGCCCTCCATTCCCTGGTCTCTGTTTTCTGAATTGTTTGTTACTTATCACCTAGGGTGCTCAGAGGTGTAATGTGCTATTATATTAGCTAAAAGTGAATGTCCTCCGCAGTGCACCTCTGCACACCCACAGAACTTCCAGTGAACAGGGAGCCTCAGAAAGGGATTGTGAAAACAGTTGCACCAAGTCTAGGGACCTCTTGCATTAGAACTCCTAGGGTTAATTCCCCAAAATAACAGGGAGTTTATCTGGAATAGAGTGAAAACATAACAGAACTGAGGAAAGATAGGGCTTTAAAATTAGGCTGGAGCCATCAGGGGAAAGCTCTTGGCTGCCAGGCTGAGGAGTTTCTGCTTATTTTGGAAGGAAATTGTTGGAGGGACATGGACAAAGCTACCCAGGTGATGGGTTAACCCGGTGACAGTGCCAGGCTCGATTCCTCAGGTGGAGCAGTTCTCAATGTTGGCTGTGCATTAGAATCGCCTGGGAAGCTTTTAAAATTCAGTTCCCAGGTTGAATCCTGGACCAATTACATCAAAATGTCTGGAGTCGGGAGCCAGCCATTAATATTGTTCAAACTGCCCATCACAGTACAGCCAAACAGGACCACGAGCCTGAGGATGACCTACCTCCTGATGACAATGGCCGACCAGGCTACATCCGCCCAGTCATGTGGGGTTTCCTGAGACATGGGACTTCCAGGGCAAAAACCAGGAAAGGCCTGAGCAAGGTGGAATAAGCTGATCATCCTGCCCCAGTAGATTTCTCAGAGCTCTATCTGGGATAGACCCAAACCTCGGGGTGAAAGCATCTTGCCCACTGCCAACTCTTTGGTGTCTATTCATCAAACAGCCTGAGCCCTAGAGTTGGAGAGACCCAGGCTCCACTACGTAGCTGCTGTGTGACTTTGGGCAAGCTGACTGCTCCACCTAGCACTGCTCTGTTTTTTCCTCTCTCCTTCCTTCTCACCTTTCCTGGGGTTCATAGACTAAGCTGCATTTGTGGGCTGTGTTCTCTAGCATGGGGGCCAGATGAAAACAAGTCCACAGAAGCCAAAAGAACTGGGGACACTGGACAGGTGACCAGGGGAGAGGGAGGGAAGAGGAGGCCAGCCCATGCAGAGGGGCATGGCTGGCCCAGGTGTGCTCTGAGCACACATGTGCTCCTTCTGTTTGTTGCAATGCTGGCTGGCAGAATTTTGCAAAGACAAGCCCTGTGTCCAGGGTTTCTTTCAAGGTTCCTCTTAGGGTGGCTGCCTACCAGTCCATCCCCTAGATATGTCCCAGCCTGGCAGTGACATGAAAACAGTCAGACTGCAAGGATGCAAGGCATCTTCCTGCTGTTCCTGAAACAGGCCGGCCACCCTGCCATCCCTCTGAGAACTAAGTGGGCGTGCTAGCTCATATATTATGGGCTAACATTCTGTAGGTCCCCTTAGTTTCAAACCATCAGGGAGTTGATTTATCTATGGAATGTGTAACAGTTGTGCTGTTTTGGCTGCAGGCCAGACTTCTAAATCACACAGTTAGAAGCTGAGGGAAAGAAGCGTCAATTATCCAGGCTGTCTGCATCTGGAGAAGTCCCAAAATGACCTCTCCCAGAGCAGTTCTTTCTTGTCTGGCCCATCCTTCTATTTATCCATTCATCCATCCATCCATCCATCCATCCATCCATCCATCCATCACACAACAGATTAATGATGGCCTACTCTGTACCAGACACAATACGGTGCCTGCTGTCTTAGTACCCAGAGTCTACTTGCAACTACACTTGAGATTTGCCAGGTGTAATCTCCTAGGAACCAGTGGGGCCTCCCCATTAGTCAAACAAGGGTGTCCAACCTGGTGAGATTTCCAGGTCCACAGGAGAGTGTTCATTCTCTCACATGGTTTTCCTCCAACCAATTTTCTGCCTCCCAAAACTTCTTTAACACCCTTCCATCCACCACAGGTGAGACTTCAAAGCAAACTCTCCAAGTGCTGCCATCTTGATTAAAATTTACTGTAGGCTAAAAATAACACGGTGGGCTGAAAGAGATGTTAGAAACTGTGAAGCTTAGGGTTTACAGTGCCTACAAGGGCTAGGCATAGAACGGGATAGAAGTGGGGGCCGGGTACGGTGGCTCACGCCTGTAATCCCAACACTTTGGGAGGCTGAGGCGGGTGAATCACGAGGTCAGGAGTTCGAGACCAGCCTGGCCAACATGGTGAAACCCCATCTCTACTAAAAATACAAAAAATTAGCTGGGCCTGGTGGCAGGCGCCTGTAATCCCAGCTACTCGGGAGGCTGAGGCAGGAGAATCACTTGAACCTGGGAGGCGGAGGTTGCAGTGAGCCAAGATCGCGCCACTGCAATCTAGCCCAGGTGACAGTGCGAGACTCCATCTCAAAAAAAAAGAAAAAAAAAAAAAAGAATGGGATAGAAGTGGGATAGGTAGGAAACAATGAGAAGTGGTGGGCACTGTGGCAAACTGGAAAGCACGGCCCCAGCTAAAGGAGCCAATTATTGAGATTCCTGCAAACATTTCCATGTGGGAATGCAGATCCTATGTGACTACATTTTTTCATTTTTCAAGAGAAGATAGGAATCCAGATTTCACACAGATTTTCCCAAGTTTTAAAACAATGGCAGCCAAAGAAATCCCTTTGCAGACCAGATTCAGTTTGCATGCTGCCTCCCATAAGTTTGGACACTGAGCTACACACTGTAGTGGGGGGACCCCCAGAACCATGTCCTGGGCCCCTGTAGATTCTCTCCTGAGGACCAGCTCTGCTAGGAGACACCCTGAAGCCTTGACCTGGGGAAAGGAGAAGACAAGACAGTGTCATGGGCCAAATAAATGGATGAGGAATGAGGAACCTGCAATCATGGGGGACCAGCCTGGCTTGTGTTCTGAGATTGCTTCTAGAAATTCTGGTGTCTCCGCTATCATTTTCAAGTGCCGTGATTTTCATCAAACCTGGGGGAGGGAAGGGAAGTGATCTGATTTATGGGTTAAAATAATCACTCTGACTGCTGTGAGGAGAAAGAGGGGCTGTGGCAGGATCCAGTTGAAAACGGGAGGACCACTGAATAGACTACTACAACCATCCAAGCACAAGACACTGGCTGTGGTTAAAGGGCATCAGTCATGGGGTCTGAGACCGTGTTGAGAATGAGAAAGGCCTCCCTCCTCGACACTTTAGACGAATGTTCTTGAACACAGCAATGAGAAATGCCACTTCAGGGATCAATCATACCCTAGCAAACATTTGTTCAAAATCTTTTCCTTGACCCCAAAGCTGGCCATAAATTGTCACCAGTCTTGTTTCCCACAACCTTGGGCTCTCCATACATGGGTTAAGCTTCTCACTCCTCATAAGATCTTTCCAGCAGCCACCTTTATTTCCATTCCTTCTGCCTCTAAGGGCTTCCTCCTGGCCTTCTCTGTCTCTCGCATCCTACGACATCCATTCCTCAATACTGGCTCAGACACCTCCTCACCCCCCAGGCTTGCAGAGCACTCCATTTGAGTTGTTAAAGCCCATTCCTCTCTTGCTGATTGACAGTACAAGTCATGGCTATACCTACTCCTGGCTTGGAGGTGAGACCTTGAGAGCAGGTATTGGGTTCTCTTTCTTTATATATTCATCCCCCAGCTCCCAGTAAGTGCTTAATAAATACAGTGTTTTTGGAAGAAAGAGAAGAAAGGAGTGGGAACTGGGGGAATGTTAATTAGTTCTAGCTTAGAAGCTCATTGCTCTTCCTCTTCCTGTTTTCTTCCTACCTCAATAGAATCCACAGGTGGGAGATACTGGGGAAGCAGAGGCTCTCAGGATAAACAGGGATGTTGTCTCCATGATTAAGACTCAGTTCAAGGGAAAGTCCTTTGTAGAGTGTTCACTCCTGATGTATCTTGCACCTTCCCTGAGCTAGTCCTTCCTCCTCCTCCATCCCCAAACATCTTGGACACATCCATATCCTACTGATCTCACACTCAGAATCATTGGTATGAGTATCTGTCTTCCTGAGGACAGAGCTTGAATCTGTCTTCTAAGATGTCCTTTAAGAGAGAAGGGAAGTAAAGAGTTACATCGAAGGAATATGAACTAGTGTTCAATAATACAGTGGGGTGACTATAGTTAATAATTTGTTGTACAGTTCAAAATAACTGGAGGAGAGGAATTGGAATGTTCCCAACATAAAAAGGGGCTGAATGTTTAAGGGGATGGACATCCCAATTGCCCTGGTTTGATCATTACACATTATGTCCATGTATCCAAATACCACATGTAACCCTCAAATATGGGCAACTGTTATATATCAATAAACAATAATAATAAAAAGAAGGGAAGTAAAGAGAAGAGAAGAAGGGGGCGGATAGGAGGAGAAGGGAAGGGCTTGGACTGTGGAGCCAGAAAGACCTGGGCTGGACTAGCAGCTCAAACGTGTAATAAAGGCTGTGGACTTGTAGGACCTACTATCCTTCTCTGAGCCTGTATCCCCATAACAACGAAGGATTTGCTTGATGATTTGGTGAGGTGATGGATAGAAAGTGCTTAGCACACAGTGCCTGGCATAGAGTCCTCACTCAGTAAGTGTTTGTTTTTGCTACTTTATTGTCATTATTATTATTAAAAGGGAAAGAGCGAGGCAGAGGTGGAAGCTGCAGTCACACCACCTTGCTGTGACAAGGGCACCTTATGAGCCTTCAGAGATTGGGCTGGGCTGCACCCTCAGCACGTGGACTGGCTTCTAAGGATGCATGATGAGCACCCAGCCCACTGAAGCTTAGCTTCTGAAAAGAAGGGCAAGGATGCAAGCCCTAGAACTACCCTGGGGCAGGAAGTTCACCAGGGCCAGAATTCAGTGCCTCACTGAATTGGGAGAGGCAAGATCTGACACTGAGATGACGGGGTGGCAGTGGCATTGCTGTCCAAGAAGCATCTTCCCTCCTCATGCAAGGCTAGCATTGAGCAGAATGACGCCACTTGGGGAGTGGACTATAAAGCACCATTATCCCCTTTCAGGACGTTTTATCCTCTATGAAGCACCTCTTCATGGAACCTCACAAACACACACACAACCTCTGCTTTCTTCCCCCACCTGTCCCACCTAAGTCTCCCATCTCAAGCCAGTGACAGGCTCCAAATATCTCTCTTCCTTAGCAAAACAACTCCCAGCTAGTTAGCACTTTAGAATAGGCTACTTTATGCTAAAGTGTTAATGGATACTAAGACTTCATGTACACTCACTCATTCAGAACTTTAATAGGGGAGCAATGCTTTACATTAGTCCCTCTTTTTTGTTTTTTATTTCTTTTAAGTAATTTGAAATCTATTCTTTTTCTTTCTTTTTTTTTTTTTTTTTGTTGTTGTTGTTGTTGTTTGAGACAGAGTCTCACTCTGTTGCCCAGGCTGGAATGCACTGGTGCAATCTCAGCTCACTGCAACCTCCGCCTTCCAGGTTCAAGTGATTCTCCTGCCTCAGCCTTCTGAGTGGCTAAGATTACAGGTGTGTGCCACCACACCCAGCTAATTTTTGTATTCCTAGTAAAGATGGGGTTTCACCTTATTACCCAGGCTGATCTCAAATTCCTGGCCTCAAGTGATCCACCTGCCTTGGCCTCCCAAACTGCTGGAATTACAGGTATGAGCCATCGTGCCTGGCCTTGTCCCTCTTAAATAATGGCTATGAGCATCAGCCTGTGGAGCCTGAGACCAAAGCAGACAGTTGGGCAGGGACCCAGGCAGAGGCCAGAGATGAGAAAAGACATGGAGTGAAGAGAATTCAGACGGGCACACCCTGGCCAAGGGAATCTGACCTCCTGCCATATGTATGCACTCCTTCCCTGCTGCTCTCCATCCTCAGTCTCCTCACAGATTGCATTCTGATATGGCCTGGAAGCCCCTTCTCACTTACGGGAGGTGTCAGAAGAGGCAGTTTGGAAAAGCAGCGTCGTGGTGCCCCAGAATGTTTAGAGATGGAAGCCAGATTATGAGGTTGCACAACTCCAATGATGCCCTTCCCATTGCAGTCTCTGTAAATGGTGCCACCTGCCTGCAAAAGTGCTGTGCATGGCCTGTGTACTCATATAAAGCTGCCCTGGATGGAAGAGGTCTTGGAATACTGGTCAACTTCTCAATTTTGTAGGTGAGGAAACTGAGGCGCAGGAGTGAACTGACTTGCTCAAGGTTCCATGGTAGTGTCAAGTGGGGACCTCCAGTCCAGGCCACGTTTTAAACCATAGTTTTCCTGGTTTGTTCAAAAGGCCAAGATACATCCATAGAGAAAGCAATCTCCGCTAACAAATACGGTAGCCACTAGGAACATGTGGCTGTTTAAATTTAAATTAATTCAAATGAAATCCCATTAAAAATTCATTTTCTGAGTTGCATCAGCCACATTTTGAGTAGTCAGTAGCTACCTGTGGTTGGTGGCTGGTGTGTTGCAATTCCCATCATCTCAGAAAGTGCTATTGGACATAGATGGATTATGGATTATACTTGGGTCTACAGGGAAACTGGAAGGCAAGGCAGAAAGGTTGTTTTTTCCCAAAGCATAGTGTGCCAGGTACTGTGGTAAGCACTTTGCATGTAGGACCCCATTCAGTCTTTACAAGTGCTGTAAGTGGTGTCATGAGTCCCTTCTTACACATGAAACTGCAGCTCAGCAAAACTAAGCAACTTGCCATGAATACATAGCCTGTAAGTGGACTTGAACTCAGATCTGTTTGACTTCAGAGGCCAGGTGCTTAATTATTAATCTCTAATGCTTCCAACACATTTTTTTTTTTTTTGAGATGGAGTTTTGCTCTTGTTGCCGAGGCTGGAGTGCAATGGCACAATCTCAGCTCCCTGCAACCTCCGCCTCCCAGGTTCAAGCAATTCTCCTGCCTCAGCCTCCGGAGTAGCTGGGATTACAGGTATCCGCCACCACGCCCAGCTAATTTTGTATTTTTAGTAGAGATGGGGTTTCACCATGTTGGTCAGGCTGGTCACGAACTCCTGACCTCAGGTGATCCACCCGCCTCAGCCTCCCAAAGTGCTGGGATTACAGGTGTCCAACAAATTTTTAAAAGTATATAGACCAAAGTGCTGCTGGAGAGCCAAGCAAACAGATGCTATTTTCAAGACAACAAAGATTATGAAGTGGCTAAAACCAATTACAGGAATTAAGGAGGTTTTTTTAGTACTAGAAGAAAAGACCAAGGCATGACTTAATCCCATTTCTAGGAATGGGAGGCTGCTGGGCAGGCAGTTGGGCCTCCATAGGTGCTAGAGGCCAGCAATGAGAAAAGACATGGAGCGATGAGAATTCAGATGGCCACAAAGTGGTGCTTCTTGAGCATGGGCAACAGAGAAGACAGAGAGAGAGAGAGACAGAGAGAGAAAGAGAGATATGAGTGCTGCCACCCAGAGATATTTAGAGAAAAAGAGCCTCCGGTGACACACTCCCCAGGGTGCCAGTGGTACCCTGCCTGCAGATAGACAAGGACAAGAGAGCTCTTGTTCTCTCTCCTAATATAGTGGAAAAGGAGAGAAAAGGGCAGGAGAGATGGACAGAGATGGTGGAGGTATTACTGTATCCTCTGGCAAATGCTTTGCTAGGAAGGGGACAATTCCTTGATAACAAATTCCTTTGTTTTTCCCTTTTTCAACTTTGGGTTTATTTGAGGTTCCTCTACCTGGGCTTTAGGAACAAAGAGAAAGGCTGAAATGTTTGAAACTCATACCCACAGAAATTCAGTCTAACCACACTGCCATATACCATTGCAGAGGGTTAAGACTAAAAACAGGCCGGGCGCGGTGGCTCACGCCTGTAATCCCAGCACTTTGGGAGGCCGAGGCGGGCGGATCACGAGGTCAGGAGATCGAGACCATCCTGGCTAACACGGTGAAACCCCGTCTCTACTAAAAATACAAAAAATTAGCCGGGCGTGGTAGCGGGCGCCTGTAGTCCCAGCTACTCGGGAGGCTGAGGCAGGAGAATGGCGTGAACCCGGGAGGCGGAGCTTGCAGTGAGCTGAGATCGCGCCACTGGACTCCAGCCTGGGCGACAGAGCGAGACTCCGTCTCAAAAAAAAAAAAAAAAAAAAAAAAGACTAAAAACATCGGCCAGGTGCAGTGGCTCACAGCCGTAATCCCAGCACTTTGGGAGGCCGAGACAGGTGGATCACTTAGATCAGGAGTTTGAGACCAGCCTGACCAACAAGGTGAAACCCCTTCTCTACTAAAAGTAAAAAAATTAGCCACGCATGGTGGTGTGTGCCTGTAATCCCAGCTACTCGGGAGGCTGGGGCAGGAGAATCGCTTGAACCCAGGAGGCAGAGGTTGCAGTGAGCTGAGATCGTGCCATCGCACTCCAGCCTGGATGACAGAGCGAGACTCCGTCTCAAAAAAATAAATAAATAATAAAAAATATCCTGTTTGGCAGGCACTGGGTGGGGTTCCGGGGTTGGCAAAGCAAATGCAATGTCATGCTCACCTTTGTATGCAGTAGTTTACTCTTGATTCTCAGAAGTCTGCCATGAACAGAACAGTAGGCAGCCTTTTTGGATGGGTTTGGGCACAGAGCTGGGTCTCAAGCTGTCTAATTCCTTGATTAATTTCAGGGTCGGGTCTTTGGAGATTACTGTGGGGTAGGGGTAGAAGGATGGTTGGAAAACTGGATTACCTTTGATCAACCATGTACTTTTTCTTTTATTTCTCCTTCAGAAAAAGATGCTAGTAAAACTCACCTGAATTTCCCTCTGTAAGAGCTGCAAGGGTTCTAGAGGTCATCTAGAGGTCATCTAGTCCTCATATAACAGATGAAGAAACTGAGGCCCAGAGAGGTTAAGTGACTTGACTGAGATCGCTGAGCTAGCTGATTGCAGAGCCAGGAATAGAACCCATGGCTGACAGCACAGAGGCTTTGAAGGCAGTTCTTACCATGCAGAGGTGACGTCCTTTGCCTATTATCTGCCTGCGAAAACTTAGCCACCAAATATAACTTAAACGAAGCAAAAACAGGCTCCCCTTCGGTCATTTGCAATCTCTGGATATTTCCAGCAAGGCTGGAGAGTGGAGGTGGGGGTGGGGCTGAGGGTCTGGACAGAGCCCCGCCCAGCCACAGAGAAGCACTTTTGATTGTCTTGATGTCACTAAGATTCTTGAAAAATGCTGTCCCATTGTCCATACTGACTCCTGCTGGTTGTTCCCACTTCTCAGCCTGACAGTCGGTTTCCTCCCCTCTTTATCTTTGTGGTCATTGCTGGCTTCTTCCTGCCCTCAGAGACCAGCCTCAGAGACCGTTCTGAAAAGCTCTTGGAGGTTCCCTAGACCTTTTGCCCCTTGGAGATGTAATAAGGCTTTGTATATTGTTGTCGTCAAATGTAACACAAATGGCTGGATTTTCATGGATGATGTTTATCAATTGACATCTGCTGTCTGTATCCTATGCTGTTTCATATAGGAATGTATACCAGATGTAGCCGGCGCTACTGTGGCTGTTGTCTGTATTGTATGTGTATTTGTATGCTCTGTCAGTCTCTCTGTACTCCTTCTCTATGTACAAGTGTGTTAATGTGTATGCTCTCTGCAGCCTTCTGCTGTCTGTCTCTGTGTGTATTTAACCTTGTACCAATGTTCACAATGTAATAAAAGCAGAACTAAAATAACACAATGCCTTCTGGCGATTTTTAAACCTAGGGGAGATGCTCACTTATCTGGGATGGATGCATGAGTTATTACCAAAAAGCAGTGGGTTGTATATAAAATGACTTCTTGATGACCTTGGAAGGGTCCATGAGTCCTTTGGCCCTCTGCTGAGGGTAGGCAGGTAAGAAAGTGCTTGTATATGAGGAGGAAGAGGGAAGGCTGGCTTCATGGGCTTTGCAGGTGAATCACTGCAATCCAGAGTGTCCTGTGTGAAATCTCAAAGTGCAGAGCAGAAATCAAACAGCTCTTAGTGGACTGTTTGTTAGTATCCGTGAAAGCTCCATGGCCCCAATCTTTGCTAAACTTTTAAAGCACTCTGCAAAATTTCACCTTGAGAAATGCTCTTTCATCATGAGGAGGAGGTGAAGCATCCCTCCCATGCTGCCCTCTCTGTCCTGATCGTAGGAGCCCAGGGAACTGAACTCATTTAGAAGAGACTTGTCTCAAGGTTTTGACATGATCCTATTGTTAAGAAGTGAAACCAGCATTCCTAGCCTTGGCCAGAGAATAGAAGGCATAGAGTAGGAAAGTATCTATCAAATCACATGCATCGGCCCAGGCAGAAAAGAAGTGGGGGGTATTGCAAGAAAAAGGAATGGAAAGTTTATTTACAACTTAATCCAAGGACCTTGTAGCTTACAGTGAGCTGGAACATCAGGGTCAACTCAGCAGGGATGCCACGAATAACACACTGATGGGAGAAGGGGAAGGACACACACTCCCTCAGATTCCTCATGGGAAGGGGACTTATTCTAAGGAGCTGGAGATGTTAGGACTGAAAAGGAGCTTCAGGTCTCAGGTATGTAATACCATTAGCCCTTACCATGGGCCAGAAAACCCTGATAAAAGAGGTAAGCACAGCACCTGTGTCCCAAGAGGCAACTGGGGTTTCATGAAGATGTTCAGTCACTATGTGTCTGACACTGCTGTGGAGCTGTTCTTGTCCTCACTGGCCAGTTCCCATCTGGAATTCCTGAGACTGAACTTCCACATCTCTTCTTTAACTGGGACTTGAATGTTTTAGCAAAGCCTCATTATTCAGAGGCTGGAACTACCTGGCCAGGACCAGATATTGTCCAGATACTGTCTTTTTATTTTGTTGGGAGAAAAGTTCCAGTACTTTTAGAAAGTCCAGCGATCGCTGTCTCTCTCCTTTCTTTTCCAAAAAGGAGTTTATAATTATTACCTCTCCTCTAAGTAGGAGGTGGAAGTATGGCTTATCTCCCAGGATTCTGGGTTCACACACTATAGTCATTTGGATAAGTTCTTCCCAGCAGCATCCTTCTTGGACTTTCTTGGGTTCATGGATGGGTTCCAGAAATGGGAATTTTCCTGTCTGTTAACCTTGTAGGGATAGACATGGAGTGGGATGTAGCTGTGTGGACTGCAGAATCATGCTTTAGTGCAGGAAAATCCCACAGTGCCTCTCTGTTCTTTCTTAAGAGCCTACCTACTCTTAAGTCTGGCTACTGTAAACATAGTCTAGAATACACTGAAAACACTGTTCTGGGAACCCGTCCTTTCCTTCATGAAGACCCTGATCAGTGACTTCCAGGCTCAAGGGGCTTCCCAGAGCTTTGGCATGGATTGCAGAGCAGTGGAATGAACAAAGACTGAACCAGGAGTCAGATAAGGTAACTGGGTTCATTCATGGCTATCTCACTTTTATAAAATTAAGTCCCAGATGCATCCTAAAAATATTTTCAACTAGAAACGGTTATTCATTTAAACAAAACTGAGTACCTTCTTTGTGAACCTATGTGCTTTGTGCTATGGGAAGCCAGAGAATCAACAACAATAGGATAAAACCCTGCCATTCAAAGGTAATGCAAGAGGAAATGGAGAAGAAAGGCATATACTGTATACCACAAGGCAGTCCACGATGCGTATTGGAATAGCAGTAGAATGAGGAAAGAAGAGGGTGGGGGAGTATTCATGGACCTTGAGGGATGATGGAATTAGGAAGAGAGTTTGGTTCTTAATTTGTAGTTAAGATACAGCAACTGACCACTCCTAATGCAGATTTCCACTGAAATAGGAGATAGGGAACAATGCATATCCACGGGATTATGTTCTCAAGTGAAACGTTGATATTCATGAAGCTGATGAAAATTCATTCTCTGAGTGACAGACACTTGAGGAGATGGTCAGAGCATTCTCTTCCCTCACCCCAACATATCTGCACCTTTCTTCCTTTTATTTTCTGGCCTCCCTGCATCTCTTCTTCTTTTGCCTCTTTCTGTCTCTCTTTACTTCCTCTTTTTCTCTCTCCCTTCCTCTTTCCTTAATTACTGTCTGCAATTACTTTGGGGAGATGACATAGAAGAGCAAAAGAGTTTTCAATCCAGGTTGAATGACCCTGGGTATCACACACAAGTAATTTAACATCAGACAAATCCTTTGTCATGGTCTTTTTTCTCCACTGGAAAATAGAAATATTTTCCTTGTTTGCCCTAACCCCACAAAACCCATCAGTTATAATCAATCATATGAGAACTGACAGAGGATTGAGCTCCAGGAAGTTAAACTGTGTGTTGACCCACGCTATTATGATGAGGTCTAGCAGTTGCACTCAACTAGTCCCCTGGGACCATTTTTAGCCCAGAGGAGTACAAAGTTGGGGTGGAACATTTATCTGGGAGCTTCTGGACTGGTTACTACCTGAAAAAGCAGTGATTCCATGCCACATAAAGCATGTAACTGCTGTGAGCTTTTTATAAATGAGCTTAAAACGTGACTCAGACCCTTCCTTTTATGCCCACTCACACTTCAAGTTTTACAAAACAAAGTTCAGGACCTAGGACAGCACCGTCGCCCCAACTGACTCCCAGGCTATTATGTAGGGAGATTGACAGGAAGGAACACCAGTGTGAATCAGGCTGGGCATGAGTAGAGAGGAGAAACAGTGTAATAGTCAAGGCTGTCTGCTAGTGAAGAGATGATCTTAGAGTCTAGGCACGTTGAGGCCATGTAGTTCAACAGTCCAGTGTGGAGGTTTAAGTCTTCACCCTGCCACCCACTAACTGCATCTTCAGAAAGTTACTCGGCCTGTCCTACCCTCAGTTTCCTAATCTACAAAATGAGGAAGACAATGACATCCACCACATTAGTATCTCATAAAGAGCCAATAAACTAATGTGTATAAAATGCCTTGTAGTATAAATTGCTCAATTAATATTGGTTTTTAAATTTTCAGTATTATTGAAGGAAGGTGAATTGGACAGGCAGGCTGGGGAACAGAATGTCTATCTTTTCCTTACAAGGAGCACATAAGACCTGCCACCTACGTCAAGCACAGGCTTTCTTGGCCCCGATGATGTATGGAGCAGAGCACCTCCCCACCCTCCGCCCTACCTGCCTTCTGCTCAGAGCTTTCCTCTCCACCCAGCCTCTGAGCATCCCTTCTCATCCTTCATGAACCACCCAGGCAGATCTCAGTCTGCATTGCCTTGGGCAATAAGAGATGTCTTATGTTTCCCACCCGCTGAGGAAAGTAACCCATTCTCTTACTTTGCCACCCTGCATTAAACAGATGTATTCCCCCCTTTCCTCTTTCCCTGGATCTCTGAGAAATGATGCTTTCCTACAGTCCAGAAGAGGTCTTCCCACCTCTCCAACATTATTACTTGAGAAGAGCATTTGGAGGAAGTGAGTGTAGTGCAAATCTGCCTGCTGTTCACTGACACCCTGACTTCAACATCATTGTTTTAATGTGTCTCTTGCCACTAACTTGAAAGTATCTCTCTCCTTTAAAACAATAAGATTATTTCATTTCTAATCTTTAGCACTCCCTCCGATTGCATAACATCCTCATCCTTTGTGTATTTCTCATTGAAACATCTGTTCAAATTCCATTTAGTGTGAGACTGGCGAGCTTAAGACATATGTCCCCTCCCACACACAGGAGACATGAGGTCAAAGGGAGTGAGCTAGCCCAAGGACTCCAGTGCTAACCACTAGCCAGTTGCCTACATTTCCACGATGAGGAAACTACTTTCAGACACACCAAGGACCATCTCTAAGCCTTCTGCTAAAGCAGCTTTATTCTTCTCTACTCCAAGGTTTTGGAGGCAGCAAGCTTGATGCAGTGAGAAAACCCTGGACTGGAAGTCAAGGTCTGATTCAAACTCTTGCTTTGAAATCTACTAGCTGTGTGACTGTCTTAGTCATTCGTGCTGCTGTAACAAAATACCACAGTCTGGGTAACTGACACAGAACACAGATTTATTTCTCACTGTTCTGGAGTTTGGAAGTCCAAGATCAAAGCACCAGCATCTGGTGTCTGGTGAGGGCTACACCTCACATGGCAGAAGACAGAAGGGTAAAAAGGGACAACTCCAATGTCAAGCCCCTTTATAAAGGCACCTAGCCCCATTCACCAAAGAGGAGCCCTCATAGCCTAATCACCTCTTAAAGGACCTACCACTTCATACCATCATATCCTGAGGACCTCTAAAGCTCAGGAACCAGTGGCCAAATCCTCAAATTCACTCATGGTTGAATCAGCCCCTCCCCTCCTCTCCCCTCCCCTCCCCTCCCCTTCCTTTCCCACCTCTCCCCTGCCAGTGCTCCCAGGTCATTTCTCCTTGGGGGTGCCCACAGGTGGGTGCTTCATGCAATATGGCAGACAGAGGTGAGAAGGCTTTCTCCTTCTCTGCCTTCTTCCTTGGCTATACAATTTTGTGGCTTCCTTTTATTCATCTAGCAAATATTTATGAAGTTAGTGACTCTGTACCATGCACTCCTTTAGGTATTAGGGCTATAATCAGTGAACAAGACAAGTATGGTCCCTCTGTCCAAGAAGATATCTACCAGTGGCAACCAATGAGCAAACACACAAATAAGACAGATGCAAGTTGTGATGGGGGCCACAAAGCAATAGGATACAAAAGAGGAACATGGCACACACTTGAGACAGGGGGTCAGAGAAACCCTCCTGAGGAAGAAAAACCTGTGACAAGAGCTTGTATCTGAGTGACATAATAGCACCAGCTGATTATAAAATCCTCCCTGGAAGGTTTCACTGCATAAAGCATGGATGGGCTCTCAGAATCATCAGGGAGAAGGAATTCAGACTTCATGCCTGCACAGCCTTAGTCTCTTGGATAGTCCAGGTGAAAGAAGTGTCGGAAGGCCCAACTCTCCAGCTCATGGTTTAGGCCAACCCTGGGCATGGGCAGAAGTTGCTTCTTAGCTACCATTGGAGCCCCCTCCTTAGATTGTATTCGCAAGTCCATGAACAATCTTGGGGAACACAGTCTGAGGAGATCCACTCAAAAAGTACCTATGCATAGTCAACGACAGCATCACACATGGTCCTCTATGCACGCAGGGCTTTACCATTTATGAAGCACTTTCAACATCTATTATTTCATTTGAGGCTCAGCACAACTGTATGATGCAGGAAGGAAACTGAGCTTCAGAGAGCTGGAGGAAATGCCTGAGGTCACCTCCCTCCTTGGTGGTGTAACCAGCACGAACACTTTCCATGAACTGTGGAGAGCTGTTTACTGGATACTCACAGATATACTTTGGCAGCTGCAGCCTTGACCTCCGAACCACCTTGGCCTCCCAGTCTCTCCAAAACTCCTGCCCTAACTGAAGGTCTTTTGAGTTGCCTATAAGACAGACTAGAGCAAATGAATTAACCTCTGCAACAGCAAGAAACACAAGGCTAGACTTTCCTCGGAGGAAATGGAGTGAGTTGGGCGGCAGTGTCCCACTCTGGGATAGAAGAGAGAAAGCAAGCTAAGGTGGCAGAGGGCAGGATGAAAAGAGATGCTCATCCTCTTAATACTCTATTGTCTAGTGTGCTTTGTGCACCCTGCCCTGCAAGGAGGAACATCTATGGTCTTATTGACCACTTGCATCTTGGGAAAGAGAGGCTTTGGAAACACAGGTCCATAAAGAAAGAAGCAGACTCAAGGTCTGAGATGGGAGAGGTAAGAAGGCAAACCTGCAAGGAGCTAAAGGCACCTAAGGGAAAACCGAGGAAGAAGAAAGCACACACTTTCCTGCCTGCAGCTTTGCACAGAGCTGGCTTCTTGAGAGACAATACCAGTAACTTGGTATTGTCCCTTCCTCTTGGTGGTCCCAGGCTGGAGAGTCCTTTCCCTCAGCTATATTACTCACTGACCCCTTCCCGAAGCTCACTCCTCTCATTTTCATGATGTCACAGATTATATGTCACTTTCTTCAGGGAGCCTCCTCTGATGCCTAACCACTCGAAAAGGTCTGTGTTCCCACAGTGCTCCACTGCAGAGCCACCATGTCCTTACCTGTCTGCCAAGTAAACTGAGTGCCTGAGTGGTCCTGGGTCCTGGGTAGGGGGAGAAGAACATTAGCCTGTATCGTTGCTTCAGTTAAAGCCTTTCCAAGTTGGACAAGGATTTCCACAGTTGCAAAATGCAGGAACAGCCACCCAATGGACCTTGCCAAGTGATGGGGTTGTCCCACATTAAAGAAAATATCCACACCCCAGGACTGTCTAGGTAGTGCTTAAGCCACAAACCCTGGGATCTGTTTGAAAGGTGAGTAAAATCCTTGTTCTAGCTGGTTCCTATGCAAAGGTTCACAATATGCCCTAATGTGGCAGTCTTTTTTCCTGTCTGTGGCATGGTAGAAACAGCACAGACATTTGAGAGAATGAATTTCAAGCCAAGTTTCACCACTTACCAGCTGTCTTGGATTTGGGTAAATAACATCAGTCTCTAAATCAAATGCAAGCAGTACTATGTAATGAGCAGTATGTTACAATTAACAGAGCTCAGTGCCTGGTCCATAAAAATGTCTCACTAAATGGTAGGCATTAGTGTTCTTGTTAGTGCAGAAGAGTCAGCATCGTTTGTAGCTAAGGATCCAGACTCTAAAACCCTGAGGTCAGCCTGGGTTCAGACCCCAGTTCTGCCATCTTCTATTAGATGAAGTTATTTTCCTGCACTGTGGCTCAGTGTTCTCTTCTGTTAAATGGAGCTAGGAAGAGCACCCACCTCATAAATTTGTGACTATGAAATGAGATGACATATGAACAGGGCTTAGAAACATGCCTGGTTCGCATGGAATGCTATGCAGCCATAAAAAAGAATGAATTCATGTCCTTTACAGGGACATGGATGAAGCTGGAAGCCATCATTCTCAGCAAACTAACACAGGAACAGAAAACCAAACACCCCATGTTCTCACTCATAAGTGGGAGTTGAACGATGAGAACACATGGACACAGGGAGGGCAGCATCACACACTGGGGCCTGTCAAGGGGTGAGGGGGCAAGGGGAGGGAGAGCATTAGGACAAATACCTAACGCATGAGGGACTTAAAACCTAGATGATGGGTTAAAGGTGCAGCAAACCACCATGGCACATGTATACCTGTGTAACAAGCCTGCACATTCTCCACATGTATCCCAGAACTTAAAGTAAATTTTTAAAAAATAAATAAACTGAATGAATAAATAACTTTAAGCTTCCCCCCACAAAAAAACAGTAGAAAAAAATCAAAATGTTCATCAATTGATGAATAGAGAAAATGTGGTATAGCCCCCACCCCCCAAAAAAATGCCTGGTTCAGTTAGTACTATCATGCTTGTTATTATCAATCTTTAATGTTATCTACATTTTCAAAGCTATAGAAAATGAAGTTGTAAAAAAGCAAAATTATCATAGCACTTTCATCTTCTGCATCACTCCCTTATTGATTGCAAATCAGTAAACCCACTCCACCACGTTCCTTCTGTGTGCAAAGCACTATGCAGCTGGTGAAGGAGATAAACAAGGTTCCTGCATTAGAGAAGACAGTAATCTGGAGTCTGGGTCAGACACATCTGACACATGGCTGCTAACAGCCAGCCCAGCCCTGGATGTGTACACAAGCCAGAAGCATGCAGGACGGAGACCTTGGGCGTGTGGTACAAAGGGCCTTGGGCCAGGATTCAAGAGACTCGGATTCTAGTGCCACTTTTTCAGCACACTGAGCAAACTACCTCACCACTGTGACCCTTAGTTTCTCCTTTGGTAAATGAATTGGATTCCCAAGGTTCCTGTCTTCCAATTTGAACATTCAAGAGATTTCTTAAGTACAATTTCATGTCGGCACCCTTTGATTTTGAAGAAAGTTCCATTCAAAAATCACCTCCTTGAATGAGGTTTTGATGACCTATGTAATTTTTTAAACAGCATTATCTACACATAAAGCATCTTTATATCTGGAGGAATGTGCCTGGGCAGGTGAATCTGTTTGCCTTTCCTTTCAGGAAAATGAAAACAGTCTCACCTCCTGTGGTTCCTTTTTGCCTTAGCTCCCCGTACAGGACACTTATAGACAAGTACACCACCTAGTTACTGTTAATTAATCTGTTCAACTCACACACCCAGAAACAGCTCATTCTTCCACTCTCTGTGGTGAATCCTGTTCTTTGTTAACTTGCATATATCACTTTGTAACTGTATGTTTACACCTCTTGAGTCAAAACAAGTCAACTTCTTTTTTTTGAAATTGTATTTCAAATTGAATTTTTTTTAAACTGAAAAAAGTTGTCACTTTAATTTTTTAATTATAAGTAACTTTATATTATTGCAACAAAACAAGTAGGTTGTAGACAAATTAGAAAATGTAAATTAGCCAAAAAAGCAAGTAAAAATGTCAATAATCCTATCACTCAAAAATAACCATTTATTATATATCCTTCTAGATTATGTACATCCAAACAATTAATATAATTAAGAGAGTGTTATAGTATAATATACTGTTTCCAGCTTCCTTTTTTCACTTAACTTGCATAAATTTGTTAATGATCTACATTATGAGTTGTAAAGGCTGAGGGATCGTCTATTGCTTGGCATTCTATATTTTATTCAACTCATCTACTATTGTTGAACACAGATTATTTTCAATTTTTTGGTATTATCCACAATTTTGCAGTGAATTTTCTCAATTATTTCCTTAGGATCTATTGCCTTTTAATGAAACGGCTGGGTGAAATGGTCTATGTATTTTTAAGATTTTGAATACATATTACTTAATTTATTTTCAGAAATTTTATAGTGATTGTATGAGTACCTATTTTTCTTTCCGTTTCCCAAGAAGCATGTGCTATTTTCTTTATTTATGATATCTACATATATAAAGTAGCACATGTAAGTTTATATATGTTTATTACACACATATATATGTGTGTATATATGTATGTGTTATATATATATATAGTATATATACATACGTATATATGCACATAAGATACATACATATATATATACACATACTTTTCCAGTCTGAGAGGGGTGAAGTGGTATCTCATTGTTTTAACAGGCATTTCTTTGATCACTGAGGCTGGATTATTTTCATATGTTCATTGGCCAAGTATATTTCATTCATTCAATAAATATTTATCACCTAAGTGTCAACTCTTCGAATATTTCTTCTATGAATTTCTGTGGAGAAAGATGTAACTTTTAAATGAGCAGTTGCTTTTTAAGTCTCTTCATTTTCAACCTATGTCACATCTCTGGGTAACAGATTCTGGAAGCTGACTTGCATAAATCCTTTCCCATCTTCCACGGAATGATATGCTTGAGAACTTGTTATTGACTCTTCCTAGCCTGTTTTTCTCCTGCCTTTTCACTAAATAAGTATAGAAACTTGCAGACAAGATCCCAGCTAGGATGCCAGCTAGCTGTGCAATCTATCTGAACTCATTCCCTTCACAAGTCGAGCATTGGTCTTCCATGTCCAGAAACTCAATCTTTTAGTGCCCTGGAGCTGATCCTGAGTGGCTAACTCACCGTGAACAAACTCACAGGAGACCGAGTATATAAACCAGAGAGCCAACTTATTTATTTGAGATGAGAATTATAACTGTCAGGCAGACCAGACAATTGCGGGACTCTCCAGTACAATTTATCTCAGGCAAGCTACAGAAGCAGCCCAACATCTCAAAAGGGTGCTTCATGAGTGGGAGATGCAGGATGAGGGGAGTAGGTGATAGGTTTGAAACTTTGCTAGCAGCATGCTCTGACAGTCTGGTGCTCCATTTCCCATGCTCTTCCCTAGACAGTGCCTAGGGAGAGGCAGTTCTGACTCTGCTTTGTGGCCGACTGGCACCCTCTCCTCTTCGTGGACGGCCCTATTGTACCTTAGCTGTGATCACAGTTCCAGGCAGAACACCATCTAGCTTGACTGTCCTGCCAGTCCTGTCTTTTAATGGTGATTTGACTCTTGCCTAACATGCTGACTTAATGTTTAAATTTTTGTTTTGTTTTGTCTTCCCATGTTCAATGCATGTATGCTGAGGACTTCCTATGTTTCAAGTATTGTGCTGGTATTGGGCATAAGGCTTGGGCTTCTGTTGGTGCCCGAGATAGCATGTTTGTAAGGCATGATGGTATTGGTCATCAAGTTTTTTCAGGGGAAGCAATTCTAAGTCAATCCTTCTTCATAGAATTGCCATTTTAGCCGCTCTGAAATGATGGGGAAGGTAACTGCAGCAGACCTCTCTGTGGCCTGCATTGCATCCATCTCTGCTTTCAGCCTCATCTGCAGTGGATGGTTCCATATGACCTCAGCCTTCCTCACATGGGCAGCATCCCCCTGTGAAGCACATCTTTGTGCTTTGTGCTCAAGGGCAATGTCTTATGTGGCTGAAGCCCAGAAAGGCGAGAGAGTTAATGCACCCAGAGGAACTCTTGGCCCTTGTGGGATGGGAGCCAACACAGAGGTGCTCTAGGCTCCCTTCCTTCGGGTGACCAATGCCAGGAGGCACCTGTTCATTTCTCAGGAGGTTCTTGCACAGGGCACATGTCCTATTGTATAGCAGCAGCCTCAACTAAAAATCCTTGTAGTGGCTTCTTTTCCTCTCTTATCTCCATTCCAGGGGTCATGCCCCAAATAAATAATACACACCCATATCCTTGTCTCTAACTGTGCCTTTGAGGGGGTGGCATGGAGGCCAGGAACAGTGGTCTTCCCAGGGGTACAAGGGGCTGCAAAGGCAGCTCATGAAGCCCTGTGGACTTCCTTTAGAGACCACAGTGGGTGATGATGCCACTGTCAGGGAGCATGTGGTCTCTTCAGGAGGACCCAGGATTCCCCTAAATCCTTCTATCAGTGTGTCATTGGGAAGGAGGGTGACAATACCAGAAGAACCCTTAGAAAATGCTCCATATAGCTGGGATTGCACAACTGCACTACAGTCTGGGTGACAGGGCAAGACTCTTTCTCAAAAAAAAAAAAAAAAGAAAAAAGAAAATAGAGAAAGAAAAGAAAAGAAGAAAGAGGAAGGAAGAAAGAAAAAGGAAGGAAGGAAGGAAGGAAGGAAGGAAGGAAGGAAGGAAGGAAGGAAGGGAGAGAAAATGCTCCAAATAACCACTAAGACTTTACTTATTGGATCCCCTGAATAGAGGAATTTCCTGTCTCGGGTCGGGTTTCTTAGAAGTTGAGCCTGAGACAAGATTCTTGGGCAACTGTGTTATTGAGGGAGTTTTCTCAGGAGATGGGGAGAAAAGAAAGAAGGGTGGGGCAGGGTAGAAAGCTAAGCAAGGTGTGGTCTCAGCTGGTGACTGGCTCCTGCGTGATCCTACGAAGAGCTCTGGGGCACAGAGTGTGTAGCAATGTTGATCAGACTTTGAGGCAGAATGTACCCTTTGTGCCTCCATGTGGGTCAGACGCTGACCAAAGCCTGCCTCCCTCCTCACAACACTGTCCTAGCAAGGTGGCTCAGATTCTGAGCAGGGAACTCTTCCCAGGAGCGCAAGGGTAGATGCATCAACTCAACCAAGGAGACCTGGGCAGGGCACAAGCACCTATGTTTCCCTGTGTGAGGAGCTCCTAAGGAGCAAAAGAGACCACTTTTCCTTCAAGTTGTCACAATGCAGACTTCTGCTCTGGCTGTGAGCTTTGAAGCTTCCCTCGCCCACAGTTCTCTGCTTAATCTTTACAAGCATCTCTCTCTCCATCCAAAACAAAATTCCAACTGAGAGCTCAGGGGAGTGCCAGGGATTCTCTCCACATAAAGATATGTGGCAGATTTTTTAATGTTGTGACATCATCCTAGTCATTAGCATGAAAATTCTCATAAATCTCCATCATTCCCTCCAGGGTTGCAAGCTGATAATTAGGAATCTTTTTTATAAGCTGAACACCAGAGCATTTCCTCAAGCATTCCATTGCCTCAGAAGAGAAACATCTAGTGCTACATAAGGATTGGTGACAGGAAGCTCAGGAGGTATCCACCCTGCCTAACCGTTGGGGGCAGATGCCAAGGCAACTCCTTGCAGCAATACCTCAGAGTCTAATTCCACAGTCATCAGATCTTCCATTGAAAACACTAGGTCCAATTCTAGTCCTGCTGCTCACCAGAGTAGGGGCCCTTGACAACACACCTAACTTCCTTCAACCTTGGTGAGCTCATTCACAGGGGCAGAATAAAGATTAGATTCCAAATGAACATAACAGCACCTTATGAAAAGACACTAAATCACTGATGTGCTGGTAGACAAGCTGAAGGAGGGGGATCTCAGGGAGGAGGACCCCAATATATAGCATGTTCCAATCCCCATGGTGTAAATATTCCCACTGTGGCAGACTTCAAACTACCTATGGTTTAACACCAGCTCAAGAAATCCCTGAATGTTTGAAACTCTGCTCAATGGAGCCAGTAGAAGGCAGCTACAGCACACTACCAGTAAATCCATCAAAGTGGTAGTCACTGGTACCTTCTCAGATAGATAAATGGTTAGAAAAGGGGACAACTAGGACTGTTCCTGGCCATGGATAGTCTCTGCAGTGACTTCTGAAAGAGTCTTGGTATAATACTCATTCCAAATCTTCACACACATGGATTAAAAAATCCCCAAAGCTACACCACTTGCTGCAGCCAAGCCCAACCCAAATTCAGCACCTTCTGGTACAAGTATTGTGCGCAGACATCATGCTGAGAATTCAAGTCTTTGAGACTGAGGGACCTGGTACCCCTGGTAGAAGTCTAGAAATCAGAAAGTGGATTAGGGAGATAATTCTGGGTTTAATGAGCATATAGATCATAATGGTGTAAGTATCCAGGAGACTGTCAAAACTTTAAACTTCTAAACTGACAGGTCTCAGTCAATTTAGAAGTTTCGTTTTCCAAGGTTAAGGATGCACACCAGGGAGACAGGTCTATGCTTTTCTCTAAAGATGATTTGAGGGTTTCATTCTTTAAAGGAGGAAAGCAGGCTGGAGGGGAAAGAGGTGGGGTATATTCACATTACTGAATCCACTTGTTGCAAGAGAAAAGGAGCAGGTAGGGGAATAGTGAATTATGTATTCATCTTGCACTCAGTAAATTGGCACTTTACATAAGATAAGGTGAACATAGAGTAGCTACCTGTGGAGATATTTAACCTCTTATCTGTAGCTATCTGCTTAGGAACAAAAACAAAGGCAGCTTCTTGTATGAGTCAAATTCAGATTAATTTTTTTCTTTTAGCATAATGAAATTAGGGCCCAAGTCTTTGTTATGGAATCGGGTTCTTGCTCTGTCACCCAGGCTGGAGTGCAGTGGTACAGTCACAGCTCAGTGCAGCCTCAACCTCTCAGGCTCAAGCTATCCTCCTGCCTCAGCCTCCTTAGTAGCTGGACCACAGGCATGTGCCACCATGCCCAGCTAGTTTCTTTTTTTATTGGTAGAGACGGGGGTCTTGCTGTGTTGCCCAGGCTGGTCTTGAACTCCTGGGCTCAAGCAGTCCTCCCACCTCAGCCTCCCAAAGTACTGGGATTTACAGGCTTGAGCCACCACACTTGGCCCCAAGTTTTTATTTTCCTGTCACACCTGCACAGCTTACTGCTCACCACCCCACCCTCAGCATTAATTGGGCCCAACCTCCATCAATGGCCACTCATTTGTAGGGTAGAGCTGTCCTCCTGAGATGCTGTGCCCTCTTGGTTTCTATGAACCTCTGTAGGGTTTTCTGCTTGCCAGAGGGTTTATCAAAGTATTTCTTCCAACCCCATCAAATATCCTCCACCACCAATAGAACTATGGTTCTTTGTGTCTTAGGAAGGGCAGGGCTGGACACACACATTTTAGGCCACACATGCAGAGGTGGCGTGGTGCCGTGGTCGAGAGCACAGGTCTAGATTTCCTGGTCTCAGGTCCCACTGCCATTTTGCATTAACTGTAAGTGTTGGCAGCTGCCTGGTTTTATTTTTGTGCCTTATTTTCTTCTTTGTAAAATTAACATGTTGACTATGGTTCAGACTGAAGGAATCGATAAGTAAGATGCTTAGAACTATGCTGGGCACATAGTGACATTAGCTTTTACTATAATTGATAGAGGTCAGTGATAAGAAACAGATGGGCTCTCAAATGATAGTTTTTTTGCTTTGTTTTGTTTAAAAGGCTGGGGACAGAGATTTGCTGAACTTTAACATGTTGGGCCAGGAAACACACACACACACACAAACACATACACACATACACACATACACACACAAATGTCCACACCCTGTGATCTGTACTGGCTTATTTCACTTGAAATTTATGATTCCAAATCTCAGATTGGGGTTTGACACTCCCAGGTATCTTATTGTTTTTCTCTAACATGTTTGTTTTTCTGTGGTAAGACAGTCATCCTCAACCCATGTGGCCAGTAGAATCACCTAGAGAGTTTTTAAAACTACAGATGCCCAGACCCCATCCAAGACCAATTGAATCACTATAGGAATGCTGGGGAAAGGAGGCACCCATTGGAATATTTTGAAAGTTCTGCATTCAGGTGATTCTGACGTGCAGCCAAGACAGAGAAACATTCCTTTAAGAGGATTATTTTGTACCTTCTGTTTCCTCTAATCCTCCTACTCTCCCTTCTCCTTTCAACTCCCAGCTGATGAACTTGTCTCATGCTTCACTGAGGAAATTGAAGCTGTCTGAAGGAAACTTCCCTACCCACCCATGGTCAAAACCATTGAAGTATCTCTGTCTGGAGCCATAGCCTCTCCCTTCTCCTCTACAGAGGAAGTGTGTTTCCCCAACTCCCACTTCCTCACGTGTTATTGGAAAGCTTGTCCTCTTCCCCTCTCCCTCCTTCACCAGTCCCTCTTTCTGCTCAGACTTTGCCTCTTCTCCTCCGCTGCCAAAGGTGCTCTAGTTTCTCTTAGCTTGGAGAACAGTAACAAAAGCAAACCCTTTCCCTTGACTACACAAACACTATTCACAATAGCCAGGAGGTAGAAGCGGCCCCAGCATCCGTCAGCAGACAAATGGACAAATAAAGTGTGTCCATCTCTACAATGGGATATCATTCAGCCTGAAAAAGGAAGGACACTGACCCATGATCCAACATGGACAGGCCCTGAGGACATTATGCTGAATGAAATAAGCCAGTCACAAAAGAACAAAAATTCAACAGTTTCACTTATGTGATGTATCTAGAGTAAGCAACTTCGTGGAGAGAGAAAATAAAACAGAGGTTACCAAGTGCTGCAGTGAGGAGGGAGGAATGAAGAGTTGTTGTTTATTGGGGACAGAGTTTCAGCTAGGGAAGGTGAAAAAGTTCTGGAGACGGAGGGTGGTAATAGTAGGACAACTACGAACGTACTTAACGCCACTGACCTGTACATAAAAAATGGTTAATGTGGTAAATTTTATGTTATATATATTTTTTCACGATTAAAAACAATAATAACAGCTGTAAATACCTGCCCCCCACCAAACTCCCATATGTTTCTCAGCCCATAACCAGTCTGGTTTCCACCTCCCCCACGCCAACAAGCCTGCTCCAGCTGAGGTCACCTTGACACACATGTATGCAAATCCAGTAAATACCTTCTTTCTTTCCTTCATTTAACCTAGCTGAAGCATTCAGCTGTCCTCCTGAGATGCTGTGCCCTCTTGGTTTCCATGACATCGTGCTTTCTCATTTTTAACTCCTAACTGCTCTCCTCTGTCATTGGCCCCAAGCTTTAGGTTTTAGGTTGAAGGGCTTCCTCTGTTCTCTCCTAGACCTTTTCTCTCTCCTCTCTGTGTACACACTGTTCTTTTATCTAGGGTAATTCATCTAGTCTCAGTTTTAAATACAGTCTCCATGTGGATGATTCTCAAAATTACATCTCGAGCCTCGACTTTTTCTCTGAACTCCAGAATCATAAATTCTACTGCCTACTTGACATCAACACTTAGATGTTCCACAAGCATCTCACACTTAATGTGTTCAAAATGGAACTTCTGACTTTACATTCCCCACCTGTCTCACCACCACCAACTGTGCGCCCAACAAATTTTTCCCCATCTCAGCAAAGGATGAATTGTTTGAATCTCAGTAGCATCCCTAATTTCCTTACACCCCATATATAATGCATTAGTAAATCCTGACAGTCCTACCTTGAAAATATGTCTTAGATCCATCCACTTTTCTGCACATCCACTCTGTATTTAGTCTAAGTCACCAACTTTCCTTAGACTGTTAGAGAAGCCTCCTTACTGGCCCGGGGTCTTGAATGATTCTTCTTCTTCAATGGTATCTCAAGCCTCTCTCCTTCTTGCTCTAAGCTGTGATCATCCAGCTACACTGATCATTTCAGTGTTGCAACTATGCTTATGCTCAGCTTAGCTCATCTCTTTCCTACGTCAGGGGCCTTTGCACATACAGTATGCACACGTGCACACACACATCCCATGCACACATTTCCCTCTCTCGCTCCTCTAACCCAATGTCCATTTGCATGGCTGGCCCCTTCTCATCCATGAGACCTCTGCATAAATATCACTTCCTCAGAGAAAACTACCTCGATCACCCTAATAGACACCACCTCCTGTTTTTATCTGTTCCTTATGTCTAATTGTCATCTTTTCAGCCTTATCACTATGAGCAATTCTTTCTGTGTATTTAACTTATTATTGCCTATCTCTTCCAATACATTCTTAACACCATGAGTACAAGAACTCTGTCTGTTTGGTTCACCACTGTATTTGTAGAAACCCCTGAGAGAGTTTTCACCTGGGACAATGGACGCGCAATAAATACTTGCTTGACAGAATGGGGAACATTGTCATCATGGAACATGGTGCTTTGGATTTAAAGCTTGGGTTCAAATTAAGATAGACTTTTCTGGTCATGTTCTAGAAATTTATAACTCTGAATGTTCCCTCATTTTTATTTGCTAACAAAAATTTCTTTATTAAGATAACTGATCTTAAACACTATTAACCAGTGGATTATATTGTTCTTTAAAGCAAGGTTTTGAAGACAATAATTAAATATATATTTTGCAATTAAAGCAAGATTTTAGTAAAATGTAGTATGTATTTGGTATCTTTTTCATAAATTCCCAATATCAATTCATCCTTATTCTAAGTTTGGTCAAAATCCTCTTAGGACTTGAGGCTTCAGGTCAATCTGACTTCAAAAATACTTGCAGCTCATCTTAGGGTTGCTGGCTATAAAGTTTTAGAAACTCTTCATTGTGATGGCCACCTATCAAATACTAGTGATGAAGAAACTGAAGGCAGGCGCAGTGGTTCACGCCTGTAATCTCAGCACTTTGGGAAGCCAAGTTGGGAGGACTGCTTGAGATCAGGAGTTCGAGACCAGCCTGGACAACATAGTGAGACCCCAGGGCAACATAGTGAGACCCCATCTCTACAAAAAACAAAAATTAGCCAGGCAGAATGGCACGCACCTGTAGTCCCAGCTATCCAGGAGGCTGAGATGAGAGGATTTCTTGAACCCAGGAGTTCAAAAGTGCAGTGAGCTAGGATCACGCCTCTGCATTCCAGCTTGGGTGACAGAGCAAGACCCTGTCTCTTAAAAACAAGATAAACTAGCTAGACTATATCTCTTATCTCTCAGCTTATCTTTTCTCTCTTTGAAGAAACAGGAGTAGTGAATAGGGAAAATTCTACTTAGAGATATATACAGTTTTTACATTGAGTGTTTTTCTATTTTTAAAATTATTATTTTTATTTATTTATTATTATTATTTTTTGAGACAGAGTCTCGCTCTGTCACCCAGGCTGGAGTGCAGTGGCACGATCTTGGCTCACTGCAACCTCCGCCTCCCAGGTTCATGCCATCCTCCTGCCTCAGCCTCCCGAGTAGCTGGGACTACAGGCACCCACCACCACGCCCGGCTAATTTTTTGTATTTTTAGTAGAGACGGGGTTTCACCGTGTTAGCCACGATGGTCTCAATCTCCTGACCTAGTGATCCACCCGCCTCAGCCTCCCAAAGTGCTGGGATTACAGGCGTGAGTCACCATGCCTGGCCCTATTATTATTATTATTTAGTTACAGGGTCGCTTTGTCGCCCAGACTGGAGTGCAGTTGCATGATCTTGGCTCACTACAGCCTCAACCTCCTGGGCTTCAGTGATCGTTCAGCCTCAGCCTCCTGAGTAGCTGGGACTACAGACACGCAACAGCACGCCTGGGTATTTGGTTTTTTAATTTTGTATAGAGAAGTTGTAGTTTGGGATATCAGGGGGATTTGGACACCAAAGAGTCAGGCTGTTTCTGACTAATTAGGATAGTCTAAGGGTGTGTGTTGGGGATGCCTGCTATGAAAATGGTGTGCTTTGATATTTATTTAAAATGTGCCTATGTTCATCTCCTTTATTCTCCATGTAGCTATTTACTGGAAAGTAAAGTAAATATCAGTTAAAGGTTCTCTATGTTGCCCAGGCTGGCCTTGAAGTCCTGGCCTCAAGCGATCCTCCCGCCTTGGTGTGAGCCACTGTGTTTGTCCAACATTGTTTTAAGAAACCCAAACCCATGACCAGGATCTATCTCAGTAGACAGTGTATTTCATATTATTTGTTCCTTATCACACTGAAGCATTTTCAACAAGAAATATTTTATACTGACTTGCATGCAATAATACTTTACACGTAGGCTTCCAGAAGTTTCTTTGCCTTCCCAAGTTTCCAGACATGCCTTGAGGCTTCCTCTAGAGTCACTATCTCCAGAGCTGCTTTTCCAAAACAACTTGTACCATTGCTTAAGCAGACGTTTTTGAAGATTTTTCTTCTTTTGCCAACGTTTATGCCCGGTTTCTTAGCAGATGTTTAGTCTTGTTTCATCCAGGATACGGATGCTGAGCTCTCTCTGAGCCTCTAAAAAAATCCCATGGTAAGTTTTTAGGAACCACCAACTAAGCCTCTTGGTTAACAAGCAAGGACTATGTAAAGGCACGTTCTAGGGCTGAGCAGAGAAGTTGGAGAGATCTCCTGCTCAAAAGAAATAAAAGGCAGAAAACCCCCCGTTGGCTCCGATCGGATTTGCTGCTGTAGTTTCACTGTAGTCATTTCTAGCAATTTATTCCTCTCCTTGTCTGTGGGAGGATTAGAGTCTGCAAAAGGAATCTGACAAAACACCAAAAAGTGTAGCTGAATGAAAATGCTGAAATATCACTGCAGAGGCAGGCAGATGTCTCTCTGTGAGCCAGGGAGATAGATATGCCTGAGAGAGGAGAAAAGAGCATTTGTACAAAGCTGGAGCCAGAAGTCAAAGTGGGAGCTTGAGATGTGAGGGGGATTTGGCCACTGAAGAGTTGGGCTGATTCTGACTAACAAGGATAGTCTAGGGCTCTGCCTGTGTGGGCGCCTGGCTGTGAAAATGGCATGCTTTGATATTTATTTAAAATGTATCCATGTTTATCTCCCTGATACTTCATACAGCTATTTACTGGGGAGTAAAGAGCTATAATCTTGAACTCTTTAAAAATAATACGGCTGGGCGCAGTGACTCATGCCTGTAATCCCAGCACTTTGGGAGGCCGAGGTGGGCAGATCACCTGAGGTCAGGAGTTCGAGACCAGCCTGACCGACATGGAGAAACTCTGTCTCTACTAAAAATACAAAAATTAGCCGGGCATGGTGGCGCGTGCCTGTAATCCCAGTTACTCAGGAGGCTGAGGCAGGAGAATCGCTTGAACCCAGGAGGCAGAGGTTGCAGTGAGCCGAGAAACACGCCATTGCACTCCAGCCTAGGCAACAAGAGTGAAACTCGGTCTCAAAGAAAAAAGAAAAAAGAAAGAAAAGAAAAGAAAGAAAGAAAAAGAAGAAAGAAAGAAAGATGAAAGAAAGAAAAAGAAAGAAAGAAAGAAAGAGAAAGAAAGAAAATAATACACATACTTTTCAGCTTGAATTAGAGGACAAGGTCACACTTCTGCCATCTGGTAATAGGGCCCCGAAACTACTGAGAAAGGGACTGCACCCCACTTCTTCAGTTATGAAAAGATAACACCAAAAATCATAAGAGAGCAACTTGTTTCAAAGGGAGACAGAAAACAGGTATTCTAGAAAGACAAGTTGCTTTTATTTTTCTTCTATAGGTTAATATGGTCCATAATTATGAAAGAAAGTGTCCCAGAAGAGGTAGATTGAACTCATAGATAAAAAATTAGCAGCATGTTTTTAAAAACCAAGGTATTTATCTAGGTAGTGGGCTTATAGATAATTTTATTTATTTTTCCATAATTTCTTTTCTTTTTTTCTTTTTTCTTTTTTCTTTTTTTTTTTGAGATGGAGTTTTGCTCTTTTGCCCAGGCTAGAGTGAAATGGTGTGATCTCAGCTCACCACAACCTCTGCCTCCCGGGTTCAAGCGATTTTCCTGCCTCAGCCTCCCGAGGAGCTGGGATTACAGGTGCCTGCCATCATGCTCAGCTAATTTTTTTGTATTTTTAGTCAAGACGGGGTTTCGCCATGTTGGCCAGGCTGGTCTCAAACTCCTGACCTCAGGTGATCCACCCGCCTTGGCCTCCCAAAGTGCTAGGATTACAGGCGTGAGCCACTGCGCCCGGTCTATTTCTCTATAATTTCTGAATGTTTTGCAGCATCAGTCACTTCTATAATCTGACACTTGAAAATAAATAAAACTGTCCTATTTTAAACATCAAGCAGTTAGAGATTATCTCGCTGTATTTTTTAGAAAAGTAATTCCTACACAGTTGAAACCCTGAGATGACGGGGGGGTAGATGATCCTTTCATGTCTAACAAATGAAAGGCCAGCAGGGTTTTGTGGTTACAAGTTTGATTTTTGTTTTTGTTTGTATATCTTTTATCTTGTTTCAGAAAGGAATTCAAAGAGCCTTTCAAAGGCAAAAGAGGATTTAAAAGGTGGAGTAAGTGAAACACGTGGAGGGGATAGAATTAAGCTGAATTATGTGGCCCAGGCATCTACTCACCTGCATATTTGATCTGGCCATTCCAACAGCCAGCCAGAGAAATGGAATCTTCTCAGTTATACGATTCATCATGCCCACAAGAAGAACACAACCAGTCGTAGGGGAGATGTACACTTATTGGTACAAAGATGAGGCATTCTCCCAGTAGTCCTCTTAAAGAGGATATTGTGAGGCCAGGCTTGGTGGCTCACGCCTGTAATCCCAGCACTTTGGGAGGCCAAGGTGGGCAGACGACAAGGTCAAGAGATTGAGACCATCCTGGCAAACACGGTGAAACCCCATCTCTACTAAAAATACAAAAATTAGCTGGGCGTGGTGGCACATGCCTGTAGTCCCAGCTACTCCAGAGGCGGAGGCAGGAGAATCGCTTGAACCCGGGAGGTGGAAGTTGCAGGGAGCCGAGATCGCGCCACTGCACTCCAGCCTGGCAACAGAGCAAGACTCCGTCTCAAAAAAAAAAAAAAAAAAAACAAAAAAAAAAAAACGTGTTATAATAAACAAGATTATCACAAATGATAAATTTTAAGGGTTGTTTTATATAACAGTCTTTATGGCTGGGTCTGGTGGCTCGCACCTGTAATCCCAGCACTTTGGGAGGTTGAGGAGGGCTCAAGGGTTTGAGACTAGCCTGGGCAACATGGCAAAAACCCATCTCTACAAAAAGTTAATTAAAAAATATTGGCTGGGCATGGTGGTGCACACCTGTAGTCCCAGTTACTTGGGAGGCCAAGGTGAGAGGATGGCTTGAGGCCAGGAGGTTGAGGCTTCAGTAAGCTGAGATCATGTCACTGCACTCCAGTCTGGGCAACAAGCGAGACCCTATCTTAAAAAGAAAAAAAAAAAACCTGTCTTCAATAAACTAAGGGTATCACTCCGAAGTGAAGGTCAGTAAAAGCACACATGATGGTGGCATGACCCTACCAAGGGGACCCCCCCCCGCTCTCTGCTGATTTGGTGTGGCCCAAATATGGTTTCAATTATCAGGATGAGTAAATGGCCTATATTCCTTTTCTAAAGTTCTCTCTGGATATCATTTCTTTCAGCTAAACTGTTGGTAAATACTGCATGGGAGGGAGCTGGAGATTGCATTCCTGGGCAGTGCAAATCCTCTGTTTTGTAATAAACAATGAATCTGAAAGAAGGTCTCATCTGCTTATGAAAACTAAGAAGCCTGGCAAGAGTCCTTGCCTAGTTTGACAGCAGACCTGAGTCAAAGTTGTGCCTGCAGACTGTCCCCACAGACACACTACTATTTTCTACCTGCTCCACACGTGTACAGGTGGTCCCCAGAGCATCGCACTTGTACTCTATGTAGCAGAGACAAAATCATTTTACCCTGCACAGCTTTGTAGAGCACATGCAGCCACATGCCCACACTCTGAATGATACCAGGAGGTATGACTTGTCTCTCTAACTCCTGTTAACTTCCCCGATGGTTCATCTGGGGGTCTTTTCTACTTAGAACCCAATGATAGTTCCACGTTATACAGCTGAGTTTTAAAAACAAACCAGAATGGAGCATTTAAGCATTTTGCTGAAGCATTTTGCTTCTTGGGTTGCTTAAGAACCATTCTGCATGGTGGCTCTGATCCTTACTAGCTTTTTGTTTTTATAATTATTTTGTATTCATACATATACAATATTTGTATATATTTCTGGGGTACATGTGATATCTTGATGCCTCAAGCTATCTATCATCATATATATATATATATATATATATATATATATATATATATATATATATATATATATTATAATGATCAAATCAGGGTATTTAGGCTATCCATCGCCTTGATAGCTTCTTGACTTTAATAAGCACTCCAGATGAGATCCTGCCTACCTGGACCAAGTGGAAAGTGAATCCCATCTTCCAAAAGGGAAACCCTTTACCACCCAAGAATACAGACCTATTTCTTTCCTGGACATTTTTCCCAAAGAATAGGCCAGCTTCTGGCTTGATTAACCATGGGTTTGGGTTCCCCAGGTGAACATTCCTCACCATTCATATGAAGAATGATGGATGAGTCTTGGCTATTCCATAAAGAGCTCTGTAATATGTACTCCTGCCCCGTGAGGAGAACCATTAAATAATATAGTAGATCACACATAAATATGATGGGAGTTTCCTTGAACTTTGGTTCATGGACAGGAGTCAAAGGTTAAGCTATAATCATTCCACATAGATTCTTTGTTTGGATTGAAATATAGAAATTGGAGTCTAGTATTACTATAAGAGTTGGTAAAAATGTTGCTTTCTTACTGAGTCTACTGCTGGATGATGTGTATGCCTTTCCAGCCATATAAGGATGAGAAGGATAATCATTCTTTTTATATTCAGTTAGTATTATTTATTAGATAATTAAATTAGAAATAACCTCATGAAAAAACTGGTTTGTCTGGGTAATTACTGCCACAAAAAATGACATAGTTTAAGGGTTGGCACTATGAGAGTGGGTCAAATCTGGCCTGCTATCTGTTTTTGTAAATAAAGTTTTATTGGAATACAGTTTCACTTCACTCGTATATGTATCATCTACGATTCTAGAATGGTAGAATTAAGTAGTTACAAGAGAGACCGTACAGCCTACAAATCCTAAAATATTTACTCACTGCCTCTTTACACACAAAAAAAATTGTCAACTCTTGATACAGAACACCTAAAAATCTGAAGTTATTGTTTTTGGTAGGTAGTCCCTAGTTTTTATTCACTTACACAAAATCTCCCTAATATCCCTGAATCAGACCACCTTGTATGATCCAATTGCCATATCTATCAACCAGTCTGTTCTCTCAAGGTTTACTGGTAATTATGTACTCATTGGTATATTAATTGTGTTTTTAAGGCAAAGAACTTTACAATAAACTTTAAATGTTATAAAATCCTAGAGAGTTCCTTCCAAATTTGGGGGGTTGGGGGTACTTTATAACTGCCTTCATTTGTTTTTGGCTACTCAATAGTATTTACCAAACTAAGCAGTTGTATCCATTGTAAAAGAAAAAATATGAACTAATTACAAATAAATTTTATTATTAAAAATGTGCAGGATCAATATAAAGAAGACAGCTAATATTTTCTAAGGTGCATAATAAAAGATTAAATTAAATGAGGGATATATACTGTGTGTCCCTGAAATGGGAAAATTTTAATTATCCCCAAATTCATCAGCAAATGTAATTCCAAACAGAAATTCTAATTTGCTTTTGGACAAAATAATAGTAAAAAACATGTAGAGGAATAAATGCATGAGGCTAAAACGTATATACACGCATGTATAAAAATACAGATGGACAGTTGCACTGCTAGATAGTTAGATATTGAAAGGTAATATACAATTGTAATGATTAAAACAGTGGTGCCAAACAGATAGAATAGGCAGCATGGAATTGTATGTGTAATGAATTATGGTCCACAGAGAAAGCACTGAGACACAGACACTGGGTGGAAATATTCACTTAATAACAAAGAACTGGCTGATATTTATGTGCACATTTTGGCAACCCAGGAGACAGCAGCACAGGCATTCAGAAGCACCCCAGATGGTGTCCAAGACCCAAGGAGATGCTTTTGGGCAACAGACTCCCATAACAGAAGCCTGCATGACACAGACATCACCAGATCCAGCTCGATTCTCCTTTTATAGTCAACTGCTGCTTATTTTGAGATGCTTTTCCAGTCAAAATCTTGATTCCCATAGCTGCTACTCTACTATGAAAATAGTCTTAAATGGCCGGGCGTGGTGATTCATGCCTGTAATCCCAGCACTTTGGGAAGCCGAGGCAGGCAGATCACGAGGTCGGGAGTTCGAGACCAGTCTGGCCAACATAGTGAAACCCCATCTCTACTAAAAATACAAAAAAATTAGCCGGACATGGTGGTGGGCGCCTGTAGTCCCAGCTACTCAGGAGGCTGAGGCAGGAGAATCGCGTGAACCCAGGAGGCAGAGTTTGCAGTGAGCCAAGATTGCGCCATTGCACTCCAGCCTGGGTGACAGTGTGAGACTCCATCTCAAAAAAAAAAATTAAAAAAAATTAAAAAAAGAAAATAGCCTTAAAACTATGGAATAGTTTCTGGATATAAGTTCGTAGTTAACTCTATAGGCCTATCTTTGGGCAACCCTGTCTTACCAGCTATAATCTAAGCAGCCTAGATGCTCAGCCAACAAACTATGCTGTCTTCCTCAATGGCTCAATATTTGGTATAGGATTAAGATAAATTGACATAAAACTGAGGAAAGGCTGCATTAGAACCAATATGTATTATTTTATAATAAATTCTTATCTCATGATGTAAAACAAAACAAATTCCACATATACTAAGATGCCAAAAGCGAAACCATACAAGAATAAGAAAAACAATATGTGTCCCAATTGGGGATGGGAATAATCTCTTTGAGCATATCCCTACACTAGGCCCAAAGTCCCTGCTCAAAAATTGCTTTGTGAATTATAAATTAATAAATTACCAAAGGACAAACCATAGAGGAAAATACTGATAAAGTTGACTATATTTGAAAGTAAGAGATTTGTGAGTCAAAAAATTAAATGATAAGACAAATGATTTTGGGGGAAAATGTTATGATGTGTGACAGATGGGAAATCAATATCCTTTATATATAGGAGTCTCTAAGAAAAATTAATTACCCTAATAGGGGAAAAATGGGCAAAAGAAATGATCAAACATATTCAACAAATATTCAAACGTATATCAAACTTAGTTCCCCTATCAAACATAGAGGAAATGAAAAAATGATTAATTTCACTAGTTACTGATGAAACACAAAGTATACTTGTGTATACGTTTCTAGTTGGCAGTGACCTCCCCCAAAACAAACAAAAAAAAACACCTAGTGCTGCTCAGGGTGAGGGGAAATGGGCACAGTACTGTCAATCGGAATCAGAATTCTAATTCAGCACATTTCTGACACCTTGAAATTAGAACCCCTCTACATTCTGATTCTAGTAATCTTCCTTAGGGAAAACAATTAAGGACATACACTAAGTTCTGCCTGTTACGAGCCTTATTGATAACACCATTGAAATGGAAACAACCTAGTTATCTAACAATAAGGATAGGTTAAAAAACCACACACACACACACAAGTTACAATGTATTGATGTAGCTGAATGCTAAGCTACCATTGACAGTCATCATGGAAGTGTGCATTATTGACTTAGAAAAACAGTGACAGTATTTTGTCACTGAAAAAGCACATCTCAGTTTGTTCGGCATTGTTGCTTTTTTGTGTGGAAAAAAATACACACACACTTCTTTTTTGTTCAATTTTACTTTCTGGTTTTTCAACAATTATACATGTTAACTATAGAGTTTTTAGACATTAAAACCAGCAACAGCCAGAGTTGTTTTTAGCGAGGACACAGAGATACTCAGCTGCTCCCAGAAGCCCAGCACATGAGCAGAGAAATGGCATGCTTCCTTCAGACATCCCCCGCTTGATCACAGTTGAAGGAATGTCTCAGAACACCATGTTATAAAGTTCTAGCAGCATCCCTGACATGTCTGTTGTCAAGGTTAGTCGTTTATTTAAGATGTTCTTCTTTGTGGAAGGTTTTCCATACTCATGAGGAAAAGAAGGCACAGTGTGTAAATTTTTCACAAACAAAGCTAGCATATGTTTCAGAGCGAGGCAGCTGACCTCTGTAATGATGGCCGACGTTTCTCACGCTAACAAGCTAACTTTCTTCACCATGGATGGAACTGCACGGCAAATGGTGAACTTCTTAATTGTTCTTTCTTCCCCATAGGCAGTATCAGCTGATGTTTGGTAGGTTACTGCAGTATTCGTAGGGATAGGATTCCCAGTGGACCAATAAAGTTTTTTCAGTTGTCTTTGAAACTGATTTGAGTAGAATGCCACCAAGACAAGGTCAACTGTGCAGTATTGATAAACAAAGAAACAGCTCAGATACCGTTAGTGAGGGTTAATATGGTGGCTCTGTGGCCAGTCGGTCTGGGTCATCAGCTGGTGCCATTACCCATAGCTGTGTGAGCTGGACAGGTTACTACTCTGTGTGTGTGTGTGTGTGTGTGTGTGTGTGTGTGTGTGTGTGTGTGTGTGTGTGTAAGTGTGTAAATGTCTTTCCCCCAAATTACTTTTTTGGGACATTTTTCTATGATGCCATTGTCCTCCCCCTGATGAGCATTTCAGTTTAAACACACGATTCTCAGAGCAGGTTAGCTACAGATGGGGGTTTTCCACAGTCTTGGAATTAGTACTGATAAACAAAGAAACAGCTCAGATACGGTTAGTGAGGGTTAGGATGGCAGCTCTTCTGTTGGTCTGTCTGGTTCATCATTACGCACAGCCAGTACCCACAGCTGTGTGACCTGGACAGGCCACTGCACCATGCCTTAGTTTTCTCACCTATAAAATGGGGCTACTACTAGTTTCTACCTCTTAGAGTTGCTATAAAGATTAAATACAGCAATATATGTAAAGAACCTAGTTGGCCCCTAAAGTTTATCGAGTCCTTCACATTTATAACATTGACAGTAATCAGTGGCTCCATGCATGGATTCAGAAGCAATGCCTTAGACGGGAGGAATAAGCTTTAGTGATCCACTGCACAGAATCGTGACTATAATTAACAGCCATGCATTGTATATTTCAAAATTGCTTAAAGATTAGATTTTAAATGTTCTCAACACACAGTATTGATGCATATATGAGGTGATGGATAGGTTAATTAGCTTGATTTAATCATTCCACAATGTACACATGTATCAAAACACTTTGTGCCAAATAAATATATCCAGTTTATTATTTGTCAAATACAAATAAAATTTGTAAAATAAAATGCCTCATGAAATCCACGCAGAGGAAATATGAAAAACTAGGAGATGTGAGAAGAAATTCAGTCAGAAGTCAGATGACAGAAGATAATGATGTAGAACAGAAAATTTCATAGGGTGGAGAGAAAATTGAAGCAGGAGAAGTTTGGAGTGACACATGTTGTCACTTGACCAGCGCCAGCCGATGGCTCTGAACTGCGGTGTAAGTGGTGCAAGAATTAGGGAAGAAATAGGCACCGGGATCTTCCCTAGGGGACAGCAGGCAGATCAAGCCACGTATACCATATTCCACTCCCAGCCAAGACATGGAGAAGGAGTGTCTGATGAGGCAGCAAAGTGTTAACAGTGGGTATCAGAAAGAGCATGTGTGAGCTCTGAGACGTTGGTGCCTGGTGCCCAGGGAGCATAGATCCTTGTTTCTTTCCCTTCCTTATCTCTCTCAGAGTGTCCAACCAAAAGGGGAGAAAGCAAAATAGGCTGTGCGCGCGCGTGTGTGTGTGTGCGCGCACGCGCGTATGTGTGTAAATGCCTTTCCCCCAGATTCCTTTTTTGGAACATTTTCCTATGATCCCACATCCTCCCCTCCAGTGAGCGTTTCAGTTTAAGCATACACAATTCTCAGATCAAGTTAGCTACAGACAGGGATTTTGCTATAGTCTTGGAATTAGAGTTCTGAATTGAATGCAGTCTAAGGCCCAAGCCTCCCAAAGCAGGAGCCCATGCCTTTCCCCATTCTATCAGGGCTTTTTTTTTTTTTTTTTTTTTTTTTCATTTCATTCCAGCTCCTGCAGGCTTCCTCATGACACATATTCCACCTCTCAGCACACAGTGATCTCCAGGGTCTCCCTGAGGATTAGCAAAGGGAGCTCCACATCCTTTCCACTGGGCATATGGTTACCTGGAAATAGGCGTGTTGGTGCAAGACACCACATCCAGTTTCCTCCCTTTCCACTCCCAGAGAACTTCTCAGGGATCTGGCAGACTGCGTGAGTGTAAACAGCCACTTTGGGTTGTGTTGCCTTTGCTGCTGAGCTGTGCCTGTTAGCTATGAAATCTGCCCAAATGCCTCAGACAAATGCTGTATCCAACAACCAGCAGGAATGAGTCCTCTGATGAAAAGAAATGGAATCAAATCTTCATTATCAGCCCTCTTTGCTTCTTCTACCTGGCCCTTTGCTCATTAGCCACAAACACCATAAGTTATGGAGACCTCAGAGCTGATTCAGCTGCCGTTACCTCCCACTTGCATTTCTATAGTAGCTTGTCAACGCATTTCCCTTCTTCACTCCAATTCTTCCTACTGGTTAATTCTTAGAAAACAAGACCCTTGCCATGCCGTCAACAGCCTTTCAGGATAAAGTCAAAGTCAATTTGGCGTTAAAGTGCCATAATCTAACCTCATTCTACCGTCTCTCATCTGCACTCCTACCAACCCTCTATGACTCAGGCCCCATTCTCTCACGTTTTATTCTTGGCCTTTCTTTCTGTGAAAGAAGTCACCTCCCCTGGCCTCTCTCCCCACCGTCCAAAATCAAGTCTCCTTTATAGCTGCATTCAAGATTTACTTTCTTTTTGAAGCTTCCCTTTCATTATTTTTTTTTTTTTTTTTTTTTTTGAGATGGAGTCTCGCTCTGTCTCCCAGCCTGGAGTGCACTGGCACCATCTCGGCTGACTGCCAGCTCTGCCTCCCGGGTTCACGCCATTCTCCTGCCTCAGCCTCCCAAGTAGCTGGGACTACAGGCACCTGCCACCATGCCTGGCTAATTTTTTGTATTTTTAGTAGAGACGGGGTTTCACTGTGTTAGCCAGGATGATCTCGATCTACTGACCTCGTGATCCACCTACCTCGCCTCCCAAAGTGCTGGGATTACAGGCGTGAGCCACCGCGCCCAGCCTCATTATTCTTACTCTATTAAAATCTTCAAAATATTTTATGTACTCTCTGCAATTACACAGACTAGTATTTATTCTAACTTTTTTTTGTTTGTTTTTGTTTTTTGAGATGGAGTTTCACTCTTGTTGCCCTGGCTGGAGTGCAATGGTGCAATCTCAGCTCACCACAACCTCCTCTCCCGGGTTCAAGCGATTCTCCTCCTGCTTCAGCTTCCCAAATAGCTGGGATTACAGGCGCCTGCCACCATGCCTTGCTAATCTTTTTTTTCTTTTTTTTTTTTTTTTTTTTGTATTTTTAGTAGAGACAGGTTTTCACCATGTTGACCAGGCTGGTCTTGAACTTCTGACTTCAAGTGATCCGCCCACCTTGGCCTCCCAAAGTGCTAGAATTATACAGGCATGAGTCACTGCGCCCGGCCTATTCTAACATTTTGAAATATTTATTGAGCAATTGAGCACCTACTATGAGCAAGTTGCACTGTGTCAGATCTGCCTTCATATCTCCCCAAGTGCCCGGCATAATGGCCATATTTATCCACTCAATGGATGCATGTTGAGTGGAAGGGCTATGTTAGACTCCTTGGGAAGCAAAAAGATGAATTTTTCATCACCTGCCATCATCAAGAAATTAGTGTGTTAGAAGACACAAGGCATGTACATATGTAATTATAACACAATGTAGAAAGTGGTAAGCACCCCCAAGAAATGACAGAGCAGAGGAGAGTTCACAGTAAAGAAAGATTACCTGCAGCTGAAGGAATTGGAGAAAGCTGCCATGGATAAGGTGTTGTTTTAGAGGGCCTTGAAGGATGAATAAAAATTGAACAAGTGGTAATGTGGGAAAAGACATTCCAGGGAGACAGAAACAAGATTCAGAAAAGTGATGACAGCATAAAAAAGGAACTCAGTGGAAAGATCAATAAGGGGTTGTGTGCTGAGACTATTCTAGGAAGGCTACGGGCCAGGAGCGGTGGCACATGGCTGTAATCCCAGCACTTTGGGAGGCCAAGGAGGGTGGATCACGAGGTCAAGAGATTGAGACCATCCTGGCCAACATGGTGAAACCCCATCTCTACTAAAAATACAAAAATTAGCCATGCGTGGTGGCAGGCACCTGTAACCCCAGCTACTCGGGAGGCTGAAGCAGGAGGATTGCTTGAACCCAGGAGGCAGAGGTTGCGGTGAGGGTGAGCCAAGAGCGCACCACTGCACTCCAGCCTGGCAACAAAGCGAGACTCCATCTCAAAAAAAATAAAATAAAATAGAAATAAAAGAAGGCTATGGTGCAGGAAAGCAGGTATAAGATGGCAGAGGACCCCTGGCATGTTCATCCATGTCCATACGGCCAGGAGTCATCACCTGGAAGCAGTGCTATGCATGGAGATTCCCAGAAAAAGAGCACTCATTGCCCAACTCCTGGTCTTGTGTGTCTAACCAACTTCCCCAGCAGTGTGGCTGGTTTCTGCCAGGCTGCATGTTCCAATAGGATGATGGCCTTTAGGTGAAGGAAAAGAAGGGCTACAATGTGAAGCTACAAGAATGCTGTCAGCAGGGAGATGCAAGGACAAAGAATAGCTACATTGCTCCGGGCTGAGTCAGAGGCAGACTCCTTAGGGGGTTTTTAGGGTGAGTGTAAGAACAGATTTCTAGATTAGAAGCAGTGTGAACCTTTGTCCAAGAATCAGCCATTTATTACCAGTGTGCAAACCTAGATCCCACTAGAAACCCTGTCCAGCTCAACAGATGAGTCTGTATTTGCACGTTCTGGCAAAACCACATTATAGTGCAGAGATCAAGAGCATCGTGTTTGGAGTTATTAGATGTGAATTTGAATTCAGGTTCAGCTACTTATTTTTTGCGTGACCTCCTTGGGCAACTCAATGTCATCTATAAAATGTAAATGAGCTCACAGACTTGTTGTGAGGTTCAATGGCATGATATTTCCAAATTACTTCAAACAATGTCCAACAAAACAACAGTAGCTGATGGGAAAACAATGTGTGTGTGTGTGTGTGTGTGGTGTGTGTGTATATATCTATATACATATGTACACATATATATACACATATAGACATATATAGATATATAGAGATATTTATATCTATATATACAGATAGATAGATAGATATATATAGAGAGAGAAAGTGAGACAGAGTCTTTTCCCAAACGTGATAAATAAAGCTCCACTGATAGGGATGGCAATATGTGTGGATTCTTGGGCCAGGCACCAGAGTCAGAATTTCTTCCAGTTGGTATTATAATGGGAAGAACAAATGTGAAAGTTAAACACAGACCTAGATCACAGAAAATTTCACTACTTAAGGGAGCTATGATAGTATGTCAGGTACACTCATAGCATTACTGGGTAGATGCAGGGATAGCTATGATAGTATGCCAGGAACACTCATAGCATTACTGGGTAGATGCAGGGGGAGCTATGATAGTATGTCAGGTACACGCATAGCATTACTGGGTAGATGCAGGTGGTGTGGTGATCTACTTTGTATTTGGGATATTTGGGGGTTTCCCAAAAGGTTGCACATTCTCAAAAGAGCAACCATTCTATCATTCCAATATTTCAACTTGAGTTGAGTTTTGTGATGTTAAGTAGCTATGTCAGGTGCCTAGATTGGAGCTTGACAGATTGTAAGATGGGGTGCCTGCCCATGGGTGGAGGTGAAAAGAATCTGAAATTTGCAAAAGAATCTCACAGCAATCCCACTTCAGAGGGAATATCATAGGCCTTATGCCTCCATAGGGAGCCCACCTGCAGGCCCGCTTGGCACTGTGTCAGCAGCCAAGCCCAGCCCACCCTTGCTCATATCCACCTCATCACACATCTGGTGCTCACACCTGATTCCACTCCCAAGCAATTCCAGGGCATTTCAAGGTTGTCTTCCCATGGGTATGATTTAAATAGCTCTCAGGATATTCCTGAGTTTTCCCTATTACCAGCAAGAGGATTAGTCACCTGGAGCTGAGCAGGGTATGGTAAATGTGTCTTTTGTAGTAATTACAATAACTTCAAGCAGAACAAACACAGCTCCAGCATCTCCAGGCTCACACGAGCCAAAGCTGTCCTGAAGACGCGGATCACAGCAGGTGGCAGGCAGCTCTCCCAAGAAGACCTAAAGTTTGTCTTTTTAAGTGAATCTGGCAGAAGACACATTGTTTCCCTGTGTGGGCATGACAACCAATGTGATGCCACTTTTTTTTCAAGCAGAATTGAAAATGAACATCCTTGCCAGAAGTAGGGAAGCAGAGCAGGCTCACTGGAGAGGAGTTCACACAGACCTGGGCTCTCAAGAAAAAGAGCACTCACTACTCAGCTCCAAGGGGACCCTGAGTCAGGGCTTCTGGGGTAAAGGGACAAGACTGAGAAATAGGGAAAGCAAGAGAGTGGACAGAAGCACAGGAATCAGTGACCTCATAATGTCATCAGCAACCAACCTGTCTTACTGGGTGGCGGCGGGGGGGATCCCACTTTCTGACACCAAGAGTCAAAGGCCTGCCTCTGTGCATTGACTTTTTCATGCCACCAAGATCTAAAGAGCTGTGTTGGAATGAATTAGAATGATAACTAATCTTCAAGCCGAAGTGCCAAGTGTGGGTTGGATTTGAGATTAGGAAGGAGGGGTGCCTTCTTTCCCCCAACACGCTCATACTCAGATATATGTGAAATGCTATGACCCACAAACCTGGCTACAGGCCCAGAATATCTGCCACTTTGGGCCTTAGGAAGAAGAGAAGAAGAAGAAGGAAGCTCAGATAAGCAATCCAGTATTATCACCATGGCCTCTTGTTCATTTTCTGCTACCTCAAGAGTTGATTCATTTACTTATTTATTAATCATTCAAAAAACTGCACAAGTACCTCCAAGGAGCCTAAGAAATATTGTGCTACGGTAAACACAAAAGCACTGTCATTGAACTCAACCTCCAGAAACATTCAATGTATAAATAGTTGAGGAAGAGAGCCTTACATGCAGAAGTATTTAATGAACTTTGAAAGAGTGAATGAATGAGACAGAGAAGAAGCAATATATGATGAAGCACCAAAAATGAATGACAGTGGTGACAAATTCTCCAATTATCAGAAGAGCAAAGAACTCCATTTTGCACTGGAGGACCTGAGTATGGCTTTATGGAGATGAACCTGAGTTTGTTGTTGTTGTTATTGTTGTTGTTTTTGAGATGGAGTCTGGCTCTGTCACCAAGGCTGGAGTGGTGCAGTGGCATGATCTCGGCTCACTGCAACTTCTGCCTCTTGGGTTCAAGCAATTCTCCTGCCTCAGCCTCCAAAGTAGCTGGGACTACAGGCACCCACCACCATGCCCAGCTAATTTTTGTATTTTTAGTAGAGGCGGGGTTTCACCATGTTGGCCAGGCTGGTCTCAACTCCTGACCTTGTGATCCACCCGCTTCGGCCTCCCAAAGGGCTGGGATTACAGGTGTGAGCCACCACATCCGACCTACCTGAGTTTTATCTTCAAGGATTGGAAGAGTTTGGGAGAAGTGAGAAGGAGAAGAACAATCAAAGTGGAAGATGTTCTTCCCAAGGCAAGCACCGAGGAATAGGGGTTTTGGGGACAGCAGAAGGAAACCAGTCCGTGTGAGTCCCTGGCATGTTGAGTGAAATGAAATGGGCCTGGACTATAGGGCAGCCTTGAAAATGAAGTTCCACCTGCAGCATTGCCCAAAGTGTGGGCCAGTTTCCAGCAGTCACCTAAGATGCTTTTAAAAAGCTGATTCCTAGAGCCTGTGTCGAATCTTCCAAAATCATAATTTATGGGGTGGAACGAAGGCCCAGAATCTTTTTAATCAGTTCCTCATGTAATTCTTAAGTACACTAGAGTTTAAAACTCGTTGGCCTTAAGCATCTAAACTTTAACCTGGTGGTAGTTAAAATACTTGCAGGCTCAAGGCCAGGATGACACAGCATTGGAGAAACCAGGTTATCATAGCAATTCTGGAGTGTGGTGATCAGGCCCCAGACATGAGAGTTATAGCCAATATCTATATCACCTCTTTGTTTTTTTGTTGTTGTTGTTTTTGTTTGTTTGTTTGTTTGGAGATGGAGTCTCGCTCTGTCAACCAAGCTGGAATGCAGTGGCACGATCTTGACTTACTGCAACCTCCACCTCCTAGGTTCAAACAATTCTCCTGTCTCAGCCTCACCAAGTAGCTGGGACTACAGGCGCCTGCCACCATGCCCGGCTAATTTTTTTACTTTTAATAGAGACGGGGTTTCACCATGTTGGCCAGGCTGGTCTTGAACTCCCAATCTCAGGTGATCCACCCGCCTTGGCCTCCCAAAGTGCTGGGATTACTGGCATGAGCCACCACACCCGGCCCACCTCTTTGTTTTATACTCTCAGGATCCCATTGATCCAGCCATTGTTTATGCCTTTGGGCATTATTTGTACCCCCCAACTTTCCTTTGACTCACTAAACAGAAATTGCTTTTGTTATATCTGCCATTGAATGATCATGAAGAATGGCAGACACCAAATCACCCTTCCTCTGTTTCACCTACTGCCCACTCCAAACACACACATAACCAAACACATGCAAACATCAATACATGCAAACACATACATATCCACACAGTGTATTTGTACCACAGAGTCAACTGCCCACCTCCCTTAGCAGATAAACCTGCTACCAAACGTGAGGAAACTCACTGTCAGCTTCTTCAGCCTTGGCTGCTGAGGCAAGGGTGCATGTGCTGCTTCTAGGAGACCTGCTAACTGCTGCTGGTGGTCCACATGCTCTCAGTGGGCAGAGGGGCCCCAGCTTGCTTCTCTGCTTCCTGCAAACAGCCTTGGAGCTCAAACGGAGATTGTTTTGTCACTTTGTGGTCTTGTCAGCATATCGATCAATGAGTCCTGAGCGCTAATTGTTGTTATCCAGCTCAATCCATCAGGAAGGCTGATATCCCTGACTGGGCACTGTGCCAAAGCCCAGGACTCATGAAGAGAGAAGGAGGAGGGACTGGTAATTGAGGGAGAGGAGATATGATCAGTTGATAAGTCCAGAGAAAGACAGGATGCCAAACTTAACAGACTGCATGCATATCCCCGCAGAGAAGAGCCCTCGACAAAATCAGAGAATTGTTAGCTTTGCTATTCGGTGTACGTCATGAATTCTGCTGGCCTCCCTTCCACATCAACACATATCTTCCCACACGTTCCAGACCTCCACCCATTACATAGAAAACCATCTGCCCGAACCCCCACAGGACATCTTTGGAGTACACTAACGTAGCATTTGTCAAAGCTGGTTAATGAACCTATGCTGGAAATTTCCATTTGACCCTCTGTATCGACTCTCCACCCTTCTCAGTGCTCCTGGATGCTGACCTGTGGGTATTACTTTGCTAGGTTTCTCATTCTGTGGCTGCTGGTTGGGTTTGATAAATGGGGAATCCCCAAAAGAGAGCAGAGAGATGGAGGAGAGTGAAGTTGGGACACTTCATTCCCAGGCTACCTTCCTGTACATTAATGGGAGTCTGGCTATGTCTCTCAACTAAAGATCAGAGGACCCTGTGTACACAGTTCTCCCTGCCTTTGGGTTCCAGAAGCCACTCCTTTCCTTCATCACTCAGGCCCAGTTTGGCTAAAGCTCTCACTTCTACTAGTCCTGGAGCACTACAGTGTCTCTTGGGGGTTCCATACATCCTGCTAACACTTTTGAATGTAGTCCTTTTGTTAAAGTCCCCCCAGAATACCCCAATGGATGTATATGTTTCCTGTCTACACTCTGTGTTAGGTGAAAAAATTGCTCTATGGTCAAATAACTAATAAAATGGGTTATTTATGGTTGGACTTCTCAGTGCCTTTAACATGCATGGTAAATGTCTGAGAGGAAGGATATAGTATGCAGGATTCAAAACTTACTTAACTCAAAACCACACCCATTCTTACAGAGTTCAGAGAAAGTATTTCATGGAACCCAGATATATACCAACACCCAAGGGCTACAAGCAATGAGATGCACAGCCACCAGAAAACACAAACCTTCTTGGAGTGTCTTCTGCGGAGCACAGAGAGACTTTGTAAATAGCATGGAAGCTTTCAGACAATGACGCATAATGAATAAAAGTACAGGCTTGGGAAAGTCCTGTCTCTGCCACCAACTCTCTGATCTTGGACAGGTTACTTCACTTCTCTGAACCTCTTTTCTCACCTATAAAATGCAGTAGCTGAACTTGATCAAGAGATTTTAAGTTTATTACCAGAGGAAATGTTTCTTCTAATGAAATCTTAGGTAGAGGCCCAGTACAGAAGACAGATGGAAACCCAGCTGCTCTGGGTGAGGCGGAGGTCAGGTGAGTAGGAGGAATGCTGACACTCCATCCCTTAGACACTATGCTTTAAACAGTGGCTTTTGAGCCACATCCACACAACCCTCAGGTCTCTCTGAAGCCAGTTTGGGAAACAGCATCCTAGAGGCACCTTTCAGTGACTGGTTTCATGTGAGCACAAGGTGGTCTTCATATGGAATCATGTTGGCCCCCACCTGAAGGAGGCAGAGGAAGCCACTGAGCTTATACTTAGAGCAAGAACTGCAAAGAGTCCCATGTGGAATCTTTCTTTTTTCATTTCTGAAAATGTGTCAGTCTGGTACAACAAATAACTCCCTTTATTTTGAGGCAAAGGAACTTTAGAACCTATTTTCCCCTTCTATGAGATGTCTTTAATACCAAATGACTCATCCCAGACAATATTCTAACTATTAATATGTATGAATGAGTCTGAAATCTGGACACAGGTATCATTCTCCCAGGATACAAAATGTTCAACCTAAAATGTATTTGGAATTTTACTAATACCAAAAGATCTTAAGATGCCTTTAAGCTACCCAGGGAGTGAGGACACAACCAGAGCTTCCCCTTCATCTCCACTTCCCTCTAACATCTCTTTGGCTGAGCACTGAGGTCTCCAGGGTACTAGGAAGCTAGAGGATGATTGGGGAGACTGTGCCCAGAACTCCAGTGAAGCTGGTCATGCCCCAGTAAGAAGGTTGGCAAATCCTTTCCTCATAAAGCAATTATGAAGCTAGAGAAAATTTATAAAAACAGCCATTTCAGTGCTCTGGAAATTGACCAAAGGTATACAATAATCTGAGAAGCATTTATGGTTGAACAACTGCTGAACTTCAGGTAAGAACAGTGAGGGGTTTATTAGCTCTAGACATTCTTGCCCAGAGCTGCTCCACCCTCCCCGCTGATCGGTCAGCACAGAGGTTCTACCTGGGTGGGACAGCCTGTGAGTACTGGCAACTGCTACTGTGGTCAAAACAGACTCAGCAGATTTGGGGCACTGTGAGATACCCTTGCCTTCTCATCACATATAGAGGAGCAGCAATACAATAAATGGCTGACTCCTCAACCAAAACAACAATGGCCAGAGGCAGTTGGGAAGACCTTTTCACAGTGCTACAAGAAAAAAAAAAAAAAGCCTGTCAACCAAGAATTCTACATACAGCAAAAATAATCTTCAAAAATGAAGGTGAAATAAAAACATTCTCAGACAAACAAAGACTGAGAAAATTATTTGCTAGCAAATCTGAATTATAAGAAATACTAAGGAAAGTTCAGGCTGAAAGGAAACAGACATTAGGACATAGCTCATTTGAGTTCATGCATTTGAATTCACACATATTAATTGTTAGAATATTGGTGGGGATGAGTCATTCAGTATTCAAGACATCTTATAGAAGGATGAAATAGGTTCTAAAATTCTTTTACCCCGAGATAAAGGGAGTTATTTGTTGCCTCAAACTGACACATTTTCAGAAATTAAAAAAAGAAAGGTTCCACATGGAACCTTTTGCAGTTCTTGCCTAAGTGTAAGCTCAGTGCCTTCCTCTACCTCCTTCAGATGGGGGCCAACATGATTCTCTGTGAAGACCACCTTATTCTCACATCAAAGCAGTCACTTAAGGGTGCTTCTAGGACAGCATTTCCAAAATGGCTTCAGAGAGACCTGAGGGTTGCTTGCAGGTGCCTCAAGGGCCACTGTGTAAAGAATAGTGTCTAGGATGGAGTATGAGCACTCTTCCTACTCAATCAACCCCTGCCTCTCCCAGAGCAGCTTGATTTCCATCTGTCTTCTGAATTGGGCTTCTACCTAAGATCTCATTAGAAGAAACAGTTCCACTGGTAATAAATTTAAAATTTCATTATCAAGAAAGAAGAAATTTAAACAGGAAGACATTTAAAACATTAGAAATTACAAATATGTGGCTAATGCAAGAGGCTCCGTAGACATATTTTTCTTGTGTCTTCTCCTAACTTTTAAAAGACATAAAAGTATATAAAGCAATAATTTTTATACTGCATTGTTGAGTGTAATGTATGTATACATATATATAGAGAGAGATGTAATATATATGACAATGATAAGACAAAGGAGGAGGATTCATTGATGCACTGTTGGAACAAAGTTTCTACATTCTACTGGAATTAGTTAATTCTGAGGATTGTGATGAGGTGAGACACATATGCAATCCCTAGAAGAGCCACTAAGAAAACAATTTTTAAAGTATAAATGTCAAAGGAATTAAAATGGTACAATATAAATAGAGATACATGCCACGTTTAGGGATTGGAAGACTGGACAGCAAAGATGTCAGTTCTCTTTAAAATAATGTACAGATTCAATGTAATTCCTACCAACATCCCTGCAAAATTTTTTTCTGGCTATAGACAATATTATTATAAAATTGATAAGAAAAGGCAAAGGAAGTAGAATAGCTAAAAGAATTTTGAAAAAGAAAAATAAAGTAGGAGGATAAGTCTACTCAATTTCAAGAAATATCATATAGCAACAGTAATCAAAACTGTGTGGCATTGGCAGAGGGATATACATATAGATAAATGGAACAGAATAGAAAACTCAGAAATAGGCCCATGCAAATATACCCAACTGATTTTTTGAAAAAGGTGCAAAAGCAATTTAGTGAAAAAAGGTGATCTTTTTAAAGAAGTGATTCTAGAGCAATTGGATATTTATAAGCAAAAAAAAAAAAAAAACAAAAAAAAGAACTTCAATGTAAGTCTCCTACCTCATATAAAAATTAACTCAAAATAGATCAGGTATTTACAATTGGATATTCATAAGCAAAAAAAAAAAGAACTTCAACATTTAAGTCTCCTACCTCATATAAAAATTAACTCAAAATAGATCATGTATTTAAATGTAAAATATAAAACTATAAAGCATGAAGAAAAAAACAGGAGAATTTTTTTCAGGCTTCAGGGATAGAAGAGAGTTCCTAAGCTTGATACCAGAAGCACAATGTATAAAATTTAAAAATTGATAAATCAGACTTAAAATTAAAACATTTGCTCTGCAAAAGACTCTATTAAAAGGATGACAAGACAGGGTATGCACTGGAAAAACTATTTGCAAACCTTCTATCTAATAATGGACTAATATCTAGGATATAAAAATAATTCTCAAAACAGGAAAATGCAATCTGATTTAAAAATGGGCAGAAGTAACGACGAGACATTATACTGAAGATATATAGATGAAAAACAAGCAAATGAAAAGATGTCCAACATCATTAGCCATAAGGGAAATGCACATTAAAACCACAATGAGATATCGCTACATACCTAAGGTATAAATAGCTAAAATTAAAAAAAAAGAATAGTGACAACGCCAAATACTGGCAAGGACATAGAGAAACTGGATCACTCATTCATTTTTGGTGGGAATGTAAAATGGTACAGTCACTATGGAAAACAGTTTGGAAGATTTTTTAAAAATTAAATATGCAGGCCGGGTGCGGTGGCTCACACCTGTAATCCCAGCACTTTGGGAGGCCAAGGCGGGTGGATCACGAGGTCAGGAGATTGCGACCATCCTGGCTAACAGGGTGAAACCCCGTCTCTACTAAAAATACAAAAAAATTAGCCAAGTGTGGTGGCAGACAGCTGTAGTCCCAGCCACTCGGGAGGCTGAGGCAGGAGAATGGCATGAACCTAGGAGGCGGAGCTTGCAGTGAGCCAAGATCACGCCACTGCACTCCAGCCTGGGCAACAGAGAAAGACTCTCTCTCCAAAAAAAAAAAAAAAAAAAAATTAAATATGCAACTACCATACAACTCAGTAATTGCATTCCTAGGTATTTATTCCAGGTATATGAAGCTGTATGTTGACATGACAACCTGCACACGAATGTTGACAGCATCTCCATTCATAATATCCCCAAACTGAAAACAACCCATATGCCTTTCAACAGGTCGATGGTTTAAAAAAAAAAAAAGTATGATACATCCATACCATGGAATATTCACTACTCAGCAATAAAAAGCAATGAACCATTTACATATGCAACAACCCGGAACAATCTCCAGAGAATTACACTCGCTGAAAGAAAACCCAATCCCAAAGTTAACATACTGTATGATTCCATTTCTATAACATTCACGAAATAGCAAAATTATAGGAATGAACGATTTATTGGTTGCCAGGCATTAAGGAAGGGGTGGGTGCAGGAAGGAAGTGGGTGCGGCTATAAAAGGGCAACAAGAGGAATCCTTGTGTTGACAGAAATGTTCTGTACATTGACTGTGTTAATGCCAATATTCTGATTTTGATATAGTACTATATTTTTACAAAATGGAGAAACTGAGCAATGAGTACACAGGATCTTTCTGTATTATTCATTATAGTTGCATGTGAGACTATAACTCTCCCAAAATAAAAATGGTACAATAAAGACAACATTTAGCTTGCTTATATGTCTGTGACTTGGGCCAAGTTCAATAGAGATGGCTCATCTCCATTCCAGTTGTTTCAGGTAGGACAGCTAGAAGGCTGTGGGTCAGAACTATCTGAAGTCTTGTCCCCTCACAGGGCTGGCAGTGGATGTTGGCTGTCAACTGAGACCTCAGCTGGGAATATCAGCCCTTTCATGTATCCTTCTCATGTGGCCTGGATTTCCTTACAACTTGGCAGCTGGAATCTAAGGTTGAGTGTGCCAAAAGAAAGAGAGCCAGGTGAAAGTCGTAACACTTTTTGCACCCAGCCTCGGAAGTCGTGCAAGGTTACTCCTGCTGTATTCTATTCATTGAGACAGTCACACAGGCCTCCAGTTACAAGGAGCAGCAGGAAAATAAGTCCTATCTAATGAGTGGATGGCAAGGTTATGGGAGAGCCTGTGGGACTAGAAATATAACTGTAGCCATTTTTGGAAAATACAATATGCCCCGGTCTCTAAAGACTGACTTTATCTCTTCCAAACACACATGACTGCCCATAGCAACCTAGTTTATGTGTCATGAGTACAGTCATACAGAGACACCAAAACTCTCTCTTATAATGATTTCTAATTTCTGGAGTAGGGACTTGAATTGACTTAGGTTAAGTCAAGCACTCATACTTGGTCTAGTAGCCCTGACACCTGGGGTCTGGGCTTTGCGGAGAAGGCATGATCATACTACACAACTATAGCAGAGAGGAGAAGATACTCCAATGAAGAAAGGACCATTCTATGAGAATGAGGAATCCCTTTTAGCTAATTGGACAACCCATGAAGTACCACATAAGATAGAATACTCTTTCTGTGTCATCAAAAGATAAGCATAAAATAAAATGACACAGAAAGGTTAGATATAAAAGGCTAGACAAAGTTTATCAGGCAAGTGCAAACAAAAAGGAAGCTGGGATGGCAATATAAATGTCAGATCAAGTGGACTTAAAGGCAAAAAGAAGGCATTAAATAGGACAGAAAGGGGCCAGTCGCAGTGGCTCATGCCTGGAATCCCAGCACTTTGGGAGGCCGGGCGGGTTGATCACTTGAGGTCAGGAGTTTGAGACCAGCCTGGCCAACATGGTGAAACCATGTCTCTGCTAAAAATACAAAAAATTAGCTGGATGTGGTGGTGGAAGCCTGTAATCCCAGCTACTCGGGAGGCTGAGGCAGGAGAATCATTTGAACCCAGGAGGCAGAGGTTGCAGTGAGCCAAGATTGCGCCACGGCGCCACTGTACTCCAGCCTGGGCAATAGAGCAAGACTCCATCTCAAAAAAAAAAAGAAAAACAAAGGACAGAAAGGGTTATTTAATGTCGATAAATGGTACATGCGATAAACAAGACACAGATAGCGTCATGTGCTTTTTGTGCTGAATAATGTAGCTGTGAAATATATAAAACTAATTCTGTAACAAATACAAAGAGGAAGTGATGGGAACACAAGAGTAGTGGAAGACCTTAACACATCACCCTCAGTCTTTGAGAGATTTAGTAGGCAAAGGATGAATTAGGATGCAGAGGAATTGAATAATGGATTTCATAGATATAATAGGAACCTGCTTTAAGAGATATATGTCAATTTTGTACTCTACCAAAAGAAAATATATCTTTTCTCTAAGTACTCATAAAACATTTACAAAAATTGATTGTATATTAGTCCACAAAGGAAATCTCAGTAAGTTCCAAAAAGCAGAACTTGTACAGGCTCTGCTCTCTGACCACAGTACAATACAATAGAAAATTAATGGCAAAAGTTCAAACAAACAAACCCAAACATTTTGAATTTTAACACTCTACTAAATAACTCTTGGGTCAAAGAGAAAACTAAGGCTGCAATTACAGATCATTTAGGATATAACAACAATAAGAACACTGTGTATTGTTGCTCATGGAATAGTGCCAGAGAGAAATTCATAGTTAAAGACCTTATATTGTTAACAGAAAAGAGTGAAAATAAATGCATCAAAGATTTAAGCCAGGAAATGAGAAAACAATAACAAATGAAACCAAAGAAAATTAGGAGGCAGGAATTAGCAAATTCAAAAGTGTAAAATAATGATGGGAAGAGTTAAAAAATTATAGAACTGATATGTATAAGAGGTAATTCTGTGAAAGAGTACTAATATGAATAAATTACTAATCCAGAAAACACTGACACAGAAGATTAAGAAGAAAAGCGATCCAAGTTCATATATGAAGATTTTTGTGAGTGATATTTTAGTTTTAAGCTAAGGAAGTTTAAAATGTCCAATGGATTTTTTTAAAGAAAAATTGAAATTGCAAATTGAATTTAGAAATTGGAAAGCTTGAATGAATCACTATGCAAGGATTGTGTTGCCAAGTATGGGAAGGCAATATACATAACATTACATAGTTAAGAATGTGGGCCTAGCGCCAGCCTGCCTGGGTTCATATCCCAGCTTCACCTGTTAGCTACGCAACATTCGGCAAAATATTCAAACTCTCCAAACTTCAGTTTCCTTATCTCTAAACTGGCAATAACAACACAATCTGCCTCCCAAAATTGGTGTTGTGCAGTTGATGAAATAACACAAGCCAAGCCTTTAGCCCTGTGCCAATAGAAGGACCCCCCGAAAAGACACTACACGTTTTTATTGTTGCATTCCTCCGAACATCCAAAAAACAGATGCTTCATGCTATACTGTTTCAAAGCATACAAAAAGATGGAAAGTTATTCACTTGGTTTTACAAAATTATCTTAATACAAAAGCTTGACAGGGTTAGCACAAAAAATACAAATGTTATTTATGAATGCATATTTCATATATATATATATATATACATATATCACAAGAAAATAGAATCCAGTGTTGTAATAAAATAATAAGACACCAGAATCAAATAAGATATTTCTCAGTAATAGACAAGTGAATCGTTCAACATGAGGAAATCTATCAATCTACCCTGTCACATTGCTAGGCAACTGACAGTGTGTTGACTTAGAAATGCTGATTTTAGTTATTGGGCTAAGGAAATGAGACATCGCTAAAGATGTGTGCTCAGGGTTGTTTGATGTCACATTATTAAACTTTTGAACAATTTAAATACCAAAAATAGGGGACCTGCTTAAATATGCTTAAATATATTATGCTTAAATGATATATAGACATACAGAATAGACTATTCTATAGATAGAATATTGTGAAACCATATAAGGTGTTTCAAATAATATTTCAAAACATAAAAATATACTCAAGACACTTTCATTTATTCATTAGGTATGAAGAAGATTAAAGTAGTATATGCAGCATGATTACTTATGCAAAAACTAGATATTTTTATCTGTGTGCATAAGTAAATGTATGTATAAGCATTTAGGTGGTTTCATCGCTTTTACTACTATAAAAATGCCACAGCCAATTGTCTCACACAATTGTCATTCTGCATACATGTAAAGATTAAATCATGCTATTTTAATTCATTTTAAAAACTACAGTCTGTACAAAATGACACATATACAAGATTATTCATTGCAATGTTATTTAGGTGGGGGAGTTGGGGTTGAGGGTGTATGTAAGCACTCATATAATCATCCACAGGCGGAAGGTAATAAAAGGAAATACAACAAAATGTCACAGCGGTTATTTTAGGGTTATTCTCATCCTTGTACTTAACTTAAAAATGTTCTCCTTAATGCCAAGGTAGGAAAAAATCCGCTGTTAATGAAACATTTTAAGTGAGATTCAAACAAAAGGAAAAGCACTGTACTTGTAAATCAAGACATATATTGTTTGTGACTTCATCTGTTAAAAAAATACAACAAAGATTTCAATTAAGGTGTTTAAAAAGTTCTACATAGTGTCTGGCAAATGGTAGGCCAATAATATATATTCATTCTACTTCAGTCCTCATTTAAATGAAGATCATTGTGAAGACGAGTTTTTTTAAAATGCCTATGAAAGTGTTCAGCACAGAGCAAGAAGCCTAATTGGCTATCAGCAATTATTAAGTGAATCTGAGTCATAAATAACCCTTTCCTGGTGATACCTCAACTCTGAGATGGAAGTCTAGAAGTGTTTCTTACTGACTGCCACTCTCCAGAAACTCCAGACTGAATGACCTGGGTTTCTCCCATTTCTCTGTGATCCTGCCATATTGTTTAAAAACGAACAAATAAACCAAACAACAACAACAACAAAACCTCATTGGAACTAGTTTTCTTCTTGCCTCTGGAGGACAAGCAAGAAAAAATGTTTTTTAATCTCTCTGGATTCTCTCTTCTTGCTTAAATTCAGGTCCAGTGTAGAACTGTTTCAATCTTTGGCAAACAGTTTCTTCCCTGGCTTCAACCTAATCTGTCTTGCGAAGGGACAGTATCTTCATGTGAGAAATTGTGGCCTACTTCCCAAACCCACCCCCACTGGATAGTGTGCTTGACATTTTTTTTTTTTTCCGAGACGAAGTTTTGCTCTATCCCCCAGGCTGGAGTGCAGTGGCGCGATCTCGGCTCACTGCAACCTCTGCCTCCCAGGTTCAAGTGATTCTCCTGCCTCAGCCTCCCAAGTAGCTGGGATTACAGGCACATGCCACCCCATGTCTGTATAATTTTTGTATTCTTGGTAGAGATGGGGTTTCACCATGTTGGCCAGGCTGGTCTCAAACTCTTGACATGGTGATCCATCTGCCTTGGCCTCTCAAAGTGCTGGGATTACAGGTGTGAGCCACTGCGCCCGGCCCTGTTGTGCTTGACTATTTAGAGTTCAGCCTTCACCAAGGGAATGCTGGATGATTCCATTGGTTTGGGAAATTTTGTCTGGTGGGAATTCACAGGATTTGTCTTGGAAATTGAGAGTGGAGCTAAAAGAAATCTTGACAAAAAGGTCTATTATGGGCCTGGATTTAGGAGATGGCTACAGGGAAGAGGACTTTGGGATACACTGGATATGGAGAATGACAGGAGGAAAATGGTGACGATGATTGAAGTTTCACATTCCAGGCCCACGGAACAACAGTACCATGGACAGAAGCCTGGACACCAGAATAAAATGAGGAGCTCACTTTGGGACTTAATGATTTGGGGTGAGGGTAGGAATTTCAAGGGCATGTCCATAAGCATAAAATCTAACCCTACAGATCAAGATGGACCTTGAGCTAGAGTTGTAGATTTGGGAACTATTAATCTGGGCAAGTGGATGTAAACCTTGGAGTAGAGCTGAAGTCTTCACAAAGATGCCTGAGCATTATGAAGCCCTGGTATTTACAGAATAGAAGGGGAAATGGGACATAGTGAAGGAGCTATGGAATGAGTAGCCAGAGTATAAGGCCAAAGGCAGGAAAGAAGGCTTCAGTCACAAGATGTAAAGAAATGAAAGCAGATATTCTAGACTGCAAGAAGGACAGGGCTGTAACCTGCGGTTTAGGTAAACTAAAGCAAAGGCCTCATGCCTCCTCTTCCCTTTGCTTTAGTTGAAATCAGATACATGCAACAATGAAAAACAAGAACATAATGTTCAGTTGAAGCAATCATAGAATGCCAGAGTGCACTGTAGTGGTCAGCCACATTTTCATTCAAACAATTTTAAAAGCTTTTGGAACGCCTTGAACTTCAGGGTTTGGCAACTGTAACTGTGTTAATTGTGTGGCTTATTCCATCTAAGTGGAATATTATTAATAAAGGAAATGCCTTTGAACTATTAGACTGTGTCATTTAAAGGCAGGACAGAGCCTAGAATCCAGGACTCCTGATCTCAGGCAGTGGACAGCTCAGGTCATCTTGCTGCATCTCAGGATGCATCCAGACCCTCCTGTATAAAGGCTTAGGGACAAATCAGAGTCCTGTAAAGTGGAAGCGCCTTAAGTCAGGGCACCCTCATTTTGGTTAACCACACCCTAATACCCACCACTCAATGAAATCTGCTTCCCCGGCTTAGTTCCCCCACCCTGTCCATGCACGCATGCATGCATACCTGCCAAACACTCCCTACTCTCCATCCTTCTCCTCTTCCACCCACCCCTACGAAGCCTCTATAACTAGTTGGCCTCATCCCGAGATGTGGGTGGGTCACCATGGTGACAGAGGAAACCCTGTTGCAGAAGGAGAGAGACAGAAACAGCAGGGGACGTTTCTTGGAGCCTCATACAATGACCTCTGCCTTTCTTAGAAGTGCTTCCTTTAAGTCAGAGAAGCACATTAGAGGTAAAGAGAGATGCTGTTATGTTGGAGAGATAGTGGAATGCCTGAACTCTTCTTTAAAAATTTCTTTTCTATGATTTTCAGGTGATCATCAATATAACCATCCGATTTTGAGCAGTGTTACCCAGATCCCGCCACATGGTGAGAGATGATTGAGAGCACTCTGCATTTCCTCCTTATTTCGAGTGGCACCATTCTAAGGATGGATGCCTATCAGGGCATCAAACACACGGTCATAAACTCACTGAAGCTAAGGAGGTCCAAGGAGCCACAGGCTCGCCCTCCTCCAGGGCCACAATGCTCTAATCTCACTTGTAGGCTATTTTCCCCTTGGTGTTTCTGTCTCCGATATCAGAATGATCTCTTGACATAAACAGAAAGGGGCTAGACCCATTTCTACTTGCCACCTGTATCACTTCTTACAGTCATAAATTCCATATGTCCACAGCAAGGAGTGGAACACCCTCCTTTGTTCAAAGCTATTTGTGATATCATTTACGAAAGACATGAGACTTGGTTAAACTTTATGATCCTCCCCAGGCTAATTAAGATTTGATAAAACTCAAAACTGATTTGGGCTTTAGCCTCTTGGCAGAAAAAAGAGGCTGAAAATTGTTGAGTGGAGGAGTGTTAGCATAGTGCCCAAGGGTTATAAAACTATGTTTCCCTCTTAGATTATAATATCCTCCCACCAGATCACAGCTGAACAGAGAAAATCTATTTTTGGCACCTGCTCAAGACTTGATAGAACATAAGACAGCCACATAAATTGCGAATTATCAGTCATTTTTGTCTCTTTGCTGTGAAAGAGTGAAAACATCATTAAAATTTTAGTGAGAGAGAAACTCAAAACAATGATAAATCCTACAGGCTACCTGGTAGAGAGACCTACCACTGTTATGTCAGATTATGGTGTGCCTCAGCACTGAAGTTGAGGGATATTATAATTAGGAGGAAGAGATTGGAATATTTTCATGTGCTATGCTCCAGGTGGAAATAAATGATGAAAGCAATAGTATAATCAGATTTGTCAGGTTGTGGGGTCTAAAAAGTTAGAACTGGGAGAAACTGGGGAGATCAGTGAAAAGAGGTTGATACCAGTGGTGATGTTGACAGTGGGAAAAGAAAGGACGGTTGAGATATGAAACCTTTTGAAGAAAGAATTGGAGAAAGTTCCTTACTAACTGAATGTGGCTGATGAGAGCCAATGATGACACTGATTAGAAAAATGAAGGGTTTTATTAACAAAATCTAAGGAATCAGGAAAACAGTCAGTATGTATGGGGGATGGAGTTGTCAGTGAGTTTGGATCTGGACACCTGGAGTTTGCAAGAAAAAAATATTCAACAGGCAGGAATGCAGACATGAAGTCTGGAGGAAGGTTAGAGCTGAAGATGTGAGTGAAGCTTTGGAGGCAGTAACAGAAGCCTCAGGAGTGGGGGCACTCTACACTGAAAGAGAAGTGCAGAAGGCAGAGGCAGGGAGCCTGGGGGATGCCCACAGTGATGAAGCAGCCTCAGGAAGAGCCAGAAAAGGCACGCAAGGAGAGCTCCCACTTGCTCAGTCACACTACCCAGCTCATTTTCCTGAGAAGGAGCCAACACAAGCAGACTCCTGAATACAACAGGAGGAGCCATTCTTCCCTCCTTCTCTTCCTGTCTTCTTTTTTCCAACTGGTGCAAGGAGATGGGGGTTGATGAGACCTGGTCCCTGCCCTTGAGCAGCTCACAATGTAGTGAGAGTAGAGTTTTCTCTGCATTGCTTTCTTGGATGTTCCCTTCTTTCCCAGGAGCTGGCAGAGTGACTATCAAGCGAGGAGGGGGCCTGAGTCTACTTAATTAGTGTTCCACAAAGAGCATTAATTGGATCCTTATTCTGGGCCAAGCACTATGAAGGATTCAAAAAAAATTGGAAAGCAAGGCCCTGCTGTCAAGGAGATTGCAATATTTGGAGATCCACAATCCCAACTCAAGTCAAATTATTAGAGATGTTAGATACTAAAGTGGGTGGAACTGACTAGAAGAGCAATACAGGCTTAAAGAACAGATATTGTCGTTGGCTAAAAAGATGGGACATTGGCACAGCAAAATGTCTTGAGTGAGGCGGGAATTTCATACAGAAGAGTAAAGGAGGCATTTCTATAGGAGGGAGAGTATCCCATGAAGGCAGAAGGCAAGGGAGAGCTGGCCTTGGCTCAGGGGTATGTCCTGTAACACAGTGGTGGAACAAGAGTATCCAGAAAGATTGCATTTGGAAGTGGGTGAGCTGAGTGATGCCTTGTTGAGAGTATAATGCCAACAGGCAGAAGGAGGTTCCTTCTTCTCCAGCATAGCCAAAGTGAAGAGACAAGTGCTGAGAGATGAGTGGCTATTACTCCCTCTGAGGAGCAGCACTCCCAAGTTCCTGCTCACTCCACTTCCTGGCATCTGTCCTGATGCATGCCAAGGAGGCTCTTTCTGTACAGCATGTTCTAATGGGGATGTAGAGCACCCTCCACCCCCTCACATATGTCCTGAGCTGGCATGAACACCAGCTCACTGGCTGAGCTTCCCTGGCTCAGTCCCCAGTGTTGGGGGTGACAATGAAGGCAGGAAGGGGTAGAAAAGTCAGGAGTCCCCGGTGCTTGGGGCTGCCCTTGGACAATGCCTAGGAGGGCTTCTCTGTCTCCCACCTCTCACACAGTCCACAGAATTCCTGCTTTCCACGTTTCCACACTCTTTTTGCCAAGAGGTGTGGCAGTCCTCCTGCACATTCGACCGAAGTTAGAGCCTGCCCCCTCTCAGAAATTCTTTGGCCTTGAGGTGTCCCAAACAAAAAGAGGATGGAGGAATGACACAGCGAGACTATAGCCTTCCAACTGCCTCACTTCTGGGAATGGTACCACCATTTCCCATGGCAGCCACTCATTGACTTGTTGTGGCTTCTCCTCCTCAAGTCTGTGAAGCACTGAGGCATGCTTGTCTTCTTCCCCAGGATCTCCAGCTCTTTCTGTCCCCTCATCCTCACTGCCTCCCTCACCGGCCCTGCATGCCCCCTCTCCAGATGTCATTCATCTGGCCCTGAGCCCAGCGCACACTGCACTGGGCTCCCATCAGCCATCCTCTCATCTCCCTTTCACCTTTTCTCCCACTTTTCCTTCCATTCTTTTCCCCAGCTCTGGCAATGAACAACACTCCTTTCCATCTCTTCAGATTCTTGCACCTCAATGCTCTATCTCAGGGGAAGGAAGGAGAAAGTGGGGATGATGTGCTATGCATTTTTGTCTAGATTCTTTCCTCCAGCAGCTTAGAGATGGCTAAGGGGGCTTCAGAGAAAGGAATTAGAGTAAGATAAAATAGCTCTGTGGCTCACTGTGGCTTGTCAGGTGCAGAGCTTGGAGAGGAGAAAGGGGCTACATGAGCTGTGGAAGGATGCCATGGACGGAGCATGGGTTGGGTCTCAGTGGAGCTGGGTCCTGGACTCAGTTCTTCTATGGGTACATAAATAACATAAGTCACTCCATGTCCTCCAACTCAAGATTTTTCTGAGCCTGAGAGCTAGGTTTGCCTAAAGCTATTAGGAAAAGGACAGCACTTTCACACAGAAGTAGATGATTTTTATGATGCCCCTCAGCTCCATCAGGCTTACGTTTTCAGCAGATAACCCAGAGATGTACTGAGAGAGAGAATTCGCTCCTCAGACTCAAGAGTCGAGTCTCCCATTCACAGAATGGTGAACTGTCTTGGTGGTGGCTAAAACAGCATCTGCCCCTAGGCTTATTGACAACTGGAACTGAGCATGAGGGAAACTGAGTCAATAGTATCACCTATGTCCAAGCACAGAGGTCCAGGAAAGGAGGATGGGGATTCGAATCAGGGGTGAGGCAGAAAGCACACCTGCCACAGACATGGTCCTCATTAATACAAAACACCCCTCCCTTTTCTTGCAGAGAAGCCACGGATGAACAACATCCTGACATCAGCCACCGAGCCCTATGACCTCTCCTTCTCCCGCTCGTTCCAGAACTTGGCCCACCTGCCCCCATCCTACGAGTCTGCAGTAAAGACCAACCCCAGCAAGTATTCATCTCTGAAGAGGCTAAGTAAGTTGAATTTCCCCCAAGTTGGGGTCTGTCTCTGGGGCTCCAAGATATCTTCCTATGTCACACTCTCTTGCTCCATACCCCATAGGACAGCTGTCAAATCCCAAGAATAAAGAAGGAGTTGCAGGATGAGAGAAGAGAATAGACAAGCTCTTTGCTTTTGTTCCTTATGGACTGAGCCCATTCTTTCCATACATAGAAAGAAGACCATGGAATCCTCAGATTCACATCCCTATAGGAGACGGCCTTCCAATTCATGCACCAGTTTAACTGCGGGAGAAAGCCTTCTCCCAGTCCCGCACGCAACTGCCTTCTTCAAACCATGGGCCTTCCTTGCTGTATACCCTATACTGGATAGAGGCTAGCAATGGCCAGAACTTTCTCTGAGACCTCTCCCAGAGGCCCACAAACCAGCTCCTTCTCCAACCCAGCCAACAGTGTCTTGAGGACCTGAGATCCTTCACCTCCCATGCATACACCCCATTTCACCAGTTCAATCCAGTTTATCCAGTGATGCCAGCTCTGCCTCTTGAGTCTGGGGAGACTCTGGGCATCAATGGGTTAAAGATACAAAAATGTCAAAAAATTTCCCTAAAGGACAGCTCTTCCTCCCTGGCTTTCTGGCCTTGGACCTTCTCCTCCCATTTTCCCAGGAGTCTCTTTTGATGACCACCCAACTGCAGTTGGAGCCTCAAGGGCTGAGCATTTGCTTGAAAGCTTCAGGGTAACCTACCCTGACAGAAGTGCAGCCCAAGTCCACATCAGCCACCTCCATGGTGAAACGTGGAGTCTCTAGCTAGAGACGGGACTATCATAACCTGAGGAATCATCCCGAGGTGATGAAATTTGGCTCAGGAGGAAGGATACCCATCAACGACCCCGCTGCACCAACTGAAGAGCAGACAGAATTCCCACACTTTTGCAGAGATCTAGAAGGCCATGTGTAGGAGGCCTCATTTCTGAAATTTGGGGCAATGCAGGTTTGTGTGTAACCTGCAAGTTCAAGTAGGTTTGTAGCATGCAAGTCCAAGTAGGCTTGTAGCATGCAAGTTCCAGGCAAATTCAAGGGTACAGAGAGCAGTGTGAGCTTAGGAGGGCCTGCTGGATAGAGAGAAAGGTGGAGCATCTAAATGAGGCGCACATGTAAGATTACTCCAACCAGCTTGCGTTATGGGCACAGGTGGAGTGTGTGTAGGCTGATTATGTGGCTGTGTGGGGACTGGAGGCCCATGTATTGGCTTTCTATGCGTTGCCTGTTACTACAGAGAAGGTGTTACGATGTTCCTAAGTTACCAGTTAAACATTTTCACAAGTGTTTCCTAGTCTGAGCATCTTACTTTATTCTAGCCGGAGGCTGGCTCTGGACCTCATCAGGAAGCTTCAAGAGCTGCTATTTGGATGTTTTAGTAAGACAGATAGTCATTCTGTTTCAGGACCATGGTGTGGTAGATACGGCCCAGGACCAGGCGGAGTTCAGGGACTTGGGCTTGCTATCAACTCTGCCCTGAACACACTGGGGATTCTGAGGAAGTCCCTTAACATATCCCTACTCAAGGTGGTCTATGTACCAGAGGCTTTTAGCATTACCTGGGAGCTTGTTAGAGATGCAAACTCTTGGGCCCACCCCAGACCCACTGAATTAGAATCTGCATTTAACAAGCCCCCAGAGAATGGTTTGCACATTCAATGGGAAAATACACCCTTCACCCGTCTGTCCTAATCCATAACTAAAGGAGTTTGACTGTATTATCCCTTAAGGTTGACAGGTCTGTGATGGAGCAGGAGCGGGGCAGGGTTCTATCTGAGTCCTGGCTGCAGGGTCACCCCAGTTGCCTTCTCTCACTCTGTCTCTCCCCTGCAGCCGACAAGGAGGCTGACGAGTATTACATGAGACGGCGGCACCTGCCCGACCTGGCTGCCCGCGGCACCCTCCCCCTCAATGTCATCCAGATGTCCCAACAGAAGCCGTTGCCAAGGGAACGACCCCGCCGGCCCATCCGGGCCATGTCCCAGGACAGGGTCCTGTCCCCGGATCGGGGCCTGCCAGATGAGTTCAGCATGCCCTACGACCGCATCCTGTCCGACGAGCAGCTGCTCTCCACGGAGCGCCTGCACTCCCAGGACCCGCTGCTGTCCCCGGAGCGGACGGCCTTTCCCGAGCAGTCGCTGTCCAGGGCCATCTCGCACACGGACGTCTTTGTGTCCACACCCGTGCTGGACCGCTACCGCATGAGCAAGATGCACTCTCATCCCAGTGCCTCCAATAACTCATACGCCACCCTGGGCCAGAGCCAGACGGCAGCCAAGCGTCATGCCTTTGCCTCACGCAGACACAACACGGTGGAGCAGCTGCACTACATCCCGGGCCACCACACCTGCTACACAGCCAGCAAGACCGAAGTGACCGTGTGACCGGCGGGGCAGGGCCGGGGCTGCTGGGCGTGGCAGAGCAGAGCGGGGGCCGGGAGGGGCCAGGAGCAGAGCTTCTAGCCTTGCCACTCTCCCTTCCCTTGTCCCCTCTGTAGGAAGTGGGGGTGGGCCACCTTTGCCCAAAAAGCCATACCCCCGGGGACACAGCCCCGATGGCCTGGTCCAATACACTTAGACCCAGGACCAAGAGCAATCGCTCTTGCTCCTCCAGAAGAATCAGTGGGGAGTGAGGAGGGGGCTAGGCCCCATTCTCACCCCCGACCACCTTCACCAACTCCCTTTCCGTCCCGCGCCTCCTTCTCCCCATCCGGGGGACTCAGCTGCAGGTTCTGTCAGCAGAGAGACCCTTGCTTGACTGTGGTCTGAAGCTGCCTGGGTTTGAAGGGGCCAGCGGGTCCAATCAGTGGGCTGACCGGATAGGCTACTCGGTCTCATTCATTCATCTAGAACCGCATCACAGAAATCTCCTAGTGCCTAAAAACTGCCTGCTCGCTCTCTCAGAGCCAGGGAGCTGCTGTGTCCATAAGCACAATAATGATTCTTTTCTTGCCTGCTGGAACTCTCTGGTCCCCACTGAGTGACCCTTCCTTTGCTGACCCCTGAGGGCCCAACCCTGGCCCTGTGCCCCTCCCCTCAACTCCAGGACCAGGAGGGGTTCCCTTCCTTCAGCTGCCTCCCCATTGGTGGGAACTCCACCCCCTTCCAGCTGACTGCCCGCCCATAAGGACCCTGGGCCTGTCCTTTCAGCGGGCTGTGCTCCTTCCCTGGCCCTGAGGATTTCACCCTTGAGTTTTCTGGGGTTTTGGCTGTAGCCTTCGCAGAGGGGAGTAGCAATGGGGTGCTGGCCCTCCCAGACACCCGATCATCTCCGCACTCCCTCCAGGCCTCTAGACCTGACCATGACTGCCACTCAGGCTGCCTTCTCCACCCCTGCTCTGCTCCCAGGAGGCACCTGCGGTGGCCAGAGAGCCAGGGTGGGGAGGGCCACTGTGATGTGCGGGGTCTCGGGCTCAACATTCGCATCCTGCAGGGCTCCACCTGTTCCCACATGCACCTCCGGCAGGACCTAGACAGAAGTTTCTAGAGAGCAGCTTTTCAGCCCCCAGACAAGGAGGATGAGAGGTGGTTGTCCTGCATCCTCTCCGCTCATCCTTCCTTCCCCATCTCTGTCTACCTGCTCAGTTCAGAGATCACTCCTACTGCCTGTGTCCCCTTCCCCCACATCCTCCCTGCAACTTTATTCCTCCTAGCTGATCCTTCAGATCCGTGCCTCCTCTGGATCAAAGGGACAAAGACCTATTAGCAAAAGCAAACAAAGGTCCTCCAGGCGACTGGCCTAGGGGCTAACTGGGCAGGTCCCCACAGCATCATCCCTTTGTGCAGGCACTGGGGTACCTGGTAGACCATGGTCCTCAGCTCTGTTGGGGGACCGCCACTGCCCGCCCACCTCAGCCTCTTCCCCGCCTCCAGCCTGGGGGTTGGCATGGTGTGACGGCCTCCTGGGGAGGTGACAGTGAATTCAGCAGCATCCGCTCCCCCAAGACCAGAGAGCCTGGTGGGGGAAAGAAGGGGTTCCCTCATTCTCAGGGCCAGGGCACCCGCTGGGTTGGGGCTGGGGGAATCAACTCCAGGCTATTGGGTGAAGGTGTGATCCTAAAAACAGTCAGATCCAACAGCAGTGCCCTTATAAATGGGGTTTTACCTGCCCTCAGTTCTGCACTCATGGCCCTTTAAAAAGGCGAGTGTAGAAGGAGAATTTATTGGTGTCAGCCCTGGAGATTTTTAATCTAACCAAGTCCACAAACCACAGAGAAAGCAATGGACTGTGTCCTTTCACTGATTTCAAGAGTTCCAAAGCTCTCATCTCCTTCTCCCCTCTGCAGGGTGTGCCTCCCAACAGGAACAGGAAACCATCACCCTGGATCTTAGGGGGATGGAGGCTGGGGGTTGTGAAAGCCACTGTCAGACCCCACACTGGGGATGCATTCCTGGAGTCGTGCGGCTGGAAGGCCAGGGACTACCCTCTCTGCTTTCCTCCCAACAGACACATAAACCTTCTTAAGGGCTGGTCCCCAGGGGTTTATAAGAGTTTGTTCCAGAAGGTGAGGCTAAGAGGGTTGGAAAGGAAGAAGTGAGTCTGAATAGAGCAGGTGGCTCCCAGCTGGGCCCCTGAGCCCAGCACCTTTGAATCGTCTAATCTGTGGCCATCCCTTGGAAGGCAGGATGCTGGTGGTGAGGGGAAAGGACCTGAGTGGCTGAGAATGCCCTTCCCAGGTGTCTACATGCAGGTATACACCAAACCAGAAAGCTGATCCCATCTCCAGTGTCAAAGCTTCTCAGCACCAAGTTCTCCAGCCCCCAGGGTGACACTTTTCCCCAGGGGTCCTCCCCAAGCCCTGTCTCTGACAGGGTTTCTGTCTCTCTCAGGGGTTGTTGATGAGTTGATTCCAAGACATTTCTCATCCCAGCCTTACCACTGTCTGGCTGAAAGGCTCTGATGTCAGTTGGGTTGGAAAATTCTACTGCAATGCTTACTTCTTTTCAAGGATTTCTTCTGCTTCACCTTTGGGTCTAGAAGCAAGGAATGAAGGGAGGGAGAGAGGGAGGGAGGGAGGGGAGGAGGGAAGAAAAAAGAAGTAGAGATAGGTCTACAGACTTGCTCCAATTCAGTCCCACATTTCAAAATCCAGAAAACTATGTCATAGCTGGGACAGAGAGGTATCCCATTTATTCAGCTGTCCCATCCATCTTCATGGAACAAGCAAAGCCACATCAATAGGCAAGTTCACGTAGCAGATAAAAGAGGCTTCTGGGGCTGGAACCTAGATGCCATGATTTCTAGCCCAACCAGGCTGGTGGCCTCTACCATACATAGAAGTACCATCCACCCTTACAGTAAAAGCCTCCCTCCTGCTCACAAAGGAAGCCTAAAGCCCAAGATTTCCCTCTCCTTGTTTTATTCATTTTTGCACATCTCTGTTGCTCTAACAGAAATGAACTGGAATCTGCACAGGTTCTCTCCTGCCCTGAAAGTTCTGCCTGGTTTCCTTGGCCTCTGATGGCATTGAAGCTTTCACAATCCCTCCTGCATCTCCACCTTCCCTGTCTTGCTCCAGGCTCCTGGCTCCATGCCTTCCTGTGTCAAAAAGGCTTTGCCAAGAATTACTTCACCTCCTAACCAGGCTTCTGCCCTCAGGGCTCCCCCAGTGTCTTGGGAGTGTCTTGGGCCACACGACTGCCTCTTAGAAAGTTCCAACCTTGCCCCCAATTCAAATTTCTCCTCCCCTCTTTCCACTCTCCCTCCCAGAAACTCCTGATTTCCAGAAAACCTCAGATTTCCAGGCCAGGTCACTCATTCCTTCCTCTCATCTCCCTCTTCCTCCATCTACCTTCCTCCATTCACCTTCCTCCATTCCTAATTTCTTTTCCCTGGTCTTGCTATAATCTCCAGCTCTAAAAATCAGAGCTCTCAATGAAAACAATGGAAGAATAAGACATTCTTTCGGTCTTCTGTTTGCCTCACTGGTGTATCCTTCATCTCCTGCCCCTGTGAGTTGATACCCCAGTGCACGGAGCCAAGGGCTTTTCCCCTCTGAGCTCTGGGAGGGAAGGGAATGGAGCTCTGGGTTTGAGATGTCATGGCCTGTGATAGTCAGTTTGGTTCCTGCCACTAGCAAGTCCCCTGAAGCTCCCAACCCAGCCTGATGTTAGCCCAGAAGCTCCTGCTCTGGCCAAAGACTCCTATCCTTGAGGGCTCTCAGCCACTGCTCCAACACACTTGCCCCCTTCCTGCTTGTGTATGTCACTTATCCTCCTTTGTCCACAAAGACTTGAGGGCCTCCTGAGTCTCCAAGCATGGAGGAATATCCATGCCAACATCCCTGCCATCAAACTCAATCCATTTTCTTCAGAGATACCTTGTCTGTCACCAGCCTCCAACTTCATATTCCTTCCACAGGCAACTGTGCACTTGACCCAAGGTAAAATGAAAGGGCTGCCAATCACTCGGACTCCAGAAGGTGCCTGCCCTGAGAAGAGCTGGCATGTTACCTCCCACATACATTTCCTGTCATCCTGTCCGAATCTGGGAAATTTTGCTCTGGAGTATTTTCAAGAAAGCGCATTGTGTTTTAATGAAGTATTTTTCAGGGTTCCAATGTTATTTTTTATAAATGCAGCATTTTAATGGCAGATTCAATATGAAGGACATGTCTTCCTGGGCTCTATATTTGATTTTGGAAGGCAGCATACTCTAGGAGAAAAAAAGCATAGGGCTGAGGCTCTGAAGACACAGCTTCCAGCCCTGGCTTTGTCTCCGAGGGGGAGTCATGTTCCCCACTCAGTGCCTCAGTTTCCCCATCTGTAAAATGAGGGGCTTTGACTAGATGAGCTCTGAAGTTTCATCCAGCTCTTACACTGTAGGGCTTTCATTCCCTGCCAGCACCTGCTCTCCCCGTTCCTCCCCACCTCCACTGAGCTGCACACATCCCACAATGCCTGCCCCACAGCGATGTCCTCAGATGTCCTGGACAGCCACCGCACTCCTCACTAGAGCCTGGGGTGGGCCTGATGGGCTCGGCCACCCAGGGATGCCCTCGTACCTGAAGTTTAAGGGCCTAACCATTCAATAGGTCACCAACTGTGTGCCATGGAAGCCCTCTTGTAAAGACACACCTAAACCATCCTAAGTGACTGTGGAATTCTGGGGAATTCTGAGTTTGGAGTTTCCATTTGGATACGGTCCTTATAGCTGGAGGGAGGCGGTTCCAATTTCAGAGAGGGAGCTGGCTGGAGAGAAAGGTCTGGAGGTTGGCCCATAAGGGCATGAAGTTTGTACTTGAGGGCAGCTGGGAAATTCATTTCAAGCTGCAGAGGAACGTGTTCACAGGCTGTTGTGTGGCAATGAATGTCATGATAACCCACTCTGGAATATGTGTCCTGAAGACCAAGTCTGGACACTGAGGCTCCATTCCAACTGGAGGAGGAGGCATCTCCATCTGGGCTGCTAGGAAGGGGCACTCATCCCATCCTAGTACCTTTGTAGCCCTTCGTCATGACACTACCGTCCTCCCGGTGAAGGCTTGTGAAGCAAGAATGGAGAGTCCAAGTTTGTGATATTCAAACCCATCTTGTAAATCAGCAAACACATTAACCTTCCATCAGTCAGAGAAATAATGTTGTGGCTGTGTGTTTCCTTAATGCTCTCCCTCCTGAGGGAGGAGAAGACCCTGCTCAACTTTGCTGCCCACCCTGCAGTGACCCCTGAATGCCACACCATGGGAGGACTCATTCATTGGCTTTGTAGTGGCAAATATTCCTCTAGTTCTATAACTCAACTAGACATTTTGTAGTAAAGAATTCTTGAAATTCTCTAATAAAAAGCAATTCTTACTGTAATATTTTTAGTTTGGGGACACAATTTCCTAAGGGGGGATTAATGAACATTTTTATGCATTAGCCCAATTTATGAATTCCATGTTTATTATATGGTAGTACTGATGAAAAGTACCTTTCTATCTGTATCTTTGCAGTTTCTTCGTTACTCATATGTAAGCCTCATGGTAAGCAGTGCTCTAGTAACTGCTTCTCTGTACAAATCTCATCGTTCTACTTACCTGTCAAAGCACATTCTACATGTACTGTAAACAGATACACTTTAGTAAGATTTAGTCTTAAGGATTTTTCCACTTTTGTCAGTAACAGATATTTATGGATTAAAAAATAAAGCCGTTTCAACATAACGTGTGTCTCTTTAAGTAGCCACATGCTGACTTTTACAGAGTCAAAACCAAAAGTAATTAAAAAGCAAGAAAGAATGTAGAAGGTCATTGGAGTTGGGGGCAGAAACAAAGATTAACTGCAAATAGGAGCTAGAGAACTTTGAGGGTGAAAAGAGTGTTTTAAAACTGGATTGTGCTGATGGTTGTACAACTGCATAAATTTACTAAAAATCACAAAAGTTTATACTTGCAATGGGTGACTGTTATGATATACCAATTAAACCACAATAATGCTTTCTACAATGGGTACTATGAGGAATGTGGGAAGACAAGCCTAGGACAAGTGTCAATGGACAAGGTATACTAATTCAAAGTAGAATTACTAGGTTGGTGCAAAAGTAATTGAGGTTTTTGCCATTAAAAGTTGAAATGGCTTTATTTTATAATTAAAAGTTTTTGCCATTAAAAGTAAAGGCAGAAACTTCAATTACTTTTGCACCGACCTAACAGAAGTTCTGCCTCCTTATCCATCCTCATTTAGCCCAGAACTATTTAATATTCTTGGACATTAGGTCTTAGTCTGGTCTTTGAGTTAGTTCTTGTAGTTACCATGGATAATTGGAGGACAGCCAGTTAAGTATCCAGGCCGTTTAACCCAGAGAATCAAATTGCACCATGAAAATTGATTTAGATTTGGAGTTTTGTTCAAGACTCTCTTTTTCTGGACATGTTTTTAATATTATTTCTTTGGCACATGTTCACTTTTGCTGTTAAAGTCATCTGTTTTCTGTTTCTGAATTTTCACCAGAACCTCAATACCAGTGGGCTCAGGTTCAGCAAACAAAGTTTTGCCAAATGGGACAGTTGTCTAAACACCCAACGTCAGCACCTCCACAGTTCCTAGAATCCACAGTCAGTCACACTCTCTTAGCAACTCCCCAACTCCCTTGTAAATAAAACTCTTCTCATTGAAGGCATTGGACTTATTTCCAAAAATCCTCTCATTTTCTCCTGTCATTGGCATTCATTACTTAGGACAAAGTTACAAACCTGTTTATTATTGTACATTATAACCCATAACCACACATACTCTGAAATGTATTTACTCATTACAACAATCACTATAGCAGTGCAATTACATCTAAGTTATAGTGTCTCTAACCTATTATGACTCATAGCTAGTACACACACACACACACACACATACATATATGACAAGTACAGGAAAGCTTCATTAATCTATATCCATTATTGGAAAGAACCCTCATCCTCCCCCCAAAAAAAACCCAAATTCTGAATTGGGGAATTTTTTTTAGCGAAGTGTAATTTAATTATAATGCTTAAACATACATATAATGACTAAATTAGACTAAAACATGTTCCCTAATAGAAACTCTCAGGAAATATTCCTTATTGAATATGTAAGAATAATATGTGACTAAAATTAAAACGGTCAAGAGGTATGGGTCAGAGAGCTCTCAATATGCTTAATGGTGCTTCTAAAATACTTTAAAAGACTATTTTCTTAAATAGGCTAAATATCTCCCTTTAAATATTCTTAACTTTAACAATTTGTTCAACTTTTTCTCTTTGGTCCTCAAAGGTAAACCTCCATTCAGACCCTGACCACAGCTGTCACTAATTCCAAATTCGTGAGATCTGAATAAATGAGGTTTTAATACACCATCATTAACAAGTCAAGGCCAACAAAAAACTCATGTTGGAAGCTGAGACTCTGGGAGTTTTGGACAGCTTTCCGCCTGCAGTGTCACTTTGAACACTAATTTTCTTCTTTCTCCTCTCTGGTTTAGCATGAGAATGAAGCTCAAAACTTCTAGGGAGTAGCAAGAAAGATTTCCTTCAAGGATCTAAGAAGACCTCGGACACTCACTATTTAGGCTACAAATGTTAGGAATGGAAAACCGAGAAAGGGTTTGGGAGCAGAGGCTGGAAAAGGGGTGCCTTGAAAGTACCAGAATAAGGGAATCAATGACTTTTATGTGCTGGATGTGTTGACCAATGTCATCTCTGGGCCTTGGTTTTCTCATCTGTAACCATCGGAGAATTTGATAGACTCAAGATCCTTCCAGTGTCTGATATTTTATCACTTAATTATCACAAAACAATACTCACATTGTATCTGGGCTTCTAGGTAGCTGAAAGGGCTTGTGAAACACCCATCCTGCTGTCTTCCTCAGCCCTGTCCATCTTAACTTTCCCATCCCTATCAAAACAGGATGCCGTTGAAGAGTACTGGACTGGAAGTGAGGAGACCTTGTTTCTTGTACTGGCTCTGCCAAAATTTTGTTATGTGATCTAGAAAAACTTATTTCTCCTCTTCAAATCTCAACATTATCATTTAAAACAAAATGAGTAGTCCAGACGAGGCAGTCTTTAAAATGCGTCTCAGCTTCTTTAGTCTTGGCTTTGGTGACTTTGCCAAGACTTGACAAGGAATTGGGGAGCTTAGCTGGTGTGGATCATGGCAGAAGGGTAGAGTGGATGTGGAGAAGGAGAAAACCCTTAGCTGGAGCCATCACGTATGAGGTAGTATCTTCCCAGTTGTCAGCATGGTCTACCCTTGTGTCAACAAATCGCTATAGAGGAAGCAAAAATATTGAATGAGAGGAAAAACAAGGTCCTCAGAAAACTGTCTCTTTTGTTTGACTTTTTTGTGATTTCCCAAAATCTACAAACTGCCTTTCAAAGAAATTTCAAATAATACATTTTCACAGAAAGTTCTCAGCAGTTCATTATTTTACAGTGTTTTGCCATTAGAAATAGAGCTCATATGTGTGTGCAGGACCAGCACTCTCTCCACAAAGAAGAGAGAATTTTTTTTTTTTTTTTGCCTCCAGCCTCTATCCAAGTTCTGGAGATGTGTGGCAAAGGTAGAATACTAAGGCTTTTGCCCTTATTCCCAAGTGTGTGTACCTTAATGCTTCTTTCCTGGAGCATTTAGAAGAGCTACTCTTACTGTTTCACCACGGCAATCATGGAGAAGATCTCCTCTGCTACATAAGGCAGGGGGTCCGTACATTGTCTTTATTTTAGACTTAGAGAAAACTAAAAACTGTCATCTAATCCAGTGCTACTCAAAGTGCGGTCGCTAGAGGAGAAACATCAGCATTTCCTGGGAGCTCATTGCAATGCAGATTCCCAGTGCCCACCCCAGACTTTCCTAATCAGAATCTCTGGGGGTAGGGCCCTGGAATTTGCATTTTAACAAGATCTTTAGGTGACTCTATGCACATTAATGCTTGAGAAGCATACCATTTTGCCTTTTTTTTTTTCCAGTTTTGAAATTTTATAACCCCATGACAAAAATAAAGACTTGGATCTCTGGGGATCAGAGTAGCCTTGGTCTATGTAGCCTGACGATTTTAGGCAACCAGCTTCAGTGACAAGATTAGAACAAAAATGGGTGTACAGAGGATTAAGCATTTAGGAAATGAGGAGAAAGCTGAGGTAGGGTGTATAAACTCAAAAAGTTTAATAGAAGGCCGGGCGCGGGTGGCTCACGCCTGTAATCCCAGCACTTTAGGAGGCCGAGGCGGGCGGATCATGAGGTCATGAGATGGAGACCATCCTGGCCAACATGATGAAACCCCATCTCTAATAAAAATACAAAAATTAGCCGGGTGTGGTGGCACATGCCTGTAGTCCCAGCTACTCGGGAGGCTGAGGCAGGAGAATCTCTTTACCCCAGGAGGCAGAGGTTGCAGTGAGCTGAGATCTCGCCACTGCATGCACTCCAGCCTGGGCAACAGAGTGAGACTCCATCTCAAAAAAAAAAAAAAAAAAGTTTAATAGAAGAAAAATTATGTGGCTATTGGACAGCATCATAAAGATGAATCTCTAAGGATTCCCCAAACCAGAGTGTCAAAATTTAAAGTCAATGGAGAACAAGGAAAGGATGGGAATACACAACAAGATCCATTTCCTCAGGCACAGCAGGAGGACAGAGTGGGCAGGGCTGCTCCAGTGCAGCTTCTCGGGAAGGCAAAATGGCGGCCACTATGAGAGATGAGGAGAAAGGGCTGCTCAGGGTGGTTTTCCTGGAGGGTCCCAATCTTCTTGGTAGTCTATGAGAGGGAGTCATTGAATCAGGCAGGATAAGGTGGATTCTGCTATGGTGATAAATAACTCCCAAACTCCTTAAGACACCAAAGGATTATTTTTCACTCCCACTCTGCTGTAGATCAGCGAGGACCTCTGTGGTACTTCCCCATCCTTACTCAAAAGCCCAGAAATAGGGAAGCAGCCTCTATCAGCAATGTTACCATCGTCCACGGCAGAGAAGAAAGAGAACTCTAGGGGGCCCCACAAGGACAATTAAATGGCAGCAGAGAGTGGCACATACCACTTCTACTCACATCTTCTTGTATGAATCTGGCCACACGGACCTACCCCACCAAAGGGGATCCAAGAAGTGTGATTCTACCTTACTGCAGGATAATGGAAAATATCCAGTGAGCAGCACCAATGACTACCATAGTCACCATGTTGAGTTTAGAGCAAAAGATTGGGAATTTATGATTGGGAAGGTCCCCTTCCCTATCACCATGATAAAACCATCAAAGTGTTCTTTTTTAAGGCAGGTGAAACATTTCTGCAGCCGACTTATTATATATGAAGCCAGTGGTTTCAGAGCATGTACACTGAACAACCTCTTTATGATAAGACATCTATGAAGTGTTGAGAAAGTATCCCATAAACAGATCATCTGTTCTTCAGTTCCAACCTCAGGGCTCCAGACAGGACAGTGGATATGAAATGCTAACAGTAGATTCTGTGGAATCGCATCAAGATATTCTCCTACAACATGTAACGATTTCACACTGTGGTGGTTTCTACCCACCCCCCTTTCCTTTTGCCATACTCTTTTCCTCACTACTCCAAACAACAGTCACCCTCCATCTACTCTGCTCTCAGGGAAAAGGTAGTTAGACACCAGAGGAAGAAGTCTTTGTTCAACCTTGACTTTCAAAATAGACTTTTTTTCAAGCCCACAGGGCAAAAATTGTCATGTAATTGCAAGAGCCTTATAGTAGAAAGAGAAAGTGTTTTCTCTGACAATGAAAGCTGACCTTTTAGTATCAATGAGCCAAGCTTGGAAAGCTTGAGTTTTTACAATAAGCCACAGAGTAGACAGCATATAGGATATGGTGGAAGAGCATGTCCTGCTATACAAGGCAAAGAGAAATATCCTCCTGCACTGGGGAAAAACCTCAAGTGGAATCAAAGAAGGCAGAAAGAAAGCAAGATATGTGAATCCCTGAGATGTCCTGATCACCCACTATGGGGTGGGCTGGTAGGGAAAGAGGGAGCGGGGAAAGTGGACAACTGAATCCTCCAGATAGATTGGAGAATCTGAGGGTAGAACACATTTCTGCCTGGCTTCCAGCCTAGATCTTAGGGAGGTAAATTCCTAATGAATGTTCCATGCCATCATGACAGTGATGGAAACATGGAAACAGCAGTGAGACAGGACTACTGTCTGTCAGGACAGAGAGACGGTCCTTCACTCAACCCCAGACTTCCAGAGCTCCTAAGTGATACCCAGAAGACAAGTACCCTGGCTAGGAATTTAAAGGCTATCTCCAAAGACTGCATATCTCAGAGCTCACAACAGCAGAAGACCACCATTACAGAGAAATGAAATGAAGTACAAATCTACATATTTGAGTTACAGCCATAAAGTGTAAAACAGGCACATCAATATCCTAAGACCCAAAGTCTTTCAAGAGTGGTTCTCAAACCTTTTGGTCTCGGGATGTCTTTACACCCTTAAAAGTTATTGAGGACCACAAAGAGCTTCACTTGTGTGGGACTTAACAAAATACAATTATCATACTCAAAATTAAAATAGAGAATTTAAAATGTATGTATTAATTTATTTTACATTAAGAACAGTAAATCTATGATGTGCTAACATAAATAACATATGATTATGGGAAATAACTATATTTTCCAAAAAAAAGAATTAGTAAAAAGAGTGGAATTGTTTTACATTTTTTGCAAAGTTCTTTAATGTTGTGCTTAGTGGAAGATAACCAGATTCTGATGTCTGCTTCTGCAGTTACTCTCTTGCAGTATAACATCTCGTGCAGCCCCCAAAGGCAGCCTGGTGAACACAGGAGGAGGAAGGGAAGCTCCAACAGAGGAAAGAGAAAGAAGCCCATTTTCCCCCTGCCACTGGTCAGCCCAAAGTAAAACTGAGTTGAGGGCTGGAAGAAGCTTTAGTTTTACAGTAATTTGGAAGCTGTTAATATTACAATGGTCTGGGACTACTAATTATTAGGCTGGGAAATTACAAAATGACTTTCTATTTTCTAACAATAACCTGAAAAGTAGGGAATGGAAAAAAGGAATGAAATTTCTTACTGGTGACACACTTGGGTTTACTTGCTTGGCATAATGGTTATACAAGCAAACACACCTGGCAAAGGACCTGTGCAAAATACCCCAGATTGAGGAAGAAGGAACGTTGTACTAAAGACTTGAAGGAGGGGCATACAATTACAGGATTAAGGAACTGTATGAGATCCTTGATAGACTACAAGAAGAGAAGATAAGTCTTTTACGAACGAGGAACAATCTTCATGAGAGAACAAGACAGGATAGAAAGGAGACGAGATTCATGGACATCTGGGTCTTTGCCTTCCATCGATCATCCTGGCCACCATCCTATGTCCCCCACACCTCTTGATAACAGACTCCAACCCTACTTCAGTCACCAGTGTAGGCAATGGCTCAAGCCAGACCAACTGCAGTCTTTTTCTTTAATTTCCAGACAGAAATGTAAAGAGAGAAAATGTCTTCCTTGTCAGGGACTGGACCTTAATGATACAAATCTAGGGCTACCATAGCCTTGTCCTACACTATATGGGGAAAGAATGAAGGTGATGAAAGAGGAATAATGATAGCTAACATTCACTCAATGCTAACTGTGCACTTGGTACTATCAAAGCACTTTGCAGGCATTAACCCACTGAATCCTCATACCATCTCTTATGAGGTTAGAACTACTGTGTGTCCCATTGCTAAGGAATTTGCCCACATCCTAAGGAAAAGGAGAAGCCATTGATGGGCCATGGGATGTATGGGAGGAAGATTAAGGTCACCCTTCAGAAGATGACTAGAGCTGTCCTGTAGAACATGGATTTGATGAAGTTCATGTTGAAGGGCAGGTAGACCAGTGAGGAGCAGTGTGGTATTATGCTGAGACATGCACCAAATCAGAGCTGTAGGTGTGGACTTCAAATTTCAGTTGCAGAGAGCAACATAGTGGTCATTTAAGGATTCTGAGTCATTTTCTGGTTATTTTAAAATTATACTGACCAGGCGCGGTGGCTCACGCCTGTAATCCCAGCACTTTGGGAGGCCGAGGTGGGCAGATCACCTGAGGTCAGAAGTTCAAGACCAGCCTGGCCAACATGGTGAAACCCCGTCTCTACCAAAAATACAAAAATTAGCCAGAGGTGGTGGCGCACTCCTGTAATCCCAGCTGCTCGGGAGGCTGAGGCAGGAGAATTGCTTCAACCTGGGAATTGGAGGTTGCAGTGAGCCGAGATCATGCCACTGCACTCCAGCCTGGGCAAGGGAGCGAGACTCCATCTCAAAAAAAAAATTATACTGAATGATCTGAATTATTGATTTTTAAAAATATACACTAATATACTACTTAGCAGTAGCTTGCATTTATCACAAATCCTCTTTCTATTTATCTTCTATCTAGGACTGTGATTATTCTGATGTATAGTATGCTTAAAAGTCAGGATTGTGTGTGTGTAAAATGTGTAGATAAAAGAATAAGTAAATATATCAATAAGTAAATTATGTTGGCACTGGGTGGTGGGACTCTATCTGATTTATAGTGATTTATTTATATTTCTTTTTATTTTCTATCATTTCTAAGCATACATTATGCCTGTGTTCAGAAAATAATCAGTATTTGTCATGTTACTAATATCATAGGATCATTATATATAAATCTATAATAAATGCATATATGTATAAAATGTGTGTACATAGATCATCCCTGACTTATGGTGGCTTGATTTACAACTTTTTGACTTTACAATGGTATGAAAATAATACATGTTCAGTAGAAACTGTACTTTGAATTTTGACTTTTTCCCAGGCTAGCCTTATGTGGTACAATATTGTCTTATGACGCTGGGCAGTGGCCAGGAGCCACAACTCCCAGTGAGCCCCACCATCACAAGGGCAAACAACCAATTCAAGGGCAAGCAACCAGTTCTGTTCTCTACAGTGTACTGTTTTCAATAAATCACATAAGACATTCAACACTTCATTAGAAAATATGGCTTTGTGATAGGTAATTTTGCCCAACTGTAAGCTAATGTAAGTGTTCTGAGCATGTTTAAGGTAGGCTGGGCTAAGCTATGCTGCTCAGACGGTTAGGTGTATTCAATGCATTTTCGACTTACAATATTTTCAACGTATAATGACTTTATCAGGATGAATACCCATCAAAAGTTGAGGAGCATCTGTGCATATGTGCATGCATTCGTGTATGTGTGTGTGTGTGTAACAAAATAACTAGAAGAAAACTACTCCAAATTACTAACGGTGTTAGTGAATCTTGGTAATTTTTAAATTTCTTTTTACTTTAATGTATTTCCCAGTTTTCCATAATAAGCATGCATTACTTTTTTAATGGAAAAAACAAAATTCATTCTTTTAATATTGAAAAGTAGTGAGGTTGGAGGGCTCACTTTAAACAAAGATGCCACACCTCCCTGAAAATGGAGCAGCAAATGTTTTGGCCATTCTCCAGCAGGGCCTTCTACATAAAGAAGCCACAATACTCACATGATGGTTGGCTTAAATTAGGAAAACTCAGTGGAACTGGGAGCAACTCTACTGAGCATCCACCTTAAGGTGGATCTTTGCCCCCTTTTTCTTTGTTTCCAGGGCAGGGCTTTTATCACTGGATAATTAGCTCTGCCTTTTTTGTAAAGTACTTCTAGCTGTGACTGGGGAACTGGTGGATTATCAGTTGCAACAGGGCCAGGTGGGCTGGATGAATGTCATGCCCTCTCCAGTCTGTCCAGACCCCATCACTCCCTACTGGATTCCTTATAAGTCAATTACTACTGCCTTTAAAAAGAATTCCTGTCCAGGTGCGGTGGCTCACGCCTGTAATCCCAGCACTTTGAGAGGCCGAAGCAGGTGGATCACCTGAGGTTGGGAATTCGAGACCAGCCTGACCAACATGGTGAACCCCATTTCTATGAAAAATACAAAATTCCCCGGGCATGGTGGTGCATGCCTGTAATCCCAGCTACTCGGGAGGCTAAGGCAGGAGAATCACTTGAACCCGGGAGGCAGAGGTTGCGGTGAGCCGAGATCATGCCACTGCACTCCAGCCTGGGCAACAAGAGTGAAACTTCATCTCAAAAAAAAAAAAAAAAAAAGAATTTCTATGCTATCTCTGATCTTAGCCTAATATTATTTATATTTGTTAGAGCCTTTAGGAGGTGGCGAGTACCACGTCAAATTAGAGAACAAGTCCCATCTAAAAAGAGCTGTATTTATCAGCTGCAGCCAATCATTATAAAACAGAAATGCCAGCCCAAAATAGCCTCTATTTCATATTTTTAAAGGATTAAAAGACACTGATTTTTAAATGATGTTAATACATTTGAAAAAAAAAAAAAAAACACTTCCTGGGCCAATGAGTTCTAGCTAAATACAATAGCTTTGTGAGCCATGATTTGACTAGTCAACTAAAAAAATACATGACCTCCAAGTCAAATAGTCAGTACTAGGATTCCTTGTTTTCCCATATCTGTAGCAGCTCTTAACCACTGATATTGAATTCTATGCATGGCACCTATAATTCTGAAAAATAGGTCTGGTGCCCATAAATAAGTAATACCTTGACCCAAAAAGAATGGCCAGGGCATTTCAAGAACCCACAAGATCATGGACCAGAATTGTTAGATATAAACATCTCCTTTGGATATTGAAAATTGTGGATGCAATCACACTTCCTGGTAGGTCATGAGATTTAGGTTTTTAGAGTAGAAAGTATTGGCTACATAAAGGGTCATTATACAATACCGGGCAGAGCATAATCTATACGAGCCTTTGACAGAGCTTTGAGCAGGCCTTGAGACATTTTCCTTACTTCCAGGATGCCCTTTTAACAGACCAGTAAAGCTCTGGAAGATTCTGAGCCGGACCAGTCTTTGTTTTCACTGTGTAGCTGTGAGACTCCTGGGAAGCTATGTCACCTAGAAAAAGTCATTGTAGCAGTAAATTGAAATCATGTCAAAATATAGCAGAAAGAGAAAGATGAAATACCAAATCCCAAACATCTAAATCTCTCCGCAAACTGTCACCTCTAACTGCAAAATCTTAGAGGGAAATACATGCAACCAGAAAAGAACAAAGTAAAGAAGCATTTATGATTATCTAGGGCAATGTAGAATTTTAGTGAACTAAATTTAATCAGAACACTCAGGCCTTAATAGACCTAGGCAACTCCATTTCAAGGCATGTTCCAGGTGAGCTTATGCTAACCATGGGGGAGAAAGATCTCAAAGGAAGAAAGGCCAAATAGGAAAAAAAAAAAAAAAAAGGCAAAAAGGCCTGCCTTTCTTCTAGAAAAGAATACCTCCAGCCCAGTTTCATTTATCCAATTCTAGCCAGCAAGCATGTTCAACAAGTATTTGTGTTCGGGCAGTGGGATTGGAGGGAAGATGGGAGAGTGCAGTGTGGAGAACCAAAGTGAAATTGTCGGAGGTCTTTGAACCAGAGCAACTCCATCTTGAGTATGGCTGGGTAAAATGAGGCTGAAACCTTCTGGGCTGCATTCCCAGGAGGTTAAGGCATTCTAAGTCACAGGATGAGACAAGAGGTCAACACAAGATACAGGTCATAAACACCTTGCTGATAAAACAGGTTGCAATAAAGAAGCCAGCCAAAACCCATTCAAACCAAGATGGCAACCAGAGTGACCTCTGGTCGTCCTCACTGCTACACTCCCATCAGTGCCACAGCAGTTTACAAATACCATGACAATGTCAGGAAGTTACCCTATATGGTCTAAAAAGGGGAGGCATGAATAATCCACCCCTTGTTTAGCATATAATGAAAAAATAACAATAAAAATGGACAACCAGCAGCCCTTGGGGCCGCTCTGCCAATGGGGTAGCCATTCTTTTAGTCCTTTACTTTCTTAATAAACTTTTTTTCATTTTACTCTATGGACTTGCCTTGAATTTTTTCTTGTAGAAAATCCAAGAAACCCTCTCTTGGGATCTGGATTGGGACCCCTTTCCAGTAACAAAATGGAGGGGGTTGGCCCCTGTTTTCCCAGAGAGCAATCCTTACCCTCTCTTCTCCTCTTGACACGTGAAGGAAGAGTGTCTCTTGTGGTTCACTCAAAGTTTAACCTCTTTAAAAGTTCCAACCCCCTAGGACTGGGACTCTGTCCAGGAACTTGTCCAATCCAGATCAGAGGTCCTCCTGTTTTCCATGGGGCACAAGAGGAATAGAGACTATTTAGAGAGGAGCTGTGAGCTTCCCCTCTCTTGGAGGCCCCACATTCTCAAATTTTCCTGTTAACTTATCGGCTCAACTCGAGCTTAGGCTCAACTATTGGGTGCTGCTGTGCTTTTGTTGGAAAATCAGTGAAGTCTAGAGAAATCCCACAGTTTTGGCAATACCTTCATGGACCGCCTTCCCAGCTGTACAGATCTCCTCTGACCCCATGAGGATCAATAAAGAGAGCAACTCACCCCTCACTGCTACTGTGATTGTCTCTTTGATTTTGCTCTCAGAATCTGATGAAAGAGGTAAACCTAAGACAGTGAAAATTAGGTTTGCCTCCAGGCCACATTAAGCCAAGCATCATTGTCTCTTCTGTTTCTCCACAGAAATTACAATCAGCTCCAACTCCAAATAAGCTCACCAAACAAGTGTGTACAATATGCACCGGAAAACAATCTGACAATCTAGCCCAGATAGAGCAGCATCTTCCATTTTAAATGTACAAACTTGCTGCCATCCTATGAGGTTTCACATGATGGGCCTTGCTGCTCCCACTGAAAAAGACAAAATCTTCCTGTCTTCGTATTTGCCAGGGTGCTGGTCAACACATGCAGGTTATCTGTGTCATCTATGACTTGTGAACACAAAACTCACTTGGGAGAAATCTCCCCATAAAGGGCAGTAGGTAGCACCGGAGAGTGGTAAGGGCTTTGGCTCCAGAGCAAGGCCACTTACTATCTAGAGACCATATATTTAAACTTTTCATGCTTCAGTCAACCCATCTGTAAAAGGGGATTAGAACTGTCCTCGGTCATATGGTTTTTGTGAGGATGAAATAAGTTACTATGTGTAGAGCACTTAAAAGAGCACTTAGCATAGAATAACTCAATAAATCTTAGAAGAAATTGTGACTAATTCCCATATAATGGTTGTATAAGGTGTCGTGGGGGTGGTAAGCTATATAAATTTCCTCCTGTCTCAAAGAGTGACCATTCTAAACAATCCTACATCCTTGCAAAACCTAGACATTTGCAATGGTTATACCTCCTGTCAATCAGAACTTTCTAGAGACTCCCTCATATATTTAAAACATATATATATATATATATATATGTTACTTTAAGTGGGAGGGTACATCCAGTCTGAGTTAATCCATCTTGGATGGAAACAGAAGTCCCTGAAAGCAACATATTTCAAGTTTTAAATACATGAGGGAGCCTCTAGAAAGACCTAGAAAGTTTCATATATATATATACACATTACACAAATATGAAACAACAGGCTTGAAGAAATTGAGTATCAGGCAACAAAGGACAATGATCCCTGCAAGAAAAGAAACAGATGAGGTGAGCCATATGATTGTCCCAGCTCATTGCCTAGAAAGAGTTTAAAAATGAAAAGACAAGCCACAACCTGGGGAAGAAAATATTTGCAAATCATGTATCTGAGAATGGACTTGTATCCAGAATATGTAAACAATTCCCAAAAGTAAATAAATTGGCCAGGTACAGTGGTGCATGCCTGTAACAATCCCAGCACTTTGGGAGTCTGAGGTGGGAGGATTGCTTGAGCCCAGGAGTTCAAGATCAGCCTGGGCAATATAGAGAGACTCCATATCTACAAAAATAAAAATAAAAATTAGCCAGGCATGGTGATGCATGCCTGTAGCCCCAGCTACTCGGGAGGCTGAGGTGGGAGGTCCACTTGAGCCCTGGAGGTCAAGGCTGCAGTGAGCCATGTTCAGGGCACTGCACTCCAGCCTGCCCAACAAAGTGAGACCCTGTCTCAAAAAAGTAAAACAACGGGTTCAACTGACTATTACACAATCATGTGCATAACCTTCCTCTTAGAAAATAGGAGGAGTTGTAATTTCAAATTTTTGTGCAATTAGATTAAATCATAATGCAACAACAACAAAAAAGTAAAACAAAACAAAACAAAAAGGAAATAAACCAAAGAGCACAACAGAAACGACAAAAAAGGAGGCCAAATACTTGAACAGACTCTTTGCAAAAGAAGATGTACAGATGTCAAAAAAACATGAAAATATGCTCAACATCATTTAGTCGTTCAGGAAATGCAAATTAAAAGCACAATGTTAGATACTACTCCAAACCATTAAAATGAATAAAATTTAAAAAACTAACCATACAAGAGTTGGCAAGGATGTAGAGAAGGAGAACTCTCTCATTTACTGCTGGATGGAATGCAAATGGTATAACCACTTTGGAATATCGTTTGACGGATTTTTTTAAAAAGTGAAACATACATCGATCATATAATCTGGCCATTCTATTTCTTAGTATTAATGCAAGAAAAATGAAAGTATATGGCCCTACAAAAACATATAATAGGCAACAACTAGAAACAACCCAAATATTCAACAGATCAAGGTATAATGTGTGTGCGTGTGTGTGTGTATATATATATATATGAATATATATATATGAATATATATATATGAATATATATATATGAATATATATATATGAATATATATATATGAATATATATATGAATATATATATGAATATATATATGAATATATATATGAATATATATATGCATATATATATATGAATATATATATATAGAGAGAGAGAGGAATATATATTATGGTAAATCCATACAATGGCCATAGTACTTAGCGAAAAAAGAAAGAAAGAAAGAAATGGGCTTTTGATACATACAGTGACTTGTACACATCTCAAAATAATTAGGCTAAGTGAAAGAAGCCAGTACTCAGTACATAGTGCATGATCCCATTTATAGAAAATGTAAACAATCTAAAGAGACAGATAATAGGTTAGTGTTTCCCAGGGGGTTGGGAGATGGGGCAAGGAGAGGAGAAAGGGAGAGATTCGCAAATGGAAACTTCATTGGTGATGAACTTTTGACAGTGATGTTCATCATCTTGACAGTGTTGATAGTTTCGTGAGTGTACAAATATGTCAAAAATTATCAAACTGTACATATTAAACGTGGGCTGTTTGTTCTATATTAATGATACCTTAATAAAGCAGTTAAAAATACATTTGCCTTTTAATTCCTCTTTGGTGACGTCTAAGGACATAAATACACTATATTCTATGGAGCAAGAATTCCCATATATAACATATGAGTTACATATATTCCCATATACATATATATATATATATATATATATATATATATATATATATATGTCACCATAGGTCACAGAGGGGAATAGTGTAATAAATACATTATATCCTATGGAGCAAGAATTCCCATATATAATATGAGAGTTACATATATTCCTCTATATATATATATATATATATATATATATATATATATATTTGTCATCATAGGTCACAGAGGGGAATGGTGTAATAAATACACTATATCCTATGGAGCAAGAATTCCCATATATAATATGAGAGTTATATATATTCCTCTCTCTATATATATATATTTGTCATCATAGGTCACAGAGGGGAATGGTGTAATAAATACACTATATCCTATGGAGCAAGAATTCCCATATATATAACAGGCACCTCTCCAAGCACATCTGCAACCCCTGATCATCCATGTGGAATTCCCACCTCCTGCAATTCCAACTGCCTTCGTCAGGCTTTCTTAGTCTTGTGCTGTATTTACATTACAGTGGCCAGGCAGGCCCTTCCTCCTGAGGCCTATGAATCTGCCTTACACTCATATTTCTTCCCAAACGCAGACATTATAATGAAGTGTTTAAAAATTAGACTTGGGAATCAGCCTGCCTGCAGCATCATTCACCAGCCGAATTATATTGAGCAGTAACTTAACCTCTGGGCTTTTCTTCATCTGTAAATTGGGTATACTAATAATATCCCTCTTATAAAGTCATTGAAGAGGAAATAGTTTTAATAGTGCTGAGAACCGTGCCAAGCGCATAGTAAGAATTCAGTAAATTCTGCCCACAGAGAAACTACAGAAATGATATGGCTGCTCATTTTTTTGAAATACAGGGCATGGAAATATTCTTATTCTTTTTCTGCTTATTTTCCCAGAAAAAAAAAATCATCTCAATGTTGTCTTCAGAGTTGTCTACAAAAGTATTGATTGTTTCAACAAAGCCCATTGATCCCACCTACTTCCCTGAGGAGGGTAATTCCACCCGGGGGAAATCCAAGCCCTACCTGCCCATTCCACCCACACACAACCCAATGCTGCCCTTGGTATATCTCGTCTGCCACCAGCTTTTGCCCAAAAAGTCGACACCATCTATCTTTGAGACACGTTCTCTCAGAGCGTGGGGTTCAATCTTTCCACTCACAGCTCTGCCAATGCTGAAACTCAGTAAACATTGCCCTGCAGTTCCTTCTACTGATATTCCTGGACTTCTTTCTCAAATTTCTGCAGTTTTCCCTCTACTTGCATTGTCATCACAGGTCACAGAGGGGAATCGAGGAGACAGAATTCCACATATAATCTTATCTTCCTGTAGAAGTCCCATGATCCACCCTCTGCAAGCTGAAGATCTGGAAAAGCTGATGGTGTTATCCAAAGGCCATGATGTCAATTCCCGCCTGGAATCTGAAGACCTGAACACAAGGAGTGCTGAGGACAGGAAAAGATCAATGTTCCAGCTGAAGCCGTTAGGCAGAGTTAATTCAACTTTCCTCCTCCTCCTTCTGGTTCTGTTCAGGCCCTCAGTTTATTGGATGGTTCTCCCCCACACTGGGAAGGGTCATCTTTAAGGAATCAGTCCACCAATCTGAATGCTAATCTCTTCTACAAATGCCCTCAAGCCACACCCTGAAATAGTGTTTAAATGGCTATCTGGGTATTTCATGGCCCAGTTAAGCTGACGTATAGAACTAATCATCACACTTCCTATAAGTTTAGAACACCTTATTTGATTTCTTAGATTCAGGCTTTCTCTGGAGGAAGGGGGTGGATCTTCCCTCTGAGGGAAATGACTTTCCTCTTCTATTTAGTTTTTCTGGTACCACCATCCTCTATAACCAAAGAACAACTAAGATATCCCTAGTCTTTCCAGTCCAGTGATTTTAATTGCAGGCACTATTTAATGGAATTTTCTTAAACCACTAACTCTATAATATTTTCATTTGGTTTTCTCCATCCCAGATCAAGAAAGAATTGTATTCCCCATGTAGTAAGTGCCCCTGTTTTTCACTTATCTTTCCACTGATCAACTCCTCCCACTGGGGCTCTGAAAACCACAACCATGATTAGGAATTACCTAATATCCATGACACCTAATCAAGAAAGAAAGTGGTAGGGGACCCCCCACTGGCATCTTCCAGCCAAACCACATAGATCACACAGGGATGATCCCTTTGCTTGTCGGTGCCACTATTCTCCCAGGACCCCTATCTCCCTGAGATTGTGGCTTACGTGACACACAATGGAGCCAGCCCAAGAGCACATGGTGAGGAATGTGTGGGCAACTGCAGTCAAAGTTCTTCAATCCTACTGACATTTAAATAAGGCATTCAAAACAAAGTGGAAAATCTGGGGACGCTAATTCAAGATAGCTCATCCAGTCTGAGATCAAGGCCTGAAAGTTCCAAGTGAGAAGCTGAATATGCAAGCAGACAATGGCCAGACCATATTTAAAAACAGAACTTCAACCCATAGTCTCTGCAGCCACAAGCCCAGGAAACCAAATCACAACCCCTGCAGCAATAGGCCTCAAATAGTCAGGACTTGGTCAATGTTATGTCTAATTGTGTAAGTCAATTTGACTGGGTTAAGAGACACCCAGGTAGCTGGTAAAACATTTTTTTCTGGGTGTGTCTGTGAGGGTGTTTCCAGGAGAGATGAGCATTTGAATCAGTAGACTCAGAAAGGAGATCTGTATTCATCAATGTGGGCTGGCATTGTCTAATCCACTGAGGGCCTGACAAAAACAGAAAAGCAGAGGCAAGTTCACGTTCTTTTCTTGAGCTAGGACATCCATTTCCTCCTGCCTGCGGACTTCAAAGCTCCTGGTTTTCAGGTTTTCTGACTTTTAAACTTACACTAGAGGCTCCCCTGGTCCTTTGGCCTTAGACCGAGAGTTACATCATAAACAACAAAAAGTTATTTCTCACCGTTCTAGAGACTGGGAAGTCCAAGATTGAGGTGCCAGGAGATTCAGTGTCTGATGAGGAGGCATTTCCTGATTCATGAAATAGTGAAATGGATTTTTGAAGACTCAGTTACAGCATCAGCTAGGTGGCGATACCTTGCAGGGCTGGCTCAGGGTTCTCCAGAAGGCTGTATATACTCTGAATCAGCATCCAGTATACAGTACTATTTCTCCAATAGCCAGAATTCATGGGTCTAGGAATTAAGGGGTAGAAATTGGAGTGGCACCACTCACCATTACCACTAGTGACCCATTAATAAAAATTTTGCTTCCCATTCCTGTGACTTCACGCTGTGCTGGCCCAGAGGCCAGAGGAAGGAGTGGTGTAACTCTCAGTCCAATGTTGAAGACCTGAGAACTGGCAGGGCTACTGGTATAAGCTCTAGAGTCCAAAGGCCTGAGAACCAGGAGCTTTCATGTCCAAGGGCAAGAAAAGATGGCTGTCCCAGTGTTACAGGACCTTTGGGGTGTTGCTTTTCTGGCTGGAAACCTGAGTCCAATGGCACCTTTGCCGAACTTTTGCTTGGGTCCACTGGGTTCATTCTGTCCACTTGGCCTGGCAGGCTGCACTTGTTTCATGCTACAGGCCTGGATCCCATACCTCCAAGGAGACCACAAGTCAGGCATGGAGTAGTGAGGAGTATGTGAGTGAGCGTGGGGTCTGCACCCTCAGACATGCCAGCTGCTGCTACAAGGTGGGCAACTCCAGATGCCAGCATGGGCAGCGGCTCTCTGCGAGGCTGTGGCTGGACCAGGCACACTACAAGCAGCTTCCCCTGGCTGGCACCAAGGAATGTGGTGGTACCCGGAAGCTTGGAGATGCCAGGCACTGCAGGGCCCCAAAGAGGGAGTCACAGCAGTCCCCAAGGGTCCTCAGCTCTTCTCTCCTTCTCCTTGTTCACAACGTAGAGAGCAAGGGTCATGTTTCAGCCCTGTTTGTGTTACAGCTCTTTTAGTCTCACCATTTGGTGGGTCCTGAGTTCTTGTCCTATGACCAGGAAGAATGGGTTATGCAGACAAGTGAAGGGTAAGCAAGATGAAGCAGAGCTTCATTGAGCGATAAAACAGCTCAGTCTCTCAGCTCCTTTCTACAGCCAGGGTGTCCTGTTGGAGTGTTCAGCTCCTAGTAGAGAGGGTAGCTCCTATCTTCAGGCAGGTCACTCCAACAAGTGCTCAGCTCCCAGCAGAAATGGTAACTCCTCTCTGTAGCTGGTCATCCTGATGAGTGTTCTGCTCTTGGCAAAGAGGGTATCTCCTCTCTGCAGCTGGTTGTCCCCTTGTCTGTTCTGCTCTGGCTGAGCCCCAGGCTTTTATGGGCCTCAGAGGGAAGGAAGTATGTGCCAATTAGTCCATGTGCTGATGGGCAGGCCCAGAAAAGGCACTACAAGTTCCCACTCCAGTCCACAGGACTGGCAGCCCAGCCCTCAGCCTTCAGGCCCTCCTTGGCCTGAAGGTGGGGCCTCACCAGGAACCCGCTCCTTTCCACCCAAGAGCCTGTCTGCCTCCTGCTGCCATCCATGGCATCCAGGCTGCTCACACCAAGGGGCACCTGCAGGCCAGTGCCAGGCTGTCTTCAGCACCCCCTCAGTCTTCCTCCTGTGCTTGTGGGCACCCAAAGTCCTTCCCAGGCCCCCAAGAGTGCAAAGAGGCCCAGTCCACAGCCCCAACTTGGGTGGCTACAGCTGCATCCCGGTGGATCAGGGCTCTGCCTGCTCCCAGCTCCTGCTGGCTCCATGGAATGTGCAGCCCTGGAATCTGTCCCCTCGCAGCTTGGGATAGGGGCTCCAGGTCCTTGCTGGGCCCAGGCTGGTGTCCAGGGATGGAGCAATGTTGCCACGAGCTCCCCCAGTGGCCCAAGTGCTCAGGGGCAGCCCAGGGCTCCCCCTTGCCTGGTTTGTGGCCCTGCCCAATGTGGCACCTCTGGGAGCAGATCACGGGCCACAGGCCTCAGGCCCAGCTGTCTGGAGTGTCAGGTCTGGTGGTCACCCCAATGTGGGGCAAACCCTGGGGACACAACCTCCTCCCAAGATGCAGGAACCCGGTGCTCTAAAGTAGGGTGAGTATAGTGGCTGCACCACAGGCCAGGTCCCTGAAGTGGGCACTTCTCACCCTGGAACCCCAAAGCATGGCCCCAGCTCTGCACCCCGGGCCTGGCCCCTGCGCCCCATGTGCACGCATGGCACTGTCCTGGGCCCAGCTCCACCTCAGGGCCCTTTTCTGCCCAACCGCACTGTTCCCCTGCTAGCAGGTGACCCAGCCCAGCCCCATCATGGCAGCCCCCAGAGCAGCAGTCTGGGGAGTTGGGGGACTGCCCACCTCCTCCCCACACCCTCCCTGCAGCAGCAGCTGATGGCAGCAGCAGCTTCAGATGGCCCACCACTGCCATCACCTTCTTGGCCCACCAGCTCAAGAAAAGAGAGAAAAAATCAGCTCTCTCTCTTCATTCTGTTCTATCCAAGCCCTCAATGGATTGAATGATGCCCAGATGCATTGATGAGGGCAACATTCTTTACTCAGTATTCTGATTCAAATGCCAATCTGTCCCAAAAACACTCTCACAGACACACACAGAAATAATGTTTTACCAGCAAATTGGGTATCCTTAACCCAATGATATTGACATATAAAATTAACCATCACAGTCAGTAACTACAGCTTCCCTAATTTTTGCCCCCAATTCTAACTCAGGACCAGCCAGAGAAAGCCAAATATACTTTCAAACCAATCACATAGGATGCCGGACTTCTAATTAGCCCGTCTTCAGCTTCCCCATACCTGCTGATTCAGCAGCCTCCCATCAGGGGACACCTGAAGCTTTCCCTTTTTGCCCCACTGTAAATCTTTCCCACTCTGCCTGCCTTTGAGGCACTGCCAAACACAAATGATTGTAGGTGACTCTTTGTTATAGCAAGCTCTGAATATATAGTCTCTGTTTCCCATTTGGGCATTCTTCATTCATTTCCACCCAAGTCACTGAGATTTGACATCATTTCTTTCATCAGATAGCATTATTTCCTGGATAAATATATATCTCAGGCCCATTATGAGCTCAGAGGCTTGGAGGACATCCTTCATCCAAAGTAGAGGCCCATGAAGAATAAGTCAAAGAGCATTTCTCCCATGGAGCCTGGTCCTCAAACTTTGGCATGCATCAGAATTTCTTCAAGGTCTTCTGAAAACACATTGGATGACACCCACTCCCAATTTTCCCTTTAGCAGAGCTGAGTTGGGGACCAAGAATTTGGGTTTCTAATAAGTTCCCAGGTTGCTGATGCTGCCTGCCTGGGACCACACTTTTGAGAACGACTGACTCAACCCTTGAGCAAAACAAAAAGCAAACAAACAAAAATATCTTACCCCTGGGCTATTTAGTGCCGGGATCAGGTTCTCACTAAAGAACTGCTGTAAGTCATTGTACTGTAAATCACAGCCTCTGTATCTGAAGGGATCCCAAAGGAAAAGAGGGAGTGATGGCTCAGTCTTTTCTTAGAGGTGTCTAAGGTGACGTCCCTAGAGGTCTAGAGGTGTCTAGAGGTGACGTCTCTGTCACCTCTCCAGACTCATGTAAATAAAAATGTCTGAAGGAACAAAGGGAGAGAGAGAGATGTAGGGGCCGAGAACAGACAAAGATACATCATGTCAAAGAGAAAGGGAGCCAGTAGAAAGAGAAACAGATGTAGGCATAGAAAGAAGTAGAATTAAAAGAGGATAAGTCAGATCTCCCATTACCTCGGCCCTGTAGAAGGAAGGGCTTCCTGGTAGAAGGGCAGCTGTCTACGCTGGCAATACATTGGAATCCCCTGAAGGTCTCCTAACATGTACCAAGGCTTGGCCCCTATTGCCAGACACTGCTTCAGTTGCTCTAGAATGGGGCCTTGACTATTGGTACTTTAAAAATATCCCCAGATGATTTTAGTGTGTGGCTGCACTTGAGAACCACCAGAATATAGGGCAGCATACCCAAAGGGCATTCATCTGTTACCTCTGGAAAACTACTCTCAGTGGACAATAGTCTATTGCGTCCTGAAAATACTTGGGCTCACCTGGCCAGCTCAGAGGTGAACATACTTTTTCATGCTTTTGATAGTGCATCTATTAATTCATTTACTCATGTACTTGCAAATGAATATTTCATATATTTCACAAATTTATAATCCCAGTACCACCAGAAGAGTTGACTCTCTTGACCTATAAGATGTGTGATTTCCTCCCAAATCAAGGGGATTACATCTAAGAAGGAAAGTTGACATCAACCCCCAAGAATTCCTGCAATCACAAAAAGGAGAAGAAGGTGTGTTTTCTGCACTGTTTCTTGTTCTGCCCACCCGTATCCTAGGGTGGGAAATGTACAGTTACACTCTATAGATTATTATAATTAAGTAGTGTGTGGAATTTGTTTTAAAAATAGCTTCATCAACTCTTCATAGCATATTTCTGTAAGACAAGTACAGGTGAAAAGCAAGCGAGGGTTGTTATTGTTTAGCACATTTAATTAAGTAAGTATTTCTTTCATCCTTCTGGGAATTAAACATTGAACAGTGAATAAACACAGGGAAATCTGCCCATATTAATTTCTGGCTTACTGCCTTAATTCAAAAGCAGGGTGAAAATCAAGAGCTAAGTCTGTGATCTGGGGTCATTATGTGCTAAGCAAAGCAATTGAAGGTTTACCCTTTACATCTCCGATAGAAGTTATTTCAGGAAATATCTTCTTTTATGTTCTCGCTCTCAACTACCTCCTTGATGGCCTCCTTCTCCTTTATAAATAAACATCATCTCTCCTCGTTCTTGAAGAAATTTTTCTTTACGTGTCACCTGCATCAGTTGTAATTTTTGTTTAACAGGGACAGAAACACCTCAAACTGGCTAACTGGAGAGAGAATGTCTTGGTTTATGCAAATGAAAAGTCTAGTCTTGCAGGCTGCATGTAGAGCTCAAAAATGTCATCAGGGGCCGGGCGCGGTGGCCCACGCCTGTAATCCCAGCACTTTGGGAGGCCAAGGCGAACGTATCACGAGGTCAGGAGATTGAGATCACTCTGGCTAACACCGTCTCTACTAAAAATACAAAAAATTAGCCGGGAATGGTGGCATGCACCTGTAGTTCCAGCTACTCTGGAGGCTCAGGCAGGAGAATCATTTGAACCCAGGAAGCAGAGGTTGCAGTGAGCTGAGATTGCACCACTGCTCTCCAGCCTGGGTGACAGAGTGAGACTCTGTCTCAAAAAAAAAAAAAAAATGTCATCAGGAACTGCTTCCTCTTCTCTGTCCCTTGCCTCTACTTCCCTTGTCTTGGCTCCATTTTCAGATAACCCTTCCCCTCATGGAGTCAAGAGGGTCACATTGGCTCTGTCCTACATCCTCCTAGGTTCAAGTCCAGTGGAAAATAGAAAATACTAGTTTATTCCAACATTCAAACCAAAGCTTAGGTCTGACTCTAATGTCCTGATAGGATCATATGGCCATTACCACATTGATGACTGTGACCAGAAGAAAGAATGATCCAAGTTTAGGCCAAGTCACATGCTTCAGCCATAGTACTGGGGGTTGAACCCTACCAGAAGTACCTGGACTAGGGCGGGGAAGGAGGCTGTCAAGAAGGTGGATATAGTTTCCACAACAAAAAGTGGTGAGTAGTTACTAGAAGAAGAGTGTATGGATTTGTTACAGCAAAGCACTTCTGAGTTTTATTTAATGAAACTGAGGCTGCTTTATATCCTTCCCATCTTGAGTCCTTCTCAACTGTGAGATTTGGTAGTTTCTAATCCAAACTAGAAGTCAGCAAACTTTTTCTGTAGAGTCAGATAATTAATTTTTTAGGTCTTGTGGGCCATACATTCTCTGCATAATTACAACTATTCAACTCTGCACTTTCAGTGTGAAATAAGTCATAGATAATGTATAAATGAATAGCCATGGCTGTGTTCCAATAAAACTGTATTTTCAGTATTGGCTGGTGGGTTGAATTTAGCCCATGGGCTATAGTTTGCTAACCCCTGATTGTTAATCATGGGTCCTAAGTATGAGAAGGAGTCAAAATAATATTTTACCCTCCTCTCCTCCAGCTTAACCATACCCCACGTTCTCCATTCTCATCACCTTTCTACAATCAGAAACAGAAACTCCCATAAACCACTGAGACTGAACATTGATCAAATTATGGGAAGTACATATTAGAAGTCAGTAGATAGTCATATTAATGCCGTATGAAGGTACATTTTCCATGGTCTCAAAACTCAGATTAAAAAAAAAAAAAGACTGAGAGACAAAATAGACAAATGAACAATGGCTAAGCCATATATAAAAAATAGAACTCACCTCACAATCTGTAGCAGCCAGTCTAGGAGGTCAAACAAGAACCCCTGTATTTATTGACTCAAATGGTCAGGATTTGATTAATAATTGATAGCTTCTGGAAGAGGTGGAGTTGTGGGGGTTCAAGTAAAAAATATTATATTCAAAAAAAATTTGGTATCTTCTCTAATTTTTGTCCCCAAACTTAGGGCCAACTGACGAAAGCCAAACAAGTTCCCCTAACCAATCACATGGATGTTCTGCTTCCACTGAACCAACTCCAGCTTCCACAGGCCAAAGGCCTCCAATCAGGGCACACATGAAGCCTTCCCTTCTTTCTGCTACAAATCTTTCCCACTCCTCTGCTTGCCTTTGAATCTATACCAAAATGTAAGTGATGGCAGCTGACTCTTTTGACATAGCCTTTGCTTGTTCTCATTTGGGAGGCCTTTGTTTATTTGCATAGTATGTTGTTATTATCCTACATCTAAACTAAAGTTGTTTCAAGATGATCTCTCTTAAGGTATGAATTCTGTTCCTACAAAATTCATATGTTAAACCCCTAGCAAGACAGAGCAGGGACCTCTTCTTAGGGACTTCTCTTAGGGTCCCCCCAAAACATAGAAATAGAGGAAAATTGTGAGCTCCTTCAAGGGAAATTCCAGGCACCTAGCTAGCCTTAAAAAGCAAGAAAGTGGCTGGATGCCGTAGCTCACACCTGTAATCCCAGCACTTTGGGATGCCAAGGCGGGCGGATCACAAGGTCAGGAGATCAAGACCATCCTGGCTAACATGGTGAAACCCCATCTCTAGTAAAAATACAAAAAAATTAGCTGGGCGTGGTGGCACGTGCCTGTAGTCCCAGCTACTCAGGAGGCTGAGGCAGGAGAATGACGTGAACTCGGGAGGTGGAGCTTGCAGTGAGCCGAGATCGTGCCATTACACTCCAGCCTGGGCAACAGAGCGAGACTCTGTCTCAAAAAAAAAAAGAAAGCAAGAAGGTAACAGTAGTGTGAAACAACAGCCAAAGAAGTTAGAGCCACAAGATATTTGATTCTCTAGAGAAACTAAAGATAACATCTTCACGTTTGTTCCTGAGTTGTTTTTCAAAACCCAGATGCTCACCAGATGAAAAATACTGTCCATCCATGGCACATAGACCTCAGATAAGAAGGAACTAAAGACTGAATTCTGACCACTGTTCTTTGTTCTAAATTTCTTCCTGAGGGCCCTAAATAAAGTCATGCTCACAGGCAAAGCCTTAACATTCCTTACTGCTGACCCCAAGTTTTTAGACAAAGTCTTATTTCCTTAACCAACTGCAAATCAAAGAACCTCTGAATCCACCTGTGACCTGTAAGCCCCCACTTCAAAATATCTCACCTATTTGGACTAAGCCAATGTATAGTCCCCATGCATTGATTTACGACTTTGTCTGTAACCTCTGCCTCCCTGACTTTAAAAACTCTTACATGTAAGCCATCTATGAGTTTGGGTCTTAAGCATAAGCCGCCTGGTTCTGCTTGCTTGGCACCCCGCAATAAATGCCTCACTCTTCTCACATTGCAAATCTTGATGTCAGAGTTTGACTTTGCTACTTCAGGCAGGCGGATCCAAGTTCAGTTTGGTAACACTAACTCCTAGTACATGAATTATGATTATATTATAGAGACTGTTGTGGGAATCAGGAAACCAGAGAGTCCATATGGGTGGAACAGGAGGATTTTATTTAGGTGACCACCGGCTCAGCAGATTAATATCCAAAGGCTGAGCCATGAATGAAGACAGGGCTTGACTTTCATCCATGCAACCGAAGTGGGATGGCTTGCCAGTGGCACAAAACTTGTGGGGCAGGGAAAGTGAGCTTACAGAAGCAGAACAAGGCAGTTAATCAAACTGTGACAGGTTCCTAACTCAGGCTTACATGTGACTCTTGCTATGCAGGCCAGGTGGCTATTATCTAGGTTTGCTCAAGATGCCTGCACAGCCTTATCTTGTGTCCTTCGCTATGGTACCCAGATGGCTGCAATCTAAGCACGCTCAAACATGTCTCATGACCTCCATGGTGCTACAGAGACTTACAGACTGTAGTTACAGAAAACAGGAAACCATAAACTCATAAAAACTTGCACAGCAGGGTCCAATCACACAGAATGGGGAGGGATTCGAGGGGGAAGCTGCTCATACCAAAGGAAAGAGGGAAAATTTGTTTTTCCTCTCACATCTCCTGCTTCAAGACAGAGCCTTTAAAGAGGTGATTAAGTTAAAACAAAGGCTTTTGGGTGGGTCTTAATCCAACCTGACTGTTGTCCTTCAAGAGGAAGAAATTTGAACACATAGAGAGACACCAGTAATGCATGGCACATAAGAAAGGCCATGTGAGGACGCAGCAAGAAAGTAGTCATCTGCAAGCCAAGGAGACAGGCCTCAGAAGAAACTAAGCCCCATGATACCTCAATCATGAACTTCTAGGCTCCAGAACATGAGAATATAAATTTCTGTTGTCTAAGCCACCCATCTGTGATATTTTGTCATGGCAGCCCTAGCAAAATAATATAATCTCCTATGCTAAATTGTCTGTTACCAATCCAACACCACCATCCCTCCCTTCTAAGGCAGGGAGGTACATTCAGGGTCTCCCTTACTGCAAGGCTCCCTTCTTATGCTAGAGCTTGCCATAGAGTAGAATTCACATGAGATGTTAAAGGGGGAGATAAAAAGGACGCTGTTATTCACGGGTAGGAGTGCAAGACTTCACAAATAAAAATACAGGATACCTGGTTAAACTTGAATTTCAGATTGGTATAAGGATGTCCCATTTTGCCATGCATTTTTATGTGCAATATTTGGACATACTTACACTAAATATTTACTCATTACTTACCTAAAATTCAAATTTAAGGGATATACTGGTAATTTATCCTAGAGGATATGGTGGCCAGTCTTGGTGCCTTTGCAGACCACCTCCAAGAACTTCCCCTCTGTGGTTCTGGCAGGCTTATGCTTTTGAAGATCTGTCCAGGGTCTCATGCTTTGAGGTTCTGACATATGGATGCTTTGGTTTCTCACACTTTTCCGTGAACTTGGACTGTTCTACTCACTTCACTGTGGCAAAGCTGATGTTCAGCTATAGCCTTCCTGACCTTCACTTCCCAGTTCTTGACATAGTTGTGTAAGCTCTAATTTCTATATTAAGCCTCTTATTGGTATAACACTTGGAGTGGCTCTAACCCAACCCAGACTGATCCACCCTTTTATCCACAGTCTTGCCAATTCAGGTCAATTCAATCACTTCTGATGTCTCTGTATTAGTCCATTTTCACACTGCTGATAAAGACATACCTGTGACTGGGTAATTTATAAAGAAAAAACACTTTAATGGACTCACAGTTCCACGTGGTTGGGGAGGCCTCACAATCATGGTGGAAGGCAAAAGGCACATCTTACATGGTTGCAGGGAAGAGAGAATGAGAACCAAGTGAAAGGGGTTTCCCCTTATAAAACCATCAGATCTCGTGAGGCTTACTCAGTATGGGGGAAATTGCCCCCATGATTCAATTATCTCCCACTGGGTCCCTCCCACAACACATGGGAATTATGGAAGCTACAATTCAAGATGAGGTTAAGGTGGAGACACAGCCAAACCATATCAGTCTCCATACTCTATTTAGGATTCTTTCCTTTTACTCTCTCCTCTGGAAGGTTGTGAGTACCTGGAGGGCTTATATATCTTCCACCAATCAGTGTAACCGCCAGAGGGGTTCTTCCTGCCTACTGCACAAATAAAGACCTCAGCATTGCAGTAAAGAAAGAGTTTAATAGACACAAGTCCAGCCACACTACATGGAAGATGGAATTAGTACTCAAATCATTCTCATCCAAAGCTGGTAGGTCAGGGGTTTTCAAAGGCAGTTTGGGGGAAGGGGTGGAGATGACTAGGCTTACTGATGATTGGTTGGGGCAGAGATGAAATCTTACGGGGTTGGAACTGTCCTTTTGTGTGTTCAATCACTTCAGGGTGTGGGCCACTGGAGGAGTAGGGTTGGCACGTCCAGGTGGAGTCATATCTCAAAAGGCCAATCTACTATAGTAGTGTTATCTGCAGGAATGGCTGGCAATCTATGTCCCCAACTTAGCAGAATCAAGCTCCTGTCTTCCTCCAGCCTGATGTTCTTTCATTAGCTTTACAAAGGCTGTTGAGTTTTGGGGAAGTCCTATTATAATTTAAACCATAGCCTAAATGTCTTCCAAAGTTAGCTGGGCCCAAAAGCCCAAGTGAAAGGCAAGATGAGGGGTGGGTTAACTCACCTCACTGTTACAACTTTCTCACTGATATAATTTTTGCAAAGATGGTTTCATCAGGAGAAGGACACCCAGTCTACACCTGTCTTTGTCGTCGCTGCGATATAAACCATCTTGTATCGTCCTTGTAACCATGCACTGTCACCCATTAAGGCCTCTAGGTAATACCTGTACTATGTTCTTCACAGCCTGACCCCTAGCTAGCCCTCTAAGCATTTTGGTTTTCCTCCTCCTAATCATACCACACATGTAGAAACTGTCAGCTCCTGTACCTGGACAATGCTAGGGCAGGGGAGCATTGAAAGGCTGCCTCCTGGTCCCTGTTGTCAAATCCTGCCCTCTGTCACTGCTACACTAACACAAGGGCCAGGTTGGATAAAGGCTTCTCCACTTGTGCACTGTTTCCTACAGCTTACCAGAGAAGCAAGGCTCAAGTGTTCCCTTCTCTTGGACACTCAGAATTTCTGTAGTAGCTGTCATCTCATCTCATTCCCTGGACCTACCTGAAAGGGTCAAGAATTCTGCAGCCATATCCATAGTGTCTTCTGCTCCTCTACTCCACTTCCCTAGTCTCTCTCCCCAATCCCAGAAAGAGTCCTTATCTCTTTTTTGTAAGGAAATCTGCTTATCATATTGCTATGCGTTCTTATCTATCCATGGTTTAGCAAATACGCTCTAACCTCTCAGTCTTTCAGATTATGCCTTATATATTCAAAGCCAAGCTCTTAGAATTACAACAAATAATACAACATAAATCTGTTCTCCCTGTAAGCTCACCTATTACAATACAAGAAAAAAAACAGCATAGCTTTCATAGTTATTGTCTCTGCTATGTGTTTAAAAACTATTCAGAATCGATGAGCTGTTTTAGGCTGTATTCACACTCCCCTGAGGGATTAAATGTTAACTCACTGTGTGGAGAGCCGCAGGACAGCATCAGAACATATAGGAACGAAAAATCTCAATTAATATCTCAAATTGTATCCCCTACTTGGAATTGTTAGCACACTTTATCAGTTTACCTCTCCAGAAAATCAGACAAGAAAGTGCATATGGAAAATAAGTCATAATCCAAGATTCCATAGAACAATCTTTCCTGCTGTGAAGAAACAGTTCGTTATGAGAACTGAATGGGCTTTTATAATTTCAGGCAAAGATCAATTACATGGGGCTTTAGTTTTATCCTAAAACATTTTTCTGAATCATAAAAATTAAAAGGGAGATATTAAAAAATCCCCTAAATGATCATGTAGTTTCAACATGTTACCTACAAAAGAATAAAATGAAGCTGGCTTCTGACTTCTCTTCAACAGTAAATTCCTGGCTGGGCACAATGGCTCACGCCTGTAATCCCAGTACTTTGAGAGACTGAGGCAGGTGGATCACTTGAGCCAGGAGTTCGAGACCAGGCTGGCCAATATGGTGAAAAGCCATCCCTACAAAAAAATGCAAAAATAAGCCAAGCATGGTGGTGTGTGCCTGTAATTCCAGCTACTCGGGAGGCTGAGGCACAAGAAGAGAATCACTTGAGTCCAGGAGGTGGAGGTTGCTTCCACACGTTGAATCAGGAATCAGCTGAGTTTAATAGAACCAGTAAGTAACATAAAGACTGAATAGTGCCAATTGGATTTTATGAAAAAGAAGTCACCAGTAACAGACTTAATCAATTTTTAGGATATCTGATATGTAATTTTATAAATATAATGAGTTATTAGCATTTAAATGAACATCTATACATTGATTCTCAGTAACTGAAATGAATTTCCCCACAGCATTCAGAGTACATGAAATGGCACGTTTGTTTGTTTTATTTTATTCTGAGTTATATTATATATTCACATGACACAGGAGTTACGAAGAAATTACTTAGGCAGAATTGTATGGGAGTCCTCGGTAAGGCTTTTCTTTTTAATGAACAGCAGCCCCAAGTCATTTTCTAACAAAGAGCAGCCTGTAAAGTCCAGCTGCAGACATACACAAGCAAGCTGGAAGCTTGCACAGGTGAATGCCAACAGGAACTAGGGACTAGACATGTTCAAGATGGCGGCTCCATCTTCCCTTCTCTGCCAGCCACATGTACAGTAATGAACAGACAAGATGGCACCAATCAACTAAAAAGTCCATTTGCATAATAAGATTAGAGTAGGACAACCAGCCTTCCGCTTGCACTATATAAACATTATACCTGATAGAACCAATCTGTGTGCCCTATGTAAATCAGACACCGCCTTCTCAAACCTGACTATAAAATCTGGTGCATTGACCACCAGCTGGTCCTTTTTGCTTGGAGACCCCCCTCTCTCTACAGAGAAAGCTGTTTCTCTTTCCCTTCTCTTCTGCCTACTAAACCTCTGCTCCTGACTCCTCCTGTGTGTCCATCTCCTAAATTTTCATGGCGTGTAATGACAAACCCCAGGGTCTATACCCCAGACAACATAGATGCTTCATAAGTACAATATGTATGTACAGTTTAAGAGGAATGACAAAATGAAAACTCACAAGCCAAGTTAGGAAATAAAACCTTATCAGGAACTTAAAAGGGCCCTGTGTTCCCTTTACTCATCCCATGCTTCTTTAGTTCCCCCAAGGAGTGATCAAAATCTGAATTTTGTGATAATCATTCCTTTACTTTTCATTAGATTACTACATATGTGTGTGCCTCTTACAACATATTGTCTAGTTTAAAACTTCTAACAAATGTAACACTAAATTATTCTGTAACTTTCCTATTTTTATTCAACATTATGCTTTTAGGATTTACCCATGTTGATGCATGTGACTACTGTCTATTTATTTTTACTGCTGTAGAGTATTATACGTCATGAATAGTATATAACACAATTTACTCATCCATTCTACTATTGATGGACACTTGGTTTGCTTCCCATTATTTTGCAGTTGCTACAATGCAACCATTGATGTTCTTATGCATGTCTCCTGGATGGAGTCACAGGCAGCATACACTGTCCTTCTATTCTTGGATCCCATAGAGATCCCTATTTGTGTCTGATGTTCACATTAATAGTATCCAAGATAGCTGAAAGGAGGTTATTCTAATAATTCATGCACATTATTTGAATTAGAACTTCATCATTATTTTGAAATATTTGATATGAAAAGATTGGGTTAGATTCAGTATCTATTAGCAGCATAAAAGATTTTCAATGTAACATTTGTCAAGGAAGAAAAGAAAGAGCTGTTAGATTCTGTAAATATAATGTCAACTGCTAATTTATGAATGGTTTTGAAAGGCTTTAACTTTCATATTACTTGCTTGTGGGAACAAATTTCTCATCACGAGCGACTATCCAGAATTTAAAGAGATCATGACCAAAAGTCTCAAACAGGAATTGTGCATAGTCATTTAAAACAAAAAATATGATTACTACAAATATTACGCTCATGGGACTGAGTTCAAGTTTCCAATTTAAAAAATGGAAATTATTTTAGCTGAACATCTTATGCAAATTCATTCTTTCCCTTACTTTTTGTGGTAGCCTGCCTCCAAGATGGTACCCAGTGATTCTTGTCTCCTGGTATTCACATCCTCATGTAATTCCCTCTCATATTGAATAGGGAAGACTTCTGTAACTAATAAGATAATTGCAGAAATGACAGTGTGTGATTTCCAAGGCTAGTCATAAGAGACACTGTAGGCTTCTGCCTTGCTCTCTCTTAGATCACTTCTTCCGGGGGAAGACAGTCACAGCATTACAAAGACACTCAGATACCCAATGGGGGCTCCACATGCTAAGAAGTTGAAGTCTACTGCCAAGAGCCAGCACTAACCAACTAGCCATGTGAGTAAGCCATCTTGGAAGTGTCTCCTCCAGCCCCAGTCAAGCCTTCAGATGATGTAGCCCCTGATGACATCTTGCCTGCAACATCATGAGAAACCTTGTGCAATAACTACGAGCTAAGCAGCTCCTAAATTCCTGACCCCCCCATAAACTGTGTGAGATAAATGTCTATTGCTATTTTAAGCTGATAAGTTTGGGGGTAATTTGTTATACAGTGATAGATAACTAATATATTTTGGGGATATTTTTGTCATAATTATACAATATTTTAAAATGTCAGTTGTTTTCAATAATCCCATATCAATGCCTCCCACCAATCACCTTCTAAAATGCAGATAAGGTATCTTTTTGGAGAGAAAATTAAAAACTGGGATTGCTAATATTCAGGAGCCTTCACCTTACACAGAAATCTTTAAGTCATATTCACAGACTCCTTTGTTCCTATTTTTATGTATGTTGGGGCAAGGGGACATAGGAGATTAACGGCATAATAGAGCCACAGTGCGGTGGCAGAAATTTTATTTCAAGGGTTTACTGAAAGTTAATGGTCCTGAAGTCACTCTGTATACGAAACATGAGCATAGTTGACACATTTGAAGTCCCTAAGCACTAAAACAATAACGATGCCTTCCTATGTGCAAAGATAAACAAAAAACGATATGTGTAAGAAGCCCCTGACATTACTATTTTTCCCTGATGCTTCTTCTTGAAATGTCAGTTACCAAATTCATCCTAAAGATTGTTTTAGTTTCCCACTTTTTCCCTTTCCTCATAGTTGGTTGATTATTGTTTAATCCAGCAATGATGAAACACCCTTTACAAACATAAAGATTCATTTCTAACATGAACATTTTTTATTACAGCAACTCCTTTGCTCCAGTTATTATGAAATCAATCATTTTACTTCCCAACCACTGGTGTTTTCCCGAGGGGCTCTTGTTAGCCAAGCTACCATTGATAAGTGCTTATTCTGTTAATATTCCTTTGAAACCCATTATAAACATTCCTTTTACCCAGAAACTCAGCAGTCCCTGGGAGGTGACTAAAGGGAGGATGGCAGGGCAGAGGGGAGCTCATTCAGTCCTGCAGACCTCATGCTGCCCAAGTTGTTTGTCCATTTTTTCAGCACCCATGCACTGTCACCTTACATGCATGCAAAGGGCCAAGCTGTTTATCCTGACCATGGAGAAGGACTAAGCAGGTAACAAATGCTAATTTCTGAGGTCAGGCAAGGCACTTTATATTATCCCTTTTTGAAGCCAATATCCAGGTATAGGGCAGGATGGGAAGGTTCTGAGCATCCTGCATATTTACAAGTACTTTGCTACATTTAGTAAGAACTGATTAGTGGTCATACCCATGGAAGTCAAAAACTCTAGCATGGTGGCTCATCCTTATAATCCCAGCACTTTGGGAGGCTGAGGCAGAAGGATCAGTTGAGTCCAGGACTTCAAGACCAGTTTGGACAACACAGCGAGACCTCATCTCTACAAAAAATTTTTAAAATTAGCTGGATGTGGTGGCGCCTGTATTCCCAGCTCCTAGGGAATCTGAGACCAGAGGATCAGTTGAGCCCAGGGATTTGAGGCTGCGGTGAACTATGATCCGGCCACTGCACTCCAGTCTGGGCAACAGAGTAAGACTCTGTCTCAAAAACAAGCCTCTTACAGTTTGGTTACATTTTTAGAAGATTAAGCACATGCCTTAAAAAACATGGGCAAAGAAAGGCACGGAAGAAAACTTAAAAAAACTTGATATTAAAATTTTGAAGCTGAGCTGTTCGATATAACTACAGTCACATGTGACTATTTAATTTTAAGTGAAAATTAAGTAAAATTAAAAATTTCCTCAGTGGGACGAGCATATTTCACCTCCTTTATAGGCCATGCGTGGCTAGAACAGATGGAAAACATTTCCATCATCGCAGAAAGTTCTACTGGACAGCACTGTTCTGAAGTGTTTAATTTGCCATCATGGAAAAGAAATAAAATTCACTGAATGTCCTTAAATCTGTTTTATGATTTGGCATTGTGTTTAAGTCTGGATTGCACATTTAGGATAGAGGTAAGAGGACCACACTATTTTCAGTGTCTGGAGACCTCTAAAGACTCTAATTCGACCTTGGCCAAAACGATCCTTAACAGCATTTATATGCTTGATCTCCTCTCCACGCAGCCCATCAATAAGCCATTGCGCTCCACGGTCACACTTCAGCACTCCCAATACACCAGGCAGACACTGAGTACGAGTCTCGGCTGGTGTCCTAGCAACAGCGACGCGACCCCGCCCCTTCCCGCGTACACCTCCTACCTTATTAGCCTGGAAGGGGCGGGACCAGGGGTCCGTGCCCAATAGGAAGGGAGCAGAGGAGTGAGTCCTGGCCGCGTCCCCGTCGCTAGGGAAACCGATGCAGCTGGAGGCCGCGCGCGATGCGGCTCGCGGAGGAGCGGGCCGCGCTCGCGGCGGAGAACGCGGATGGGGAACCCGGCGCCGACCGACGACTGCGACTCCTGGGGACCTACGTGGCCATGAGCCTGCGGCCGGCTGCGGGCGCCTGGGAGCGTTGCGCGGGGAGTGCTGAGGCGGAGCAGCTGCTCCAGGCCTTCCTGGGCCGCGATGCTGCCGAGGGGCCGCGGCCGCTGCTGGTGGTGCGGCCCGGGCCCAGGGGCCTGGCAATACGCCCCGGGCTGGAGGTGGGACCTGAGTCGGGCCTGGCTGGCGCTAAGGCGCTTTTTTTCCTTCGCACCGGGCCCGAGCCTCCAGGGCCCGACAGCTTCCGCGGCGCAGTGGTCTGCGGGGACCTGCCCGCGGCACCTCTGGAGCACCTAGCCGCGCTGTTCTCGGAGGTGAGGGTGGGTTAGTGTCCCCGCGCGGCTAAAGCTGGGTGGGGGAGGGGAGGAGGAGCCTTAAGGGACGGAGGCGGGGCCAGAGGGGGCGGGGCGAAGCTGCAGGGGAGGTCCAAGAGGCGGAGTGATAGGCAGAGGGGCGAGGCTGTGGAGGGAGCACAACCAGGAGGGAAGTTCCTGAAGTCAGGAAGAAAATGGGATGGGGTTAGGGGCGGAGTCGGGTGGGTCCGGAGGGAGGGATCTGGGTGGAGGCCAGGCCAGAATGAGAATGGGAAGGAGCTGAGGCTTGGGTCAGTCCGGGTCTGGGTTCCAGCCAAAGTCAGGGGAAGACCATAATCTGAAGAGTGCCTAGGTTCTGACTACTTTCAAAATCAGCCTCTCGTAATCCCTCCTGTAAATTGGAAAGATCTGAAGAAGATGGGAAGTGGACAAGACGGCATTTCTGATGGATCAGTGGGGTGGAAGGAGGTGGATGGCTATAAACAGTGCCTACTTCTGGAGAGCAGTTAAATGGGAGGGGGAGGTGGGTAGTGATTTGCTTTTGATTTTCATCTCATTCATTCATTACCAACCATTTAGCAAAGGTCAGCCCTGTGCCAGCATAAGAAGTTGGGCTCCCATTTGGAAATGCCCAGCAGGCCTTTGGAGGAGTCTGCCTGAAGCTCAGGGAGGAAGGTGGAGATGTGGGTCATGAGTGCTTTAGTGGCACCACAGCAGAAGCTTCGAGAATGCAGGAGATTTCAGGGAAGTGCTCCAGAGAGATTCCTGGGCCCCTTAGACCTTTCTGGAATGGGAGTAAACTGCCCTGCAAGTCAGGCTGTGTGCTTATGGAGGCTTGATGCCCTGGACCCTGCAGGTTGTGAAATAAGGATGGGCAGAATACTGGCTGTATGATGGTTCAGGTGATAGGTGCTATAGGGAATACCAAAGAACTATTCCCACCCATGAAATGCTTACTCCAAGGAGCTGAAACGTATGTAATAATTCATATATTCAAAATGTTTCAAACTTTTAAGACTGGGGTGAGGGTAAAGCTTACCTAAAAGTTGGCCCCACTGCTGGATGCAAGTCCTGGAGTCTCCCTGCTATGTCAAGTGTAAGCCCTTTAGATGGTGTATCAGGAGGCTGTGGGGAGGTGAAAATTCCAGGGAAAGGGTTGGATAGATAGAGGAGGACACAGAGGGCCCAGGAAGCTAGATCTCTTAGATATGGAGGTATTTCAATATTTTAACAAACAGAATGGTCTTGCAACTGTGCATTGTCTGAAAGCCATCCCGCTGAAGCCTGAACTTAGATCAGCTTCTCTAATGAATGTTGACGATAGAAAGTACTTTTGGCTTCAGAGGAGAAAGACAGGCCTGTGATCTGAGAAGCATGCTTAACATAAGTGTTGAATTGTCTCCTGAACAATTAGAAGAATTTGTATAAGTAGAGAGCAAGGTAACTTTCAAGATACTGAGAGCAGACTGATCAAAGGTTCAGAGACAGGATTTAACCTAGTGTATGTGGGAGACAGAAGGCCCATCTCAGAGTTGTGTCATGGCCAAGCAAAGTAGTCCAGCAAGAAAAATAATTTTAAAATAATGAAAATTCTCGAATGTTTAAGAATTTTCATTGGTGCATTGAAAGAGATTGGAGACAAACAATGTTCATCAACAGGGGACTGGGTGACTGAATTATGGGCCATCTATACAGTGAAATACTTTGCAACTATTAAAAAGAATGACTGATATGGAATATTCCTTTTTTTGAGGCAGGGTCTTGCTATGTTGACCAGGCTGGTTTCAAACTCCTAGACTCAAGTGATCCTCCTGCCTTGGCCTCCCAAAGTGCTGGGATTACAGGTGTGAGCCACCATGTCCAACCGGAGTTATTCCTTAGGGTAATTTTTTCCTTGTGGCAAAAAAAACACATGACGTAAAATTCACCCAACAATTTCCAAGTGTAGAGTACAATATTGTCAACCACATATGCATTATTGTGCAACACATCCTCAGAACTGCCCCGTCCAGCATCACTGAAACTCCACACACACCCAGCAAGCCACACATCGCTCCCCTGAGCTCCTGGCTAGCACCATTCTACTTTCTGTTCCTATGAACCTGACTCATCATATAAGTGGAATCATGCAGTATTTGTTCCTTCTGACTGACTTATGTCACTTAGCATAATGTCCTCAAGGTTCATCCATATCGTCACCGCCTATCGTCATATGCGGGATTTCTTTCTTTTTTTAACAATATTCTATTGTATGTATATACCACATTTCTAAAAAATTTATCCATCATAGACACTTAGGATGTTTCTGTCTCTTGGTTTTTGTGAATAATGCTGCAATTTAAGATAATTTTTTAAAGAAGTGCAGAATTGCATGGATGGTATGCTACTATTTATGTTTAAAAAAGAAAGGAGGGGAAGAAGAGAGAAAGGAAGGAGGGAAGGGAGGGTGGGAGGGAGAGAGGGAGGGAGGAAGAGAGGACATTCTTTAACAGTAATCCACAAGAAGGAGAAACAGTAACTGAAGTACAGGGGTAGGTGGAAGATTTACTTCCCACTGTAAAAGCTTTTGTACGTTTAAATTTTTGCCCCATGTAAATGTATTACCTATTTTAAAACCTAAATAAATAACTTATTTTAAAAATAACTCAAGTCCTTTCCTTGCATTTCTCAAAGCTTGTACCAGTAACTTTATTCCACTTTCTGTCCATCCATCTACTTTTATTCCATACCCTGAAGCTGATCCAGTGTCTCTTTCAAGGCTTGTTGGCCTCCCATCTGCTAAGACCCTCCTTCTGGCCCAGCCCTCCTGTCCACCCCCTCTCCTCTCTCTCAGCACCTTGTAATCAGCTTAATAGTCTCTGATTACCTGCTCCCCTTTTCCTTCCACCTCCCCATGCAGCATCGCTAAAGCCAGAAGAACCTACCTGGCTGAGAGACGTCTTCCTGCCTTGTGTGTGTGTGGGCGGGGCGGTTTGGGGGTAGGATTGAGGGTGTTGGCTGAGAGAAAGCTGTAATTTTAATATTATTTTTGTTCCATTCTACGAGTACAAGGTAAAAAAGGAAAATGTGCCTAAGAAATGTTTGAAAGGAAGAATTAACAGAATTTAGTAACTTGTTCTCCTACTTCCTTACTTCCTCCTCCAACCACATCATTCACTACTGCCAACTTATTTTTCCTAGCTCTGAAACTTGGATTTTTTTTTTGACTTTTTGCATTTTGGAATGTGAGCATAAGATTTGGAATCTCACAGACCTAAGTCAAATTCTGGTTAAATTCAGCAGTGTGATGTGAGCAGATGTGCTCACTCTGCCAGGTCCAAAACTGTCTTGCAGGGTTGCTATGAAATTTAGACATCATATATTAGAACACCTGGAATAGAGTGTCACACTGCAGGTGTTCCATAAAGGATGAGAATTCTTGTCACTCTTCATCCTATTTAAAATCCTCCTCACCCATCTGATGGATCCTTGTCACCTTGCTGTAACCCATCCTGGCTCCTCCTGGAGGACTCAGCTGCGTTTCCCCTACAGCCTTCTCCTAAGCCTGGAGCTGGGGCAGGTGGCCTCCTTGTTCCTCCTTGCTGCTCTAGATCCACATCAAAAAGCCTCCAGTTTGAATCTCCTGTCATCAAAGGACATCATCCACTCTCACTGCTGCATCCTGTACAGATGGTGCTACCCTTGCGTGTGTATGATTTTGCCTCCCAACTCACTGTGGCTCTCCCCAACATTACTTCTAATATGTGGTTATTTCCAAAGACATGTGAATGACCCTTCCAATAACTTGGCCTCTGGGTTCTCTGTATCTTTGTCCTCCAGTGATCTTGTCCTCCTCCCGATCATAAGCAGCCCCTCCCATGGCCATTTCCAGACCTTGCATTCCCAACAACCACCAACCTCATTGTCCAATTTTATGCACCTCCTTCTCTGACCACTACTCCCATCTTTCCAGCTCACTCTCTCTCATACCCTGACTACAACAGTCCTTTGATCCTGCTGGGAGCTCCAATCTCTTGACCTTGGCTCCTTCCCATTGGCCCTGGACCATGCACACGGTCTCTTCTCTTACCCAATTTGAGTGCCATGCTCCTTCATGATCATCATACCCTTGCATCAGCTCCTGATGTACTGGCCTCTACCTCACTATGTCATACTCAGTTGGTGCAACCACAATCCTGGTAAAACCCAGCTCTACATACTTCATACCTGCACCCATTAAATTAAAAGAGACCAGGGAAAAACCAATGGGCTCCTCTTTAAATACACGACCTCTCGAACTGCTAAGTAAGCCTTTTATGTTTCCCAGCAGACATTCTATTTTTTTTCTATTCCAACTATATTTTCTTGCTCTTTTAGATCACTATTTCCCAACGTGAGAAACAATTTGAAAAGAAAAATCTTTCTTCTTTCAAATGTCCAAAACCTCCTGTTAACCTCACTCTGAGACGCTCTTGCTTCTTTCTTGGTTTTTTAAGAAACGGAAACGAGAATAACAAGTCCACGAACTCTTATGTCCACTTTGACTGCAGCATCTCTCCTTGTATCTTCTGCCATCCCATCCGTTGCTAGAGGTAAACTGTTTGTGCTGCCCTCTGATGCCAACCCTAAGGCTGAAACTGCTGCCTGTGCTCTGAATCCCACACATTCCTGAGGAGATCACTCTAGCAATTTCCTCTTCTCCCCTGCATTCATATTTTTCTCCTCTCTGCTAGATAATTCTCATCAAGCAAAATCCTCCTTTCATCCCACCAGCTGTCACCCTATGTTTATGACCCCCTTCATAGCAGAATTCCTGGAATGTGTGTCTCCTCTTGGTGTCTCATTATTTTCCTGTTTTATCTCATCATCACTCATCAGGCTTTGACTTTCTCACTTCACAGAAGAGGAATAAAATAACGTGTCAATGTTTCTGATGATCTCCACTTGACTAAATTGAACGGCCCTGAATCAGTCCTCGTTCGGCTTGACCTGAGAGCAGCGTTTGTCATAGCTCATGATCATCCTCTCTTCCTGGAAACGCTTTCTTCTTTGGGCTCCAGGAACCAGTCTTCTGGTTTCCTCCTATCACCATGGCTATCACCAGTGATGGTGCCTCCTCTTATTCCCCACTTCTTTTTTTTTTTTTGAGATGAAGTCTCGCACTGTCACCCAGGCTGGAGTGCAGTGGCATGATCTCCGCTTGCTGCAACCTCCGCCTCCTGGGTTCAAGCAATTCTCCTGCCTCAGCCTCCCGAGTAGCTAAGATTACAGGTGCCCGCCACCATGCCCAACTAATTTTTGTGTTTTTAGTAGAGATGGGGTTTCTACTCTGTTGGCCAGGCTGGTCTCAAACTCCTGACCTCGTGATCTGCCCACCTTGGCTTCACAAAGTGTTGGGATTACAGGTGTGAGCCGCCGCGCCCGTCCTCTTCCCAACTTCTTAACACCAGATGGTCCTACGGCTCATTCCCTGGACGTCTTCTCTTCTCTCTATATACACCCATTTTCTTGGGGGCTGTCATTCAATTTCAAAGTTCCACAAGCCATTTGTATCTGACACCTCCCAAATTTGTTATCTCCAGCCCTCTCTTCTCCTCTGAACTCTCAACTAGCATATCCAGCTGCCTACTCAACATCTCTATCTTAAAGTCCAATCGAGATACTACATTTTAACATGTGCAAACAAAAGCTCCTGTATCTTCTCTGAAGATCTTACTCCACCTTTACTCCTCCCCACATCAGTTGACAGCAACTCCATTCTTCCCGTTGTTCAAGCCACAGATCTTAGAGTCATCCTGACCCTTTTTTTTTCTCTTGCGACTCCTAAAGCAATTTGTTAACACATCCTATTGGCTATACCTTCAAAATTTGTATGGAATCAGGCCATTTCTTACCATCTCCCCCACTACCCACTGTGCCACACCACCGTCTTCTGTATTATAGCACCAACTTGGTAGGTGGCCTCCCTTTCCACCTTTGCCCCTTAGAGCCTATAATCACGGCAGCTTGGTTGATCCTACTCAAAACGATCTCAGCCTATGGCACTCCTTTGCTCAAAACTTTCAATGATGTCCATTTCTCTGAGAGTAAAAATCAAAATCTCACAGGCAAGGCTGCATGTGAATTGACTCCCTTTACTCTCACCTATTCTTTGGGATCACTCTGTCCCCGCTTTCCTTGCTTCCACACTGCTCCTTGATCAGACCAAGCATGCTTCCACCTCGGGGCCTTTGCACTGGCTGTTCCTTCTCCCTGCAATATACTTCTCCCAAGGATCTGCAAAGCACTCCCCCTATCCTTCCCAGCCTTTGTTCAAATCTTATCTTCTCAGTCAGGCCAACCTCAACATTTACAATTGCAGCCCCTCCACCCCACACTCCTGATTCCCTTCACATGCTTTATCTTTATTCACAGAACTTACTGTTTCTTGACTGTCTCTCCCTTAGAATATAAGCTTCATGAGGTCAGAAATTTTTGACTGTTTTGTTCACGGGTGTATCCTCCTAGCACCTAGAAAAGTACCAGCACATAATAGATGCTCAGTAAATACTCATTGAATAAATGAATGAGTAGCTTTTTGGTCTGTTGTTGTTGTTGTTGTTGTTGTTGTTGTTGTTGTTTCGAGACAGGGTCTCACTCTGTTGCCCAGGCTGGAGTACAGTGGCACGATTTCAGCTCACTGCAGACTCGACCTCCCTGGGCTCAAGCGATCCTCTCACCTCAGCCTCCTTAGTAACTGGGACTACAGACATGCGCCACTACAACCGGGCAATTTTTCTATTTTTTTTTTTGTACAGATGAGGTCTTGCTATGTTGCCCAGGCAGGTCTCCGACTCCTGGGCTCAAACAATCTGCCCTCCTCAGCCTCTCAGTGCTGGGATACAGGCGTGAGCCACCGCACCTGGCTATGAGTTGCTTTTCACTTCATAGAGAGTTCACATTCGTTATTTTTCTGTCACTCAAAGCCCTTAAAACCCCCACTCAAAACTATTCCTTTTTCTTCAGACAGTGTACATTCAGTTATTTGATAAACATCTTGAGTGCTTTCTATATGCCAGATCCTGGAGAGAACTCTGACTATATAAAAATTAAATAAGATAGAGTCCCTGCCTTTGAGATCCTAGGAAAATTCCAGTTCATCCTCTTTCCCGGTTAGGACTTCTGCCCTGGGTTCAAATGGTTCTTTCTTAACATGAATGTGATAAAGCTTAATTTGTAAACTTTCCTTCCTTTTTGAGCTCCCTTTACTGATTGTTGTAAGTTCCCAGCTCAGTGAATGTTTCCAGACAGACCAGGCAAAGACCATCCTCTAGAATCTAACATGCTGGGTCCAGGTATTCTATTTCACGGCCACTGGGGCTTATTGATCATAACCCAGCCAGTCATATGAGTTCATATTTCCTTTTGATTATTTATATATTGGTAGCTTCCTCATCACATTATATGAGCATCTGTTTGTCTTTCTGGTATTCTCCTTCCATCACTTGTGAGATTTTGACAGTCAAAGATTCCGGGTGAGTTTACTGACAACTTTCTTTCTTTTCTTTTCTTTTCTTTTCTTTTTTTTTTTTTTGAGACAGAGTCTTGCTCTGTCTCCAGGCTGGAATGCAGTGGTGCAATCTCGGCTCACTGCAACCTCCGCCTCCCGGGTTCAAGCGATTCCCCTGCCTCAGCCTCCTGAAGTAGCTGGGACTACAGGCACGTGCCACCACACTCGGCTAATTTTTTGTATTTTAGTAGAGACAGGGTTTCACCATGTTGGCCAGGATGGTCTTGATGTCCTGATCTCGTGATCTGCCCACCTCGGTATACTGACAAGTTTCTAAGTTGCGATTAATAGAAACCTAATTTAAACTAGCTTGGAAAGTTCAAGAGCAGCTTGATTTAGGAGCTCAAACAAAGTTACCAAGACTTGGTCTTTCTCCATCTGTAAGCACTCTCCTCTCATATTAACTTTATTCTAAGGCGCTATTGGTTGTGAAGGTGACCAAGAAAAGCTCCACACTAGCAGAAAAGAGAAGGTGTCTCTTCCTTGAAAAGTCACATAAGACACTTTGGCCTGACTCTCACTGGCTCAGATTTGGTTCCATGTTCACCTATGGATTTGGGGATGAATACTGAAAAAAGAGGAACTATGTTGGGTGGCCAGAATAACCTAACGTTCACCCTAAAGATGGATTCAAGATCCTCAACTTTGCTTGCCTTTTCAAGGTGCCCTTCCCACCACCTGTAGACAGAAGGTCATGTTTATCTGCTTGTGTCCTCCTTTTTTGCCTCTGGCCTTTGTGACTATTTAATCACCTCCTATTCACCCCGTTGATGAGGGAGGGATTCCTGCCTGAGAGTGATGGAGATGGGTAAACATACAACACCCAACATAGGACAGACACCATTGACAGCAGTTTTTCAGTCAACATACTCACAGCCCAGAAGAGGACACTGAGCCATGCAGGCCACATGGGGATTGCTCTTGGGAACAGACTAAATGACAAGGGGCTGTGGAAAGCACACTTTGTATTAATAGTATCAAGAAGGTGTAGTGGTCCCTGGATCTCACTGGGGGACGCAATTGGCTAGTTTAAATCATTCCACCAGCTGGCAGGGAACTGAAGTCTGCTTCTCAGGGATAAGCGGGAACTGTGCCTCGTCCTCTTGATAAAGAGTTTTTTGTTTTTTCTTTTTACATTTTTTCTGAGATGGAGTCTTACTCTGTCGCCCAGGCTGGAGTGCAGTGGTGTGATCTCGACTCACTGCAACCTCCGCCTCCTGGGTTGAAGCGATTCTCCTGCCTCAACCTCCCGAGTAGCTGTGATCACAGGAACCCGCCACCACACCCGGCTAATTTTTGTATTTTTAGTAGAGATGGGTTTTTGCCATGTTGGCCAGGCTGGTCTCGAACTCCCGACCTCAGGTGATCCACCTGCCTCAGCCTCCCAAAGTGCTAGGATTACAGGCATGAACCACCGCACTTAGCCGATAAAGAATTTTTTGGCTAGAGGGCTTTATCCCCAGGAGCAGAATGGGAAGGAAAACTTGTAAGCAGGCTATTCAAGGGCTTCCCCAATTTACCAGATGTCAAGGTCGTATGTAATGTTCGACCCTATTATTAGGCCTTCCAGCACAGTGACCTGCAAAAGGTTGTATATAGCTTTATAAGCCTTTTCCAGATGAGGATTTCTTTAAGTTCTCAGAATTGGAACACCTGCCTTTCTTTCCTGTGCACCTCTGTTCCAGGTTGTTCTACCCGTCCTGGCCAATGAGAAGAATCGCCTAAACTGGCCCCACATGATATGTGAGGATGTCAGGCGGCACGCCCACAGCCTCCAATGTGACCTCTCAGTTATACTTGAGCAAGTGAAGGGAAAAACTTTGCTGCCTCTTCCAGCAGGCTCAGAAAAAATGGAGTTTGCGGATTCCAAAAGTGAGACAGTGTAAGTACCGCCAGCCTGGCCATATGGGCCTCTGAGATATGGGAGATGCTGGTTATCAGAATGTTTTCCTTACAACTTTTCTGTTCCTGACTCTGCACATCTCCTCGTTCTGCACACAAGCCTACTGTCTGCTCTGTTTGCCGACACCCTCAGACTGTGGACTGTGTGTTTACCCTGGTTACTCCCTGGCCCAGCCACTGCATGAAGTCTTCCAAGGCTATTACAGCAATATGGCCTTTTTTTCCTTTCAGAATCATTTCAGGGCTGAGCGCAACCACACTAGCTTTCCGTATTTTGCTTATCAGGATAGTGTCTCATCATTGGCAAAGACCCAGGTCCAGTCTGGGAGGCAGGCATGCCTCTTCCCAGTGTTTACTCAGTACATAATGTCACAGAACTATCGCTGCCGGCTCTTGTTACAGTTCCAGACTCTCCTCCCCCAGCAGCTGAAGACTTTTTACAGGTCCTGGGGATTTTTTTCTCTTTTCAAATAGTAGCAAATCTGGCTTTGTTGGGACCTGGCTTTGTTGGGAGTTCATGCCTCCTGCCCCTGAGTAGGCCTTAAAACCCCAGGCTTGTCTCCTTTTAGAAGTTGAATCCACCGTCAGCTTCTGTTTACCATGCTGACTTTCGAGTTTTCTTTGTTTCTATCCCTTGGGAATTCTTTTCCCCTTTCAAGCCAGGCTATGCATATAAATATTAATAGTATATTTTGCTATATTTCATCCAGCATCTCTATGTGCTTGTGGCAACGGACAGCCTTCCTACATGAGCTCGGTCTGCCACACTGTCAGGAGTTTCCCAATGTATTACTGTCAACATTGTGTATTCAGGATCCATGATTTGATCCGAAGAATAAGTAACGCATGCAACAGATTATATGCGTGCAATGCATTATAAAATACAACAATGTACTTTATAATGAGTTTTTTCTATCAGAAGTAATTTCCTACATATACAATTTGAAGTAATTTCCCAGTTAATTGGAAAACTTATTGCGGTTTAATAAAGATATCCAATCTTCAAAATAAATAAATTCAAACTACCCCTTTTCTAGTCCCTTTATATTTTAACTTTGTAACATTCAGTGTGTGTTTCTAATCATTGCTGAATTTATCTCTGTTTGTTCAAGTTTGATAATTTCCCAAAAGACTGGATCATTTTGGGGGAATGGGTGTCTTCTTCCTTTAATATCTTCCACAATCACTTGTGCCGTATCATTTCTCAGCAAATATAAATTTAATTTAATGAAGTGGAAGTGGGTTTCTGACATAAAAATGTGAATTGTATGTCCTCTTTCTTTGTCGTTGTGTCCTTGATTCTTTGCACCTATCATTTTCAGTTAAGACTGTGAAAATAATGACCAAAATGTATTAAAAAAATTTTAACTGCTTCCAAATATAGCTAAGTTACTTTCTTTAAAAGTTGTATGAGGGGAAAAGTTTGGGAATTCTATTCTTCACTGGAACAATGAGGACCAAGTGAAATCGTGATGGTGATCTTCAGGTGGCTGATTATTAGCCTTGTGAAGGAGGAAATAAACTATTTCCTCTTGCTGCACAGGTCAGAGCTAAGACCAAGATGAGGAAATCACAGGGAGTTAGAAATGGTTCAGTATAGAGACAAACTTTTTCCTTGGGAGAGCCAACCTATTGAGAAAGGTGCTGCTTTGTGAAGTCGAGAGCTTGCTGTCACTGGTAGGATTCAAGCAAGCATTGGGTGGTCATCTGAATATTTTCTGTCCACGGTATTCCTGCATTGGCAGGACAACGTACTGGCATTCAAAGTTCTTAAACTAGTCTTCAGGATATTGATGAGCCCTGAATCTGTATGAAAAATGTACATACACACACATAAGCATTTTTTTTTTCTGGAGAGAGGATCTATAATTTTCGTTGACTAGTCAACAGAGACTGTTATCCAAAAAAGTTAAGAATGCATGGGCTAGATGAAATTTCTCACCTATTTTTTTAAATTTGGGATTCTGTCTTGGGGTACACCCAGGGTTATTTTCACGCCTCAGGGTTTTTGTTTTTGTTGTTATCATTGTTGTTGTTTTGTCTTTCACAGCTTGGATTCTATAGATAAGTCAGTCATCTATGCCATTGAGTCTGCAGTGATCAAATGGAGCTACCAAGTCCAGGTGGTACTCAAGAGAGAGTCTTCCCAGCCACTCTTACAAGGGGAGAATCCCACCCCTAAGGTGGAGTTGGAGTTCTGGAAGAGCAGGTAGGCAAGAAGGCACATGCTGGAAGTCTGGGGTGAAGATGTCTTACAGAGACTAAAGCTAGAGCTTTCCTGGGTTAAGCCACCATTGAGCCTATTCTTCCCTATAGGTATTTCACATCATCAGTGGGGTAGACAGCTCTGTGTCATTGGGTCAAGAGAGTTTTTTGATAGACTGGGAGATGCACACTTTCCCCAAGATTCAATAATCATTTTTCCTTTCCTGGGTTCACATCAGTATGTCCTCTTACATTTTTTCAAAGGCTCTTTGGACTATATGTAAAATTAATCAACTCTTTAACATTTTTATTCTAACTTATCTGCTCCCTTCTCCTTGAGCAGCTGAGGCCACATGCACACACCTTTTGTAAAGTTCTGAATACAGAGGAGTTTTGGGGAGTTGGCTGCAGAACAGCCTTTCCTGTGTTCCGGCTCATCACTCGCAGGGCTGGAAAGTTCATCTTCCAGGGTGTTTGTCCAGAAAGGCTTCATTATTGCTCCTGCTCCTGCTCCTGCTCCTGCTTATTTGCCCTCCTCCTCCCCATTTCCTCACTCCAATTTATTATCGTGCTGATAAATCCTTTACTCAAAAGGAGGCAGACAGATGTTAGCGGCAGACGTGCCTGTCCTGGCATGGAATGGAGATTATCGGTGTCACATGACCAGACATGCCTGTAGGGCTCCAGCCTTTTGTCTGTACCACCCTGCTGAGATGCCCCATGCTCTTGCCTGGCTTCTGACCATTCTGCTGACCTACTGCAAGGCCCTTCTCTTAGCACCCTTGCTCCAATAACGCCTCTCTCACCCTGACTCAACCTTACTGCCAGAGCTAATGACCTCCAGCTGCCAAGCTTTTTGAGCCACCAGATGGTCACAGCAGTGTTTCCTGGAGCTGCCCCTTTGAACCTGTGTTCCCAGCTCAGGCTTTTGCCCTCACTGGGCTGGGAACAGATGTCCAGGCTCTTTGGGCTGGAGCACAGCCTCTGTGGAAGCACCCCGAGGCAGGGCTCCTCTCTTTCTGTGTGACGATGGGTCATCACAGTGTGACTTGCATTTCCTGATGCTTCCCTGGATTCACCCTTCTTCATGATATTGCAGGTATGAAGATCTGAAATACATCTATAATCAACTGAGAACAATAACGGTGAGGGGCATGGCCAAGCTCCTGGACAAGCTTCAGAGTAGCTACTTTCCAGCTTTCAAAGCCATGTACAGAGATGTTGTTGCAGGTGAGGACCAGCAAGTGTTTTCACAAATGTGTTTGACTCAAGTTACCGTCGAATGATGCATTCACCTCTCTCTGTCTGAATTCCGCAACTTCAAGTCCTTGTAAATTTCCGACCCGACACAAACTAGCATGGTGGCAAGAATACCACATCTAGATACATGAGAGCAGCTAAACAGAGCTATGCTGTTTGCAGTTCCACTGCTGTATGGCCTGGGAAAATTCACCTAGCCCCTCTGAGCTTTAGTACGTGTGTTGGTTATGGGGCATACACTTCTGCCTACTTTTCTAGGTCCGTGTGAGATTATACAGGTGGAAGAACTTATTGACTTAACACAACAATGTTCCTGGAGCTGTCCCTTTGTGTCTTTCAAACACTGGGGCCAGGACATACAGTTCTGGGGTGGCCATTATGGAGCCTGTGTGACCAACTCCAGGGTGGTCATGTGAGTCCATCTGTCCTAATCAAGGACTACCCTTCTGGCAAGACAGCCTAACCATGCCTTCCAGGACCTGGGATTATTGGCTGGGACCCCTCATTAACTAAGTGCTTGTACCTCCCTGGCACGCTGGGAACTCCTGGGTCTGGTCAAAGGTCTTTCTGGGCCTGTCTTCAGGGTCTGGAAACTACTAGAAGAAAGTTCTTCCATCCGATCTGCCTACAGCTGCTGCTTTGCACTGTACAAATCCATGTTGTTACCTCTCACCTCTGGAATTCAGGTCCCTCCACCTTTGGCTCCTTGAGAAATCTCTATTCCATTTCTAGCTCCATTCTGCATTTTCTATTCCTACTGTCAGATGGGACTGCAATTTCCTGGCCATTTGAGCACCAGACAAGATCTACGCTTATCAAAATTGCCAAGCCAGCAAAGTCTATGATTAGAAGTAGGTAAATTTTTTTAGGACTCCCTCTCCATTTCTTGGAGCACTGTGCGTCTTCTCCCTTTTTCTTGTAAAATCTCCTCTTTGCTCTTCAGTACCATAGGTCAAAATGTGCTTTTAAAGGTCTTTGTCATTTCACATGGTCTAAGCTTAATTAAAGCAGTGATTTTCAAACATTTTACTTTGCCCAGAACTCTTTCTTTAAATACAATCTCCCATGTAAGCCCACTACATAAAACGAATCCAGGCATGTTTGGTTTAGTAAAAAGGGCAGTGTCCTGTGCCCAGAGCCCATTGGCTACTTCCCTGTCCCACCTTCCCCTCTCATGGCATGGAGTTTGCAAACATCTTAGCTAAAGGAAGAAAAGTCCAGGTGTTAGTTTCCAACATGAACTACATCAGAGAGCAGAACTGGCATAAGTTGTTAGTCTCTGAGGTCCTCCCTGACCCTGAATCCTCATTGCAGAGGCAGCTCTCCCAGCACGTTTGGCTGGCTTGGGACCAAGTGTCTCTTGAGGCTCCAGCTTACTGCTTTGCTGAGAGATTCTGTGTTCCCGAGGAATCAGCTTTTGTTCCCAGTTTACACTTCCAGGAGACAGGTGTCCCCAGAAGTGGTATGTGTATCCCTACTGATGTCAGAAATGACTAGGGGAAAGTTTTTTAAAAAAAATATGTTAAAGGGGCTTGGCACAGTGGCTCACACCTGTGATCCCAGCACTTTGGGAGGCCGAGGCGGACAGATCACGAGGTCAGGAGATTGAGACAATCCTGGCTAACACGTTGAAACCTCATCTCTACTAAAAATACAAAAAATTAGCCGGGCGTAGTCCCAGCTAATTGGGAGGCTGAGGCAGAAGAATCACTTGAACCTGGGAGGCAGAGGTTGCAGTGAGTCGAGATCGCGTCACCGCACTCCAGCCTAGTGACAGACCGAGACTCCGTCTAAAATTTAAAAAATAAAATAAAATTGTTTGAGGGTAATAGCCCTGGTTTTTGCAAGTGATACCAGCTTTCCATTTATGGTAGTGATTTACAGTTTTCATGTTGTCTAATTTAGTTGGGTTAAATTGGGAGTCAATGTAGAGAAAAATATGAAGTAAGCAATAGAGTGCTACAGATTATACATATGTAGAACACATACAAAGGACATATGTGAATGCCTGAAATTTGGGGCTCTGAAAAAGATGTAGTAAAAATATATTATGAGTTTGTTATTTAGTGCCCCAAATATACTTTTCACATTAGTAGATCAATAGACTATAATTATTCATATGAATTAATAGTTATAAGATTCACTTCCCCAGGTGAGCTTCAAAAAGTTATTTGCAGTAGAGTATATGCCGGCAATGAATTTTTTTTAAAAAAGATACCATTACAATAGTGCCAGATAAACACTACCATAAAAAGAGAAATTCTTTAAATATGAAACTCAGTGTCAATGATGGAAGAAAATTTGATTAGAAGAGTTAGGTAGAGACTTGGTCAGAAAATTTGGCAGGATCTTCTAAGCTGGTGACTGATTTTCTCATTTCTAGCTGAATTTCAGAGCATCTTTTTTTTTATCCTAAATAGATACACTATGTGCATTATTCTTATTAGGCATGGTCAGGGTCGTTTATTGACCTACTGATGAATTGGAAAGAAGGAGAGGAAAAGAAATATTTCTGGATTGGTGGATATGAATTAGAAAACAGTGAGAAGAAAAAAGGAGGTTAAAAGGATGGAGGAAAATATGCAGGAACCCGATTGTATGAAGTAGTATTGACTGAGCAGTAAATAATCTTGGAAAACAGGAAAGCAACAGTCCCCTTGAGAAGGAAGAACAAGGGCAATAAAGACTAATTAGAGAGTTTTCTTTATTTGCACAGGATAGGCATGGTACAACCTGGTTGCCAAGTTTCTGAGTCCATTTGTGCTGCTTTAACAGAATACCACAGCCTGGGTAATTTATAAAGAGCAGAAATTTATTTCTCATAGTTCTTGAGGCTGAGAAGTTCGAGATCAAGGCACTGGCAGGTTGGGTGTCCGGTGAGGGCCTGGCCTCTGCTTCCAAGATGGCGCCTTGTTGCTGCATCCTCCAGAGGAGAGGAACTCTGTGTCCTTACCTGATAGACGGTGGAAGGCAAGCCAGCCAAACTCTATGTGAAGCCTCTTTGATGAGGGCCTTAATCCCATTCATGAGGGAGAAGCTCTCATGGCCTAGTGGCCTCTTAAAGGCACCAACTCTTAACACCATCACATTGGCCATTAAATTTCAACACCTGAATTTTGGAGGGGACACATTCACATAGCAGCAATTAAGGATGTGTGTAGGTAGATACGTGTGTGAAAGAAGGCACACAAAGAAGGGCTGTCTGGAGCCAGTGCACACTGGTTTGCTGTGGCTCGTGAAGGGCTGCTATATGCATTGTTTTAAACCTTGCACCCCCATTCTCCCAAGCAGCACTCAGCGAAGTCAAATTGGTAGCCTAGAAATGGACATGGTAGGAATACTGGGAATATTTATACCATAGAAATTGGCAGATGCTACAAATAAACGTGTTTGTCCTCAAAGAGCCTGTTGTTAAAGACTTTCCTGCAAACCACTGGAGATCACTATGCACTTTGCTGTTTGTATTTACATTCTTTAAAAAGGTATGAGCTCGGCTGGGCACAGTGGCTCACACCTGCAATCCCAGCACTTTGGGAGGCTGAGGCGGGCAGATCACTTGAGGTCAGGAGTTTGAGACCAGCCTGGCCAACATGGTGAAACCCCAACTCTACTCAAAATACAAAAATTAGCCAGACATGGTGGTGCATGTCTGTAATCCCAGCTACTAGGGAGGCTGAGGCAGGAGAATAGACTAAACCAAGGAGGCAGAGGTTGCAGTGAGCCAAGACTGCACCACTGCACTCCAGCCTGGGTGACAGAGTGAGACTCCATCCCCACCCCAAAAGAAAAAAAAAAGGTATGAGCCCAGCTCTCTCTCTCTCTCTCTTCATATGCCTTGTCATCCAAGGGTATTGCATCCTGGGTTGGATGGCCAACCCTTTTCTCAAGTATTGTGCTCTTAAAAATCAAGGCAATGCTAATTAGTATAATTAAAAGAGATTGTGATTTTTAAAAAGATTTCAAAACAGGGTATCATAAAGAGAAAGCTCCTATAGCATGATAGTCTCAGCCTCTTTTCTCTCAGCACTTACGGAAGCAAGAGCATGCGCTCATTAGAATGACTGTTGGATTCTGAAATCCCCCACCCCAACACAGAGGTTCTAATACTCACCATCAGCCCCTCCACTTGAGAATCCCTGCCCTAATCAATTTACTGTGACATCTGACTTTGCAAAAAATTCGATTCACATACTGCTTTCCACAACCTTATTTGGGATATAAAGTACAAACATACATATCAACATATTTTTGTGTATGGTGAGCCTCCGTGAAGCCAAGGGTTCAATGTAATAAACTCTGGGTCGTCTTCCTTTTCCTTAGCTGGACAGGATTGGTTGTTTCATGGGAGGGCCCTAGGAAAGTTATTCAGACCTTAATTTCTTCACTTATAAAATACTAAAGTATGAAGTACTAAAGCTGGTTTGCAGGGCTTTCTGTGAGATGGTAAATATCTCATAGATAGTAAGTAGAACAATTCCCGGCATATTGAAACTGCTTCCTAAATAGTGTATATTTTGAGTTCCCTTTAGGATGAATGCAGAGCTTCATCCGCATACTGTAACCTAAGACCACCTGCTCTCATATGATACCACCTGATTATCTGCCCAGGACAGAACCAGCCTTTGTAAACTCGCCCTTCCAATTTAGTTTGTCCAATGCCCTTTTGCATTCCCTCTAAGTTGCTACGCAGATATTAGCATCCAGTGCTGCTGGATTTCCTAGTTTCCCGTGTCAGTCACCACAAGACGACTGGTTAAAGGCCCCTTTCTTTCCTTGGTTGTATTCAGAGGAGATGGTAAGAGATTTTCCTGGCTTTGAAAACCAGCAGAACCTTGCCATAACCCATCTATGTTATGTCTCTATGCTCTGTGACTTTTTTAAAAAAATTATACTTTAAGTTCTAGGGTACATGTGCACAACGTACAGCTTTGTTTCATATGTATACATGTGCTCACTCATAGGTGGGAATTGAACAATGGGTACACTTGGACACAGGGTGGGGAACATCACACATCTGTGACTTCTTTATAAGTGCTCAGCAAGATTCTTTATTAGTGAATATTCATCAGAGCCACCACCATTTATCAAACACCTGCATTGGTCCAAGCACTGTGCTAGTTGTTTATAAAGATTCCTATTGAACTACCTTCAGCCTTCACAAGGACCCTTTAAACTGATTACAGCTCTGCCTATTTTTGAGGCTCAGAGAGGTTACACGTGCCCAAAGTCATACAATTGCCAAGCGTCTCGGCCAGCATTTGAAGGAAAGTCTTTCTGATTCTAAAACTTGTATTGTCTCAGAGATAGCAGCAAAGTAATTGGCAAATATTTACTACCCACCAAGCACCAGATGGAGGCTGGGAGGGCCAGGGAAAAGTCCATTTAGAGGAATGTTACAAGACAGAACTCTTCAGATCATTATCCTAGTTGTTCAGGGCTCTCCAGTTTCCATATTTCCTCATAAGAGCTAGGAAGTTTTCTGGAACCAGCCTTCTCTCTGCTTGTTGTTTTGCAGGTCTTTTACTTCCCAGGGACTAGGGCTCCACCAGGTGGGTATTAGGCTCCAGATGGGAATGCTGACCATCTCCAATTCCTTCCAGCTCTAGCAGAGGCACAGGACATCCATGTGCACCTGATACCGCTCCAGCGCCACCTGGAAGCTCTGGAGAATGCAGAATTTCCGGAGGTGAAGCCCCAGCTGCGGCCCCTGCTCCACGTGGTCTGTCTGATTTGGGCCACATGCAAGTCCTACCGCTCCCCGGGAAGGCTGACTGTGCTGCTCCAGGAGATTTGCAACCTTCTCATCCAGCAGGTGGGCTGCCCTGGGATGCCCAGCAACTGCTCCCTGGGGGCTGGTTGGCATCTAGTCACAGGAGAGAAGAGACAAGTGTCCTTTTTTCTGGGCGAGGAAATAATTATGTTCCAAAGAGTTCTTACACTTGAATTACAGTATTTTACTCTCAGAAGCCAATAATTTACAAAGACATTTTCAGTAATATTAGAACACCTGAGCCATCCTGTCTTCCTTTCCCCTCTGCCTAAGAGGGGATAAGTAGGGGTGGTGAATTTCAACCTCCTTAATGACCTATGAAGAAGGACTGGTAATGAGTCAGCAGCAAAGCCTAAGCAGTAAAGAGTGCAGCCTCTGATGTCAGGTAGAGTCAGGCGATGCTGTACCAATCCCTGGCTTTGCCACTTGGCAGCCAGCATACCACTTCTGTGCCAGGACAAATCACTTCCTGTTCTGTGCCTCACTCTCCTCCTCTGTACAATGGTGAAAACAAGAAGCCATATCTCTTTTTGGGTTGCTGGGTGATTTGAGGCTTCCATGTGATAATGCATGTGCCCTGCACATGGTAAGAACCTGGTACCCATAAGCTATTGAGAAGCAGCTTCTTAGATTATGCACTTCATGCTCCTCCTTCTTAGGGACCCTTGTAGCACCAACCAGGGCAGCATAAACCTTGAGGAGTGTATCTTAAGAAAGAACTAGAGGGCCGGGCGCGGTGGCTCACGCCTGTAATCCCAGCATTTTGGGAGGCTGAGGCGGGCAGATCACGAGGTCAAGAGATCGAGACCATCCTGGCCAACATGGTGAAACCCCATCTCTACTAAAAATACAAAAATTAGCTGGGCGTGGTGGTGCACGCCTGTAGTCCCAGCTACTTGGGAGGCTGAGGCAGGAGAATCGCTTGAACCCGGGAGGCAGAAGTTGCAGTGAGCGAAGATTGTGCCACTGCACTCCAGCTTGGCGACAGAGCGAGACTCCATCTCAAAAAAAAAAAAAAGAACTAGAGGGCTTAAGGAGGTTTGGGTGATCTCTCCAAACCAGTTTCCTTTTCTTCTAAGGAGCTGTTCTCTGAGAAAATAACGAACAAGCTTAATAAGTAACTAAGAATAACTAACATTTTGCAGGCTGCAAAATACTGTTACATTCATGATTTCTATCAATCATCAAATAAACCCTGCAAGGTGGGCAGGGAAGGTCTTATTATTTATTATATTATTTAAAGATGTGGGCTACTGTTCAAGGAGGTTAACTGACTTGCCCAAAGACACCCAAACCAGGACCCCAACCCAGGCTGTTTGACTCCTCCTAGGCTAGTGCCTTTCCATTACTCCATGTTTATCAGCCAGAACTCTTTTGGTTGAAAGTGTAAGAAAACCGAAACCAAAAGTAGGAGCAAAAAAAGAAAACATATTGGCTCATGTACCTTGAAAGTCCAAGGTAAGGCTGGCTTCAGCCCCGACTTGCAATGTGGCCTTAGATGATGTCAGCCAGACCCAGGGACCCACCCTGTTGTGGTGAAGGTGGCTGTCGCTACAGCTCCAGCTTTTCAGTTTTCCAGGTGTAAGCCTCTTCGAGACAGAAAAATAATTATGGTCCAAATAATTCTTGCATTCAAATTACTTTACTACTGAAAGCCAATAAGTCACAAAAGAATACCTGGGAAAGGGCACCTGCTCCAGCCCCAGCTAGCCAACAAAGTCTCATTGTGTTTCCTTGTCCCTGGCTACTTGCCCATTCCTGAGCCAATCACTGTAGCTTCAGTGACTAAGACTATTTGGCCGAAACCCAGGTCGCAGTCCACATGTGGAATGGAAAGCGAGGTCAGATGTTTCCTCTATTATCCTCGTGAAAAATATTACTGGGGCAATGATTCAGTTCAGAGTTGGTGTTGCAAAGTTACAGGATGTCTGCACCTGCTCAGTGATACTAATCTGTTTGTATACCAGGCCTCTAATTATCTCAGCCCAGAAGACCTGCTGAGAAGTGAGGTAGAAGAAAGTCAGAGAAAACTGCAAGTGGTCTCAGACACTTTGAGCTTCTTCAAGCAAGAGTTTCAGGACAGAAGGGAGAATCTCCACACTTACTTCAAAGAGAACCAGGAAGTCAAGGAATGGGATTTCCAGTCTTCTTTGGTCTTTGTGCGATTGGATGGCTTCCTGGGACAACTGCACGTGGTGGAGGTGAGTGCGCACCTCACCTCAGGCTGCCAGCCCCAGACAGAAAGAAGCAGTCCAGGGGTCCAAAAAGTGGAATAGGAAAATGCACAACACAACCTCATAGCCAACCCTCCATCAGCTGGAATAATCCATAATAAAGGTTCAATTGGCCAGTCACAGTGGCTCATGCCTGTAATCCCACTAGCACTTTGGGAGGCAAAGGTGGGTGGATTGCTTGAGCCCAGGAGTTTAAAACCAGCCGGGCCAACATGGCAAAACGCCTTCTCTACAAAAAATACAACAACAACAAAATAGCCAGGTGTGGTGTGCACCTGTAGTCCCAGCTACTCGGGAGGCTGAGGTGGGAGGATGGCTTGAGCATAGGAGGCAGAGGTTGCAGTGAGTCGAAATTGTGCCACTGCACTCTAGCCTAGGCAACAGGAGCCAGACCTTGTCTCAAAAAAACAAACAAGGGCCAGGCATGCGGTGGCTCATGCCTGTAATCCCAGCATTTGGGGAGGCCAAGGCAGGTGGATCATGAGGTCAGGAGTTCGAGACCAGTCTGGTCAACATGGCGAAATCCTGTCTCTACTAAAAATACAAAAATTAGCCAGGTGTGGTGGCACACGCCTGTAATCCCAGCTACTCGGGAGGCCGAGGCAGAGAATTTCTTGAACTCGGAAGGCAGAGGTTTCAGTGAGCCACGATCACACCATTGCACTCCAGCATGGGTGACAGAACGAGACTCTGTCTCAAAAAAAAAAAAAAAAAAGAAGTTTTAATAAATAGTTGTCATTTGGATTGACCATCACATCACATAATAGTGGTTATAGTAGAAGTTTAGGAAATCCTGATCATAGACCCATTTAGGAAGAAGGCCCAAGGAATCAATGAACTAGTTCAATTGGTTTGCAGATTGCCCATAGCCTTTGAACTGGGTTTCAAATAAACTCTGCCTAGAAAGACTGACACTGAGCAAACCTTGGCTGGGCTATAACCATTCCCGCAAAGCTGGCTGCTTTGAACTTCTCCTCCTCCACTCCCCAATCTCCAAGGCAGCTCCCCAAAGTCCAAAACGAATGAGTCCCTGTGCAAAAGAAACATGACTTTTGCTCAAAGTTATGTCTTTCCCTCAATTATTTAAAAATAAATATGGATTTTAGGTGAAGTACTACGGTGAGAAGACATGATACTATTTCTTTGGATTGTTTCAATTCTCAAAACTTAATATGTTTAACAGGTCTCTCAACATTTTACAGCTATGTGTTTGCTGATTGGACTTGGAAGGGAGGGTAATGGGCCTAATAAAATGAAATACAGACTTAAACGGATTTGAGAAATTCAGGGTTGAGTTTAAGATTAAGACAAGAGGCCGGGCACGGTGGCTCTCCCCTGTAATCCCAGCCCTTTGGGAGGCTGAGGCAGGCGAATCACAAGTTCAGGAGTTCATGATCAGCCTGGCCAACATGGTGAAATCCCGCCTCTACTAAAAAGACAAAAATTAGCCGGGTGTGGTGGCGGGCGCCTGTAGTCCCAGCTACTCGGGAGGCTGAGGCAGGAGAATCGTTTGAACTCGGGAGGTAGAGGTTGCAGTGAGCCAAGATCGCGCCATTGCACTCCAGCCTGGGAGACAGGGCGAGACTCCATCTCAAAAAAAAAAAAAAAAAAAAAGACAAGAGCCAGAGGGACAGGGAAGGAACAAGAATCATATTCCCAGCTGTCATGAGCAGGTTTGGAGGAAAGAGAGCTATGCTGGGAGGAAGCCATGATGAACAGAGCAAACCATGGGAGGACAAGGACAGGAGAACGTAAGATTGGATCTGTTATCAGTTCAGAAAGTATTGGTTCAGCATCACCATGTGCCAGGCACGGAGCTAGGAACTGAGATACAAAGACGACTGAAATGCGATTTCCCTGTAAGAGGCTGGTGGACCTGCAGCCACTGCAGGAGAAGGAAGACAGACTAAAGGACGAGATCCGGGAGGAAAGACACAGAATCAGGAAAGTGGGATATACTGACTGCTATCAGAAAAGTGAGATTGGGCTGGGTGCGGTGGCTCACGCCTGTAATCCCAGCACTTTAGGAGGCCGAGGCAGGTGGATCACAAGGTCAGGAGTTTGAGACGAACCTGACCAACATGGTGAAACCCCGTCTCTACTAAAAATACAAAAAAAAAAATTAGCCTGGTGTGGTGACGTGCACCTGTAGTCTCAGCTACTCAGGAGGCTGAGGCAGGAGAATCACTTGAACCCGGGAGGCAGAGCTTGCAGTGAGCTGAGATCGCGCCACTGCACTCCAGCCTGGGGACAGAGCGAGACTCCGTCTCAAAAAAAAAAAAAAAAGTGAGATTGATGTGTTACTGGGAGCAAGAAAGAGGGGTCTCTAGCCCAGTAGGACTTTGACAAAAAGTGGGAACACAAGAGAAAATCAGTTGTGAAACTGGAGTGGGAATTTGCCAGGGAAGACAAAGATGGGAAGGGCATAAAGAGAGAAAATGCGTGAGAGAGAAAGCCAGAAGCTAGATCTTATGAAAGGCGCACCTTAAACCCTTCATCAGGATCACAGAGACTATAAATAATTGATTATCTAGCTTTATCCTAAATGCCTCTTTTTCCCTCAGCCGTTTCCATCATGGTTGATGTACAGCCCTTCACTCCTCCTGCACTCTGTATTCCTCTCATATCCACCACCAATTCCTTTGCTGCTGTTTAGTGAGAGGTGAGGGACACTCCAGCCCCAGCCCATGCCTGGCCTGGGCTGACCACGAAGAACGAATTTCCATCACTGCCTGGCAGCGGCCATGTTTGCAGATGCTCCAGCCCTGCAGATGGCCCTGGGAATGGTAGCAGAGCATGACCCCAGGCCCTGTGCACACATGCTAATGATTTGACTTTGCATATAGACAGCTATTCTAACATCAGGGCGCCTAATCTGCAGGATATGTTCAGTAAATATAAGCAGTGATGGCCACCAGCCTCCCTAGCGTCATTACTCTCACAATAAGTCCTTTCTCAGGCTGCTGCTGCTTTCTGAATCAAGGGCACAGGTGCATAAAAAGCAGTTGCCCCCATTTAATTAGAGGATGACATGAGTGTCACCAAGCTCCCTGCCTTGCTGCCTCTCATTCTCTTACGTGTCGTTCTGTCCTTGGCTCTGGTTAGCTGCTTTGCTCCTGTGCCCAGCTGCTCCTTTTCTTTTCTTTTCTTTTTCTTTTTTTTTTTTTTTTTTTCTCGAGATGGAGTTTTGCTCTTGTTGCCCAGGCTGGAGTGCAGTGGCACAATCTCGGCTCACGACAACCTCTGCCTCCTGGGTTCAAGCGATTCTCCTGCCTCAGCCTCCCAAGTAGCTGGGATTACAGGCATGTGCCACCATGCCTGGTTAATTTTTGTATTTTTAGTAGAGACAGGGTCTTTCTGTGTTGGTCAGGCTGGTCTTGAACTCCCAACCTCAGGAGATCCACCCAGCTTGGCCTCCCAAAGTGCTGGGATTACAGGTGTGAGCCACCGTGCCCGGCCAGCATTTCTTTTCTTGACTGTGTTTCCCTCTCTTTCCCTTTGTCTAATTCTTCCTCCCTTTTCACTTGGTCCCCCTTTCACTTTGTTCTCCTTCTCTATTTTCTAACTTCCCTGACCTCTTTGTTTGCCCTGAATTTCCATGTGTTTTCATCTTCCCACGGCTACTCCTTGCCCCTTTTCCTCATATTTCCTCCCCTCTTTTATTTTTAATCTCCCAAATGTCTGCTTAGATGCATCGCCCTTGCCCTTTGCCATCTTCCTCCTCCCCCAGCTCTTGCCTCCTGAGTCTGTGCAGTGGAACACAGGACTATCAGCTGTCCTCTGGCATATTTCATGTAGGCCTTTAGTTAATATTCTGTGTATCTCTGTGATCGATGCCTGATTGAAATGGGATTAATCTGCTCCTCTCCAGTAAGAATTATCATGAACTTAGCCTTATTCATCTTCTATTCTAATACAATCTATGGCCACTGAGATGATGGTAGCTGCAATTAATAAATACATGAAACACCAATGTGTTTATCTCTCTGCATGCTCTCGTCACGGGTTAGAGTGTGAAGGGCTGGTTTTTAATCCCCACAATTCTCCCAGATTTCATTTCTCTGATGTGAGTTGCTTTTTTATTCTTTCACTCTTTTTGCACAAGAGAATTTTGTTGTGCACATCCACTCTTCCTCTCTGGGTGCCTGCTAAATGCCAGAGGTGGGGCTGGCTTGGAAGAAGGGGTATACATTGCCCAGTATTTTTCGGTGTCTGCAGTAAGTGGAGTAATTGCATTTTCAGGATACCACCATTCTCCTCTGCCTTCTTATCATAACCATGATACAGGTAATCTCTTAGAGATTTAACCCTTGTGGAGGGAAGAACAAGGAATAGAAAACTAAAAAATTAACATGTTTCAAGAACCTATCCCATGCCAGAGCCTGTATCCTTGCAATCATCTTAAGAACTGGGGCCGGGTGCAGTGGCTTACGCCTGTAATCCCAACACTTTGGGAGGCCGAGGTGGTGGGATCACCTGAGGTCAGGAGTTTGAGACAAGCCTGGCCAACATGGTGAAACCCTGTCTCTACTAAAAATACAAAAATTAGCCGGGCATGGCGGCATACCCGTGTAATCCCAGCCACCCAGGAGGCTGAGGCAGGAGAATCGCTGGAACCTGGGAGGCAGAGGATGTAGTGAGCCGAGATCGTGCCACAGCACTCCAGCGTGGGTGACAGAGCAAGACTCCATCTCAAAAAAAAAAGAAAAGAAAAGAACTGGGTATCAGTATCTTTTCTTTAACAAATGAGCATAACTAAATCTGATACATAAATGAGCTCACCCATAGTTACACAGGTTGGAGAGGTGTAGCTGAGATTTGTACCCAGGGGGACAGCTGGTTCCAAGTACTGTCTTTGCACCAAACTTTGATATCCTATAGGGAGTTGTGAAGGTCTGTTTCCCTCCTTCCGTCCTTTTCTCCCTTCCTTCCTTCTTTCTTTCCTCCCACTTTCCTGGTTTGAGGATCCCAAACTGGTTTTGTGGTTTTATTCTGCCCTTATACACTCTGTTCTACTTTTGTACACTCAATTTTTGCCATACAATTTCTAGGTCTTTATATCAAAGTAAGTTACTCAGGTACAATTATAATTCCCATTTCATGAAAGGATCTTATTTGACTTTATGACTTACTAAGAAAATCCCAGAAGTATATAAAATCTTTGCAATTTGAATGAGCCATCAAAGTTCAAAGAGAAAAAGAGTTGTTGGGTTGCCTCTTGATTCCTTCTTTCATCCTGCCTTCCTGCTTGATGCATCAGTGCACACACACACACACACACACCGAGTTCATTTTTGCGTCATAGAGTTGTAGATTCTGCAGATCCCCTGTTTGAGTTTCTGCCTGCAGCCTCTTCCCTCCAAACAATGCAGTAAGCACCTTGGCGAGAACTCTCATTTCCTTTATTATAAAACTGCTATAAAGCTGTGATTCATTTGGAGACAAAATGATTTCCTGCTGAGACTTTATGCGAAGTGATTAGCAGGTACATAGGTAATAAGCTGACCTAATATCCACACCGCGTTTCCTTTTGCTCTTTCTACCATCTCCAGCCACTCTGCAGCCTCCTTTCATTCTGAGCCGAATTGGGTATCTTCCCTTTTAGCCCGGCTTGAATATGTGGTCACATAGGAGACCATTGGCCACATAAGGTCAGTGGCGATCAAAAGGTAAAGAAAACAGTCTTTTTCCAAATGACCTTTTGAGATTTTCATCTATGAACATCTGCTTTGTGCTCTCCCTTAATGAATTCCCAAGGTTCTTCTTTTAAGATGGGCAGCGTGGCCTCTCCTTTGAGAAGGGGGTTGCTGTTTGCAAGTCTTGCTATTACCCCTGGTTTTGATTCTTCATCTCAGGGGCCAGAGCACATATTGAATCCTCCCCACATCCCTGCCACCTGCCACCACCATTAAGTGCTGCACGGTTTTTTCATAAGAATAGAACCTGATCAGTCCAGTAAGCGGCCTGGTACCCCAGTGTTCCTTGTTCTGTCTTGAAAGAAGCACCCAAATGTCCCCTCTGTACCCCATTACACATATAATATCCATTAACCCGATCTAATGACATCAGAGTGATCATGGTTAATTATAGTGGCTGCCTTTTAGTGAAGTCCTACAGGGAACCTTCCATAAACTTGGTAACTTCACAGCAACTTAAGTGTTATTGTTCCCATCTACAGGTTAGGAAAGTGAGGCTTAGAAAAGTTAGGTGTCTTGCTTTAAGCCACATAGCTAGTAAATGATGGAACCAGAGTTGCGTAAACTCAGGGTTTTTTGTTTGTTTGTTCTGGCCCTAGATCCTAGGCTCTTTCCACAATGCCATATGTTGTGTCTCTGAAGTGGATATTTCAGCCGGTGTATAACATGATGAATTTCGTGTTTAGTACTGTGATGAATAAAAATAGATATTTAAAAAATATCATTTAAACTTCTTATTGATTTAAATTGCCTTTTATCTGTTTTGTGAGAACTTTTAAATAAACAATGAAAAGAACTTACATTTACATAATTTAAGAATCGAATTATTTTGATTCTTAAATCAAAGATTTAAGGCTAATCAAAGATATAGCCATGGTCAATGCCATAAGTCTGGTGTCTATAGTTGTAAGACAATTTCCTAGCTGCTTCAGAAATCTTTTCTGCTATGCCTCCAACATCAAACTTATTAAAACCCCTTCAGCGATGGAGAGCTCCCTCCCTCTCTTTGTAGCCCATTCTACAGCATTAGATGGTTTTTTATTAAGTGAAACCACAGGAAATGGCCATTTTTTAGGTCGAAATGATCCCGTATCAGCAATGTAATAAGTTCAACCTGTATGGTGAGGTCACATCTACTTCTTTGTCCCATTCACTCATTTGCCTTCATTCTGCCTTCACTGTAGCACCAGGGAAGGTTCCCCCTTGCACTTGACCAGGGTCCTATGGACATTGAAATGTCCTTCCTTATAATTCTCTTCTCTTGTCTATTTTTTTTCACCAACTGCTCTTCAGATGTCAGGGTTCCTAGCTCCTCTATCACCTTGCTGCTTTTTTTTCTGGAAGTATTATAGGCAAGTCAAAGAACAAACAGCATACATTCTTTCACTCAACAAATGTGTTCAGGGTCAGGGACTCTTCCAGGCACTGGAAATACCGAGATACCTTTGGGGCATTTACAACTTACTGGACAGAAAATAAGCAAATAGTATAATATAATGCCAAATAATATAATTCCAGAGTGTGATAAGCGCTCTGAATAAGCAGAAGAAGGGAATACAGAGTCTGGGGGAAAGCTGGATGGGTGGATCTCTTTCCACAGAAGGGTGAGGAAAGGCCTAAGACCTTGAGTTGAGCCCCAGATAAATCTGTTGTCCACCATGTGTGTGTTGTTACATAAAACAATGTAAGTATCTATCTTTTTAAGTGACCAGACTTTCTCCAAAAGTAGAATAGTTAAATAAATATTTCGCTAATATCTAGGATAAATTGAAGATCAAACACCTTCCTGTCACCTCCCTAGACCATGCTTTAAGTATTCTTGAGAAATAAAATAGTCTAACAAAATTATCATCTGGGTTTCTGATGTAATCAAACATATCACAACGCATCTACCTTTTAAAATGGTACGAAGTATTTCCTAGAAATTGAAATTGACATCCACAGAATTATGACGAATGAGTACCAAGGTTGCATTTCACAGCACAAGTATGACTGTCCCTATAAAACAGATTACAACTAAGCACTTTACGAGAGACTTGAATTACTACTGAAGTCAATTTCATTTCCATAAAATTCATTTCGGTTTTCTTCCCAGTATATCAAGTTGAATCTATTTTTGAAGAAAGACTGCCACTTTTCCCACCATTAGTGGCAAAAGTCCCTCCCTGGTTTTGGCATCTGTCTTCCCTGCCTTGGCTGGTGTCTTCCCTCTTCTCTCCCCTCCCACTTCAGCTGCTTCCCACTAGCCATGCCCAAACATACATAGCTGAGCAAAAACAGGCTTGTTAGATGGCTGCCCAAATCTGCGTGGGTACCCTCCTTGCCAAGCAGGGAAAGTCAGCCATTGTCCCCACTTCCCAGCGCCTCTGTCACTGCTGCTGGAGTTGGTGTGTCCCAGCAGGAAAAAGGAGCCAGGCAGCCTGTGCCAGCCTGATGGGTCACCCATAGCAGCAGCCATGGGCAGTGAGATTTCCTGCAGTGGTACCAGGACCTGCTGGATTTTACAGCATCGGTGTCATGGTGCACCCCTTAAACCTCCAGAGCAGAGGATCCCTCCCACAGTCCACACCAAATGTTGGCCAAAATGACACAAAGGGAACTTTTACTGTCATCTTTCCTGCCTAAGGAATGTGCACACAAATTGGAAGTCATGACAAGAAACATATCTTGGTTTGGAGGTTTTGTGATTTTTAGATACTCACAAGAGATAAATTCAATCTGTCCTGCTAGACGTGCTCAGGAGGAAGCTCCAATCCTATCGGAGGTGAGGCAGCTTCCGTGGACTCAGGAGGGGATCCTCCCCAAGGCTTCTGGGTTGCGCCGTCCACCTGTCATTGGATCTCAAGCACACCTGGGACACTGCCACATTAATAACAGCGATGATACTGTGTGTGCAGGCCTGGCCTAAATCCCAGGCTTGAGTTAACTGACTTAGCACTCAGCATCATGCTACAAGGTGTTATTATTATTCTGCAGCAGATGAAGAAGTGCAGCACAGAGCTGGTAAATAACTACTCACCGCCACCTGGCTGGCGGCAGGGTGTAACATCCTATGCACGCCCAGCGAGGGCGCCCTGCAGGAGATGTGTTTGCTTGGCAGACAAGTTGCAAAGAAGGCCGGTGTCACCCTCTGGGCATGTCTTCAGGACGATTTTGCAGCTCTGTTTTTCCGTCAACATCCCTTAGGATTGCTGTCATTCTAGAACTGGATAACATGATCCATTTGAAATGAGCTATTTTAGAGAAATCAGCGATAAAGCTACCAATTATATAAATAGTTTTATTATTGTTACATTTTATTATTTGTTAAAGACCACAAAGACATAGAGAGGTGGAAGCATACATTTCACTTATTTATGTATGTATATATTTATTTTGGTTTAAGTGAATTTTATTTGACCATACTTTCTCTTTGCTTTGTTATTGAGTTTAACCAAGAGTTATTTTTACCAGCCCGATCTAATAATAAGGTTATGAAACTAATCAGGCTTCACAATTTCCTAAGCAACCACCGCCCCCATGGTTTCCAACTTTTCTCATTCACTGTTGTTATGATCATGATGATGATTTTAACTCTTTTTTTTTTTTACTTCTTTTTTTTTTATACTTTAAGTTTTAGGGTACATGTGCACAACGTGCAGGTTTGTTACATATGTATACATGTGCCATGTTGGTGTCCTGCACCCATTAACTTGTCATTTAGCATTAGGTATATCTCCTAATGCTATCCCTCCCCCATCCCCCCACCCCACAACAGTCCCCAGAGTGTGATGTTCCCCTTCCTGTGTCCATGTGTTCTCACTGTTCAATTCCCACCTATGAGTGAGAACATGCGGTGTTTGGTTTTTTGTCCTTGCGATAGTTTGCTGAGAATGATTTTAACTTTTTTGTGAATTGTCCCCATAGGGTCTTCTGAAGACGGCCCTGGATTTCCACAAACTGGGAAAGGTGGAGTTCAGCGGCGTCAGAGGGAATGCTCTGAGTCAGCAGGTCCAGCAAATGCATGAAGAATTTCAAGAGATGTACAGGCTTCTCTCAGGATCCTCCTCCGACTGCCTGTACCTCCAAAGCACGGTAGGGTTGGGAAGGGCTGAATCGCCAGCTCTGCCTCTGTCCCGGATGCCTCTCATCTGTAGGGTCTAGGTATTTACTTGCATTTTCCCTGTGTATTTCCTTTGGCTCTGTGGTCCCAGTGGTTTTGCTAATTATCCTTTGTGTTAGGAGAAATTATTATTCCTTGTGCCAAGAGAAAGATTCTAATTATTCTTTGTGTTGGGAGAAAGATCAAGGAGGCCTCTTCCAACTGTTAACTGCTCCAGACTAATGACACCAGGGTTTCAGAGATGCTGAGGTGGGTATGACATGACAGTGGAGGCGGTGGCCACCCTGTGGCTTCAAACGTTTTAAGCTCAGTGAAAGAAGCTAGACCCAGAAAGACAAATGTTGCATGGTCTCAACTATATGAGGCATCTGAAATAGTCAAAGTCATAGAAGCAGAGTGGAATGGTGGCTGCCAGGGGTGGGGGAGAGGGAAATGGGGAGGTGGTGGTCAAAGAGTATAAAGTTTCAGTTATGCATGATAAATAATTTCTGGAGCTCTAACGTACAACATGGTGAAGACGGTTAACAATACTGTATTGCAGGCCAGGTGCGGTGGCTCACGCCTGTAATCCCAGCACTTTGGGAGGACAAGGCGGGCAGATCATGAGGTCAAGAGATTGAGACCATCCTGGCCAACATGGTGAAACCCCGTCTCTGCTAAAAATACACAAAGTAGCCAGGCGTGATGGCGGGCGCCTGTAGTCCCAGCTACTCAGGAGGCTGAGGCAGGAGAATCGCTTGAACCCGTGAGACGGAGGTTGCAGTGAGCCGAGATCGCGCCACTGTGCTCTAGCCTGGCGATAGAGGGAGACTCTGTCTCAAACAAACAAACAAACAAAAAACTGTATTGCTTTGCTGTCTCACTCATAAGTGGGAGTTGAACAACGAGAACACATGGACACAGGGAGGGAAATAACACACACTGGGACCTGTCAGGGGTTGGGGGACAAGGGGAGGGAGAGCATTAGGACAAATACCTGATGCATGCGGGGCTTAAAACCTAGATGACGGATTGGTAGTTGTAGCAAACCACCGTGGCACATGTATACCTATGTAACAAACCTGCACGTTCTGCACATGTATCCCAGAACTTACAGTAAAATAATTTTAAAAAAAGAAAAACTGTATTGCGTACTTGAAATTCGCCAAAAGGGTAGATCCTAAGTGTTCTCACCACGCACACAAAAAGCAAATGGTAACTGTGTGAGGTGATGAATATGTTAATTAGCTTGATTGTGGTGATCATTTCACAGTGTATACATGTATCAAAATATCAAGTTGTATATCTTATATGTATACAATTTTTATTTGTCAATTATAACTTAATAAAACTGAGGGGGAAAAATGTTTTAAGCTTCGGGCAAAAACTGCTAAGGGAAGAACAGGCACACCTGGACAGAATTTTATTAGTGACTTGGGGAGGTATAAGTGAAGCCACAGCCTGGGTTTTCTGATCTGAACCTGGTTCCTAACAGAACACATAGGATAAGGAAAGGACCAGAGAAGCATTTTCCAGGACAGGAACAAAGAGCCCGCATCTCACCTGTAGCCCCAGGAAAGCCTCAACCTGTAAGTCCACATGCATGGGAGAAAAAAAGAAGAAAAAGGGCCAGTATGAAAACAGAGAATGGAAATCCCAGAAAAAGGAATGGCAGAATTACTGGAGAAGGAATTTTAAGAGTGTGTGCGGGAAAAGGAGAAAGAAATTAGGGCAGGAATCTGCTCTGAGCACCTTCAGACATCCAGGGGAATCTTAGTTGGCCAGACCCAGGAAGATTCTACCTTCTAAGAATTCTATTAGTCAAAAGTAGACCCAAAAAAGGTGGACCGTAGACTATCCTGGCCAACACAGTGAAACCCCGTCTCAATTAAAAATACAAAAAAATAGCTGGGCGTGGTGGTGCACACCTGTAATCTCAATTACTTGGGAGGCTGAGGCAGGAGGCTTGAACCCGGGAGGCAGAGGTTGCAGTGAGCCAAGATTGTGCCACTGCACTCCAGCCTGGGTGACAGAGTGAGACTCTGTCTCAAAAAAAAAAAAAAGCAGACCACAAAGCAGGCTATATACAATGTATTTGCTACCCTACAATACAGTAAAACAAAGCATAATCCCAGGGATTTTGCCCAGAGAAAAAACTAAAAACTAAGAAGAAACATGCCAAAATGTCATCATGTTTGGGAAGTAGAACTAGACTATTTTTTCATACCCTTTTTTTTTCACACACACATGCGTTACTGTTACAAAGCAATAATAACAAATAATTCCACAAATTAGAGATTGGCGTGACCAATGTTTCTCTGAAAATTGCTACGTGCTAAGAGAAATACATTAGGGTTGCCAGATAAACTACACTAATTTGGACATACTAAAAAAAAAAATTCTTGTTTACCTGAAATTCCAATTTAACTGAGTGCCTCGTAGTTTTATTTGCTAAATTTGGCAATCTTAAGAACAAGGCTAGTTGCTGTCTTAACCAATTAAGAAGGATTTAGAAGAAATTGTTTGTATTAGTTTAATTAGCTTTCTTTCCTCCTAATGGCTAGATTAGTTTGCTGACAATGGAAAAACAGAATTCTGACTTGGGGAAGGAACGAAAGTGGGTGGTAAAGTTGAAATAGCCCCATTGCTGGGGCTGTTGATGCTGCGGTGGTTTTCAGGGTTATGTGAGCTGGTGTTATGAGTGAGAGAGAAGGGGCTTCAGGAAGCAGAACGGAGGAGCATGGAAAGGGTGGAAGAACACCAAACTCACATCTAATTCATTTCACCATCTTGCTGGAACCCTCTAGGTAAAAATGCTGCAACCACAGGGTAACTCTACATGGCTAAAAATTAAGTCATGCCATGGTGAATTTCAGAAAATTAAAATAATTCTTTGGTATAACCAGTTCAAACACAAAAGTTAGCTGTGAGGAGCATAGTGGGGTTGGCTTACAGAAAATTACGTTTTCCTTATATATATATGGTGTCTCTTCAGGACTTTGAAAATGACGTCTCTGAATTTAACCAGAAAGTAGAAGATCTTGACCGAAGATTGGGGACTATCTTTATTCAAGCTTTTGATGATGCACCTGGCTTGGAGCATGCCTTTAAGGTTTGTGTAAATGGGGCAGGAGCCACTCGGTCCTGGATACTCCCCCGGCCCTCATCAGAGGATGATATGGATACCTTTCCACCTGTTCTGTTCCTGCAACTATTAATTATTCTTATTAATCTAGTAGAGAAGGATATGGGAATCCTTCTTATATCAAGAAAGTGTGCAGAATTGGGATTCTCAGGCTAATTACTTATGCTTTCCTGAAAATGTGACAATGTAAAAATACTTTTAAGAAGAATTTCTGCGGTGATCTCTTTAGGTGCCATACCTTTAGCAGTAGGGAAAGTGTGACCATGCAATACCATGGCTATTTAACCATGGCTGCTAGGTTGATTCAATCTGGAGCAAACCACCTCCCAGGTAATGATTGATAGGTTTCAGGCATCGATAACTGGAATAAGAAGATTTGTGCTCTTATCATATCACGCTCAGATCAGGTAATACAAAGTGTATGGAGGAGAAGGTTTAGGACAAGGCGTAGATGATGCATAGGTAAATGGCTGCACAGCTGAGAACGCTGCATCGTGAGACATGAAGACTCAGTGGAGCATGATATGTGTTCCACCAAGCAATCAAGAGGCTTATTCTGTAAAGCTTTAAGGGTTCCAGTAGTTGGTAGAAGTTACAAGAAGTCACATTGTGGTTCAGTAGAGGAAAGAGATTTCTGTCAAAGCTGTTTAAGATGGAATGGACTTCTTTAGCAAGTAGTTCAGTTTCTGGGCACTGAAAATGTTCAGACACAGGATCTGTGATGGGTGGGACAATTGTAGAAGAGGCTTAAACCCTGGATGGATGGATCTGTGCTATTCTAGAGTATTTGGTAACCCAAATGCGGCAGGCTCCATTAGCCATTGACCATACATATACATGTAGCCTTTAATCAATACCGTAATTCACATTGGAAGCCTTTTGAGATTCCCCTCTCCAAGCATTTGAACCAATTCCAAAGAAAGGGCTTGCATGTGTCTACAAAATGATCATGTATGCTATTAACTGTCAGGGATGATTGAAACTCTGCTGCTCAGGCAACTTGTGGGGCTGAAACTCCATTCGTGCACTAAGGATGCCCAGACCTACACATCACATAGATCCCTCTCTACCAGAGATGTTCAGGAGTCTTCAAGGGATGCCTCACAAGTATTCTCAAGCCACTTTGAAGTCTTTGAAATCACGACATCTGCTACATGTCTACAGACCCCCTTTAAATTTTATCTGCCAAGAAAAGTGCTTGAAGGAGTCTTGCCATTGCTTTTCTTCTGATGGTCCCCACCATGAAAACATGTCTGTGTGTGCCAAGGGCATGCCTCTTTGGGTTCCAGAATTCCAATCCTTGAAATTTTATGGGTTCTGGACAGAAGTAGAGGGAGACCTTCCCTCTACTGAAGCAGCACTGCTTGTACCCAGAGTTTCAGAGGGCTCATAAAAGCAGATTATTTATCTTCTGACCTTGACTCTTCTTCTCAGCTGAGCTTCCAGCCCAGGCCTTGGGAACTAGTAGGAAAACCATAACCCTCCGATCCCTTCTGCCTACTTTGTTTCTCTCTTTTTGGTGATCTCACCAACAAGAAACTAAAACCCTTCCTTCATCCCCAAGCAAAAGCAAAATCTCCAATTGACATAAGCTCATGCAGAGAAGAACATTTTCAAGGCTGGGGAGTAGGGACCAGAGAGAGTACCTGACTCTAGATCCCCTGTTGCTGCTGTAAGATCATCCAACTACTAGGTGGCCCCTCAGTGGACATGAATCCATGAGTACATCCAGGCCAAGGACTGTGAACAGACGGTGCAGGTTGGCCATGGTGGTCCCTCTGTGCACACACCTGTACTTCCTCAACAGAAGATGGGAGCCACAGAACTCGGAAAAGTCTGCTCTCTTATGCTTCCATTGAGGCAGAGCTACTTTTTACTGTCTCCAGAGATCTGGGTGATTGTTTTGTGAAAGAAAGTGTGACCCTAGATCCTCCCCAATGGAAGGCTTTTTAGCACCTTTACAGAGTCCTTAGAGTGCCTTGGAATCATTAAGGAAATCCAGTCAAACTGTCAGACCTGGAAAACATCTGGCCAAGGACCCCATATTTGGCTTTTCTCCATACCTGGTCATTCTGCATAACATGGCCTGGATGCCTCAGACTTCTAGGAGCCATCTAAGATTGTGAGCTGATGCCAATCAGCTCCTAGAGCTTGCACTCCCTCCAGGATTGGGATGCCAGTGAAGCAAAAAAATGGCCCAACCTGAAATAAGGAGGTAGGATAAAGAGCATAAGGTCTTAGACAAATGCAGACTGTTCAGCTTCCAGTTTTAGGACATGTGGATGTAATTTTATATCGTGTTTCTCATGTTCGTTGACTTAAAGCAAGGGTTCCACATTTTTTTCTACAAAAGGTCAGAGAATAAATATTTTAGACTATGGGTACATGTGTTTTCTGTCACACACTCTTTTTCATTTTATTATTTATTATTTTTATTTATTTATTTTTGAGACAGAGTCTTGCTCTGTTGCCTAGGCTGGAGTGCAGTGGTGCGATCTCAACTCACTGCAACCTATGCCTTCTGGGTTCAAGTGATTCTCATGCCTCAGCTTCTCGAGTAGCTGGGATTACAGGCACACGCCACCATGACTCGCTAATTTTTTTTTTTTTTTTTTTTTTTTTTTTAGTAGAGACGGGTTTTGCCATGTTGGCCAGGCTGGTCTTGAACTCCTGGCCTCAAGTGATGTGCCTGCCTCGTCCTTCCAAAGTACTGGGATTATAGGCATGAGCCAGAGTGCCCGGCCCTCTTTTCAATTTTTTTAATTCTCTTTTGAAATGCAAAAACCATGCACTGAGCAGTTTTGGGCAGATTTGGCTGCCCACTGCTGTACTTCGTCACCCTCTGACTTCAAGTGCTAGGTGGAGATGAGAGGTTATCATGGAAGGCACGTTTAGAAGCAGTGTATTGGTATATCCTAAATATAACTGGAGTCCTACATGGCCTCATCTCAGAAAAGCATCACAATGGAAGAAACACAGTCTAGGAGCCAGAAAGTAATTAAAAGCATTTCACATCTTGATTTTGCTGCTCCATGAAACACTGAGGGGTTAGGGCAGTCTGAATGCACAGGAACACATCTTCAGAGAAAGGTCAGCATCACTGCCATTCTCACGGCACCTGCTCTCAGAAACTATTTCCTTGTTCCCATTCTCAAATTTTTGCCCTTCAAATTCTCCCCAACATCCAGCCAACTTAGCTTCTTTTTCTTTTCCATCATTACCTTCTTTCTGTTCTAGGTTTTGTTTTTTTTGTTTGTTTATTTGTTTGTTTGGTTTTTTTTTGACAGAGTCTCACTCTGTCGCCCAGGCTGGAGTGCAATGGCACGATCTTGGCATCTTGGCTCACTGCAAACTCCGCCTCCCAGATTCAGGCAATTCCCTGCCTCAGCCTCCTGAGTAGCTGGGATTACAGGCACCCGCCACCACACCCAGCTAATTTTTGTATTTTTAGTAGAGACGGGGTTTCACCAACTTGGCCAGGCTGGTCTTGAACTCCTGACCTCGTGATCCACCCACCTGGGCCTCCCAAAGTGCTGAAATTACAGGCATGAGCCACCGCGCCTGGCCTGTTCCAGGTCTTAATTATGTAGTTCAGCTTAACCTTGCTGGGATCTTTAGTTATCCCTTTGTTTATTGGTTTATCCAGATTCTTATGCCAAGTAGAGCTGGGGGTGAGTAACTCGGCAGACAGGAATTTTCTGTTAGAAGCAAAGGAGAAGAGAAAGACTATGAATATCATCCACATATGAATAATTACAGGTCCAGCTCCACAATAACACTGTTCACTCTTCTTACATTGGTAGGCATATAAAGGAAAACCAGAACACTGGATTTGTATAACCATGGAAAGGTTTAATCTGTGATTTTTTTCCTCTTTTTCCTCCACCTTCCCTACAGCTGCTAGACATAGCAGGAAACCTCCTTGAAAGACCGCTGGTAGCGAGGGATACATCTGATAAATACCTGGTCCTCATCCAAATGTTCAACAAAGATCTGGATGCAGTGAGGATGATCTACAGTCAGCACGTCCAGGAGGAAGCAGAACTTGGTAGGCTTGTTAAAGGGGATTTTGATGGGGACATTCTGTTACTGGAAAGAAGCAACTCATTCCTCTTGTATTTGTTAAATGTCCATGTATGGATCCATACATTCTCAAAAAAGAGCAAGCACAACCTTCTTGCTTGAAATTCCAGACCACCTTGGGTGACTGGGGAGCTCTCTGAACTACGGCTTTCCCTGTTTCTGGGGCTGAGATTGGCAGGCTGACCCAGCGTGGTACAGTCTTCACTGCTTCTGTTCAGCTGAGACCTTGGCATTATGGATGAGTTGACCCTTGATCAGTGTTGCTACACTGACTAATCTTCAACACGCCTCCATTCGAAAATAAATGTTTACACGCCTGAGAAAAGTTTCTTATGCCTTCCAATGCCATAGCAACCATGCTTCTGGTGGGAGGAACCAGCAGGAGCCCTCCAAAGGGCAGTACCATGCCAAGGCGTGATGTCTCCATTTTTATTATGATGCTGCGTGTCAAAACAAATGCATTTCAGTTTTACGTACATTTATTGAGTCCTTACTACATGCCAAGCATGCCTGTGGGTCCTGTATACTGTGGCAAGTCAAGGTAAGGGATAAAATAAATAATGAATACAAAAGGCTGGTTCTTTATAGAATGTTGAGTGCTGCTCGGCTTGAGTTGTAAAGAATGGTAACAAGCTGGAAGCGATGGTGCGAACCCCTAGTCCTAGTATCTCAGGAGGCTGAGGTGGGAGGATCGCTTGAGTTCAGGAGTTCGAGGCTGCAGGAGCTATGACCCTGCCACTGCACCCCAGCCTGGGTGACAGAGCCAGACCCTGTCTCTAAAAATAAAATAAATAAGAAAGAAATAAAATACATTCCTATAGTCAGTCGCACAGCGCTTTGCACATAGTGGGTGCTCAATAAGTCGTTATTGGACTGAATGGCCTCTGACATCTGAAAAATGATGCCATTTGGATGAAATAAATTATGAACTTCTTATTATGAAAAGAAAATAAAGAAGAAGAGACTGTAACTCTTCCTTCCTCCCCAAGCAAAGATGCATTGTGGATGGGAGATTCGAGGGCAGGCTTAACAAGACAAGATGCATCGTGAGTGGGAGATTCGAGGGCAGGCTTATGGAAAAGGTAGTCTTGAGCTGAGCCCTAAAAGTTGGGAGATCAACAGTAAAGCAGAGGAGACAAAGGCCTTCAAAGCAGATATGAGAGGATATGGAATGTGATCAGCTGGGTCTGCCTGTAGCCAAACAAGGTGTGCAGAAGACATTCATTCGGCCATGGCATTTGAGGTCAGCTTGGGAAGTGCTCAGTGTGCCGCCTTAGGGAATTTGGAATTCATGATCAAGGGTAGGGGAAATTATCAAAGGCTTTTAAGTAGCTGAGTAAGAGGATTGCTCTGCTTGCAAGTAGGTTTCACGGTGAGGTCATCAAGAGTTGCCTCCACTTGGAAGTCATTCTAAGAAAATCCGTTGGCCAAGCTTTATGTGGGATTATCCCCATGACTTCTTACGGTCAGATACAGAGTTTGAAAACTCAAATGCCTCCAGAAGCTATATCGGTAACAAATGACCACGACCTTAGTACCTTAAAACACCACCATCCATCTTTCAGCTCACACTTTTTTTTTTTAAGACGGCGTCTGGCTCTATTGCCCAGACTGGAGTGCAGTGGCACGATCTCGGCTCATTGCAATCTCTGCATTCCCAGTTCAAGTGATTCTCCTGCCTCAGCTTCCAGAGTAGCTGGGATTACAGGTGCCTGCCACGAGGCCCGGCTAATTTTTTTGTATTTTTAGTAGAGTCAGGGTTTCACCATGTTGGTCAGGCTGATCTCGAACTCTCGACCTTATGATCTGCCTGCCTCAGCCTCCCAAAGTGCTGGGATTACAGGCATGAGCCACCACGCCTGGCCCTCAGCTCACACTTCTGTAGGTCAGGAGTCCAGCATGGTGCATCTGGGTTCTCTACTCAGAGAGAATCCCAAAGCTGAAATCAAGGTGTTGGTCAGCCTGAGTTTGCATCTGGAGGCTCTAGAGGAAAAATCCACTGCCATCCTCCTTGCTGTTGGTAGAATCCAGTTCCTCATGACTATAGGAGTGAGGTCCCCATTTCCTGTTGGCTGTCAGCCAAGGGCCACTCTTTGCAACTAGAAGCCATCTGCATTCATTACCATGTAGCCACCTCCATCTTCAAGCCAGCAACAGGACGTTAAATCCTCTTATGCATCAAATCTCTGCCTTCCTGTCCTGCCACCAGCCAGAGAAAACATTCTGCTTTTAAGGCCTCACCTGATTAGGTCTGGCCCACCCAGGGTCCTCTTCCTCCTGCTGTATGACATATCATGACCACAGGAGTACGCTGTCATCATAGCCACAGTTTTGACCCATGCTTAAAGGGGAGAGGATTATGCAAGGGTGAGGGTCATTGGGGGTCATCTTAGAGTTTTGCCTATCATGGAGGACAAGCAGGAAATGAAAATCATGGATCTGGACTGAGCATGGTGACACTAGGGAAGGGTGGTACCCGCGGTGAAATAAAGGAAGTAGCCACTTCTCTAGTTGCTAGTTAGAAATGCCAGCTGATTCTTGCTAATCTTCTCATTTTACCAGAGAAGCTGGGAAGTGAGATTCTTTAAAAAGCGAAACCTCACATTTGTTAAATCTTGACAACCAAATATAAGCAGACAAACCCATTGCTTGGGCTAACATAAGCATATCTAGTCTGTGCTGACTCGAGTCCAGGGCTCCATAATCCACATGACCTGCCTCATTCATCATCTTATGGAATTCTCACAGAAACTCTGGAAGTTAATTAAGCAGGGAAGATATTATTCCCATTTTATAGATGTGAAAATTGAGACCCAGGGTGATTGAGTTGTCTGTTTAAGGGAGTGTTTCAACCCTGACTGTTCAATTAGAGTCATCTTGAGAGCGTTTTAAAAAAACACTCAATTGTGGCCAGGTGCAGCAGCTCACGCCTGTAATCCCAGCACTTTGGGGGATTGAGGCGGGTGGATCACCTGAGTTTGAGACCAGCCTGATCAATATGGTGAAACCCCATCTCTACTACAAATACGAAAATTAGCCACGTGTGGTGGTGGGTGCCTGCAAATCCCAGCTACTCAGGAGGCTGAGACAGGAGAATCACCTGAACCTGGGAGGCAGAGGTTGTAGTGAGCCACGATTGCGCCACTGCACTCCAGCCTGGGCGACAAGAGTTAGACTCCTTGAAACACTCATGGCTGGGCCCCTCCCAGAGCAATGAAATCAGAATAGCTTGGGCATGGGACCCAGGTCCCCTGAGGCTGGGAGTGTTCGTCTCAGGGTTACTCTTTCTTCCTCTTTAACAGAACCCCCCAGGAACTCCAGTGTGCTCCCAGGTGACTTTAGTCTGGAGATAATGAGGCAAAAGTGGAGTACTTGGTGGGAGGTGTTTGCCGAGCGGAGAGGACTGAGGTGCTCTAGACTCATTTCGGTCTGTCTGTGCCATGTCTCCAGGGTTCTCCCCGGTGCACAAGAACATGCCCACCGTGGCTGGCGGCCTCCGCTGGGCACAGGAGCTGAGGCAGCGCATCCAGGGTCCTTTCAGCAACTTTGGACGCATCACACACCCGTGAGTATTGTGTTCCTGAAAGACAGGCTTGTCTTGGGCTGCTGTTCCTGCTCTAGAATCTGAGTGTTGTAGAAATGCAACCTGCTTAACGAAGGCCAGAAAATCATCTTCCTTTCTTTCCATTTCCAGCAAGGGATTAGACACCTATTGGCAAAACAGTCATGATATTGATGCATTTGGACTGAAGGGCAGGGCCCTTGGTGTTAAGTGCTGTAACTGGCTGACTCATTTTGCTCTGGGGGATTCATTTCTGGAGGACAGTGAGCCAGGGATTTTAAGCTCTGTGGAGTTCTTCCACACGTCTCCCTTTGACATCATGTCTCCTTGCTGCTGAGGCCACTGGAAAGTAATGAAGCCCAGTGTTTCCTCAAGTGCAGTATGAGGTCTCTGTCCATCAGGATAACTCTGGAAAACCTGTTAAAGATGCACATTCCAGGGCCTCACCTGTCACTGGCTGAATCTGAATCTGGTGTGGGCTGTGAATCTGCCCCTTCAGCAAGCTCCTCCTGTGATTCTGACGGTGACCAGGTTTGGAAACCCTCAGCTTGCTTCATAGCTGAGGTTAGAAGCTGAGATAGAAGCAACTCAGCTGCTAATTGTGATGTTGTGTTTAAGACGCTGGCTGAGGAAAGGCAGTCTTTCTCTGATACCTCTTTCTAAAAGACTTAATCTTGCTGACAGCACACAGGTTTTGGAAAACACAACAGAAGGAAAAGAATCAAACTCTGGCCATTGGACTCACAGGCTTTTTGGAGTTAGGAAGAGCCTTAGAGACCCTCTGGTCTGGCCCAAGTGGGAAGACTCAACACCATCAGAGGCCAGACAAATGGATGGCCAGGATGGGGTCTGCAGGGGGCCACCAGCACCCCACTCCAGCATTGCCAAGCAGAAAAGCAGACCCAATGTGAGCAATCTCCTGACTGTTGGAGATAAGCTGGAAACTGGATTTTAGAGTTGGACATCCAATTTTCCAATGATCAAGGATTCCATTTTTTCTCAAACTCTGTGCAGAACTAACAAAGCATGCCTGTGAGGCAGGTCTGCCCAGCGGGTGACCCATTTGCAGCATCTGCTTGGGTGTGGGCGAGATCTTTATTTTCAGATGAAGAAATGGAGGAAATGAAGAGAGAAGGGAGGTGACTTGCCCAAGGTCCTAGAGACAGCCAAAGAAAGAACTGGAAGAAATGCCTGATTCTCCAGGCTCCTAATCCAGAATGCTTCCCGGGGACCCCCCAGCCCTGGAAGTTTGGCGGGGAGTAGATCTGAGCCCTCATGCATCTCAATCACGCAGCAGAAGGCAGAAGGGAGAAGATAGGTGAATGGGGTGGGGAGGGGTGCCAGGGCTGCCCCTAGAATGTGGACTGCCACAGCTGTCACAGGTCTGGTTCCCAGGAAGCAGACCTATGATGTGTGTGCAGGAATTTATAGAGATCCTTTCAGGAACAGCACTCATGAGGAAGGGAGGGGAAACAGATCGGGCAGAGAAAGAAGTTGAGCTGCTGAGCTGCAAGAAAGTTGCAATGGGGGTCTCAGCTGGTCCTCCAGGGAGTTTGGGCCCTTCAGAGCTGTTCTGCCTCCGTACCCCTACATCAGCTGGTAGGATGTGGGCTTTCCTGGGGAGGGGCGTGACCTTTGGGTGAGGCAGCTCTCTCTGGCCAAGGCTGCTCCCAAAGAGGGAGGCAGCGGTACTTCTGCAGCAGCCAACACTCCTGGCTGGAGGGGACAGGGCGAGGCAGGGGTTGAAGCAGGAAGGTTTGGAGGTGTACCAGGGCCTGGTCCCAAGAGGCGATCTGGAAGGCACACAACAGAGACCTCTATAATTCCCGTGAAAACTCCCCCTTGTTTTAAAAATGAATTCAAATGTGTATTATGGGCCGGGCATGGTGGCTCACACCTGTAATCCCAGCACTTTGGGAGGCTGAGGCGGGTGGATCCCCTGAGGTCAGGAGTTTGCAACCATCCTGGCCAACATGGTGAAACCCATCTCTACTAAAAATACAAACAATTAGCCAGGTGTGGTGGGGGCAGGGGGCGGGGGGCGCCTGTAATCCCAGCTACTCAGGACGCTGAGGCAGGAGAATCACTTGAACCTGGGAGGCAGAGGTTGCAGTGAGCCGAGATTGCGCCATTGCACTCCAGCCTGGGCAACAAGAGCGAAACTCCATCTCAAAAAAAAAGTGTATTCTATTCTATAATAGGTATTGATTGGTTATTGAAAATGTTTTAGATTCCTCACCATGAAGTGACATGGGAACTGCAGGAATTTCACTGTGCTTATTCCTGTGACTTCCCAGACCCACTCGGCCACACGCCCACGTGAGAAGCCTCACTCTGCTCTGGCCTCATTCTTTTCTAGATACAAAACTGAGACCCGGGGTTGGGGCCTGTGGGGCTTGTGGAAATCACACAGCTTGGCAAGGGAAAGCGCCCATTCGGGCTGGAGCATATTCTACCTCTCCTTGCTGCCTGGCAGATGCATCTGCTCTTTCATCACAAACGTGGACTGAGTAATCAGGGGGAAAAAAAAACGCCAGCAAATTCATTGCTTTCTCTGCAGGCGCTAGGGCTTCTGTGGAAAGCTCGAGGGATCTGATGAAGAAATCCTATGTTGGTTTAAAGAGCAGATGGATTTTAAGGAATCTCTGCAGTAAGCTGCCTCATTTTGCCAGCAGGTCAAATAGAAACAAACCACCACATAGTTAGTGTGAAGATTTTGAAGAATTAAAGATACTTCACCAATTTCTTCCAGGACTGGACTTTCATTAGTGTTGTGGGAAGTGTCAAAACCAGTTGAGGGTAACCGTACCTCGAGCCACACTCTCTTCCGTGGTCCTTAGCATTCCTGCAGAAGCCTCCATTTGTGTGTGCACACTTGTGTTTACACATGTTATATGTACGTCCATGTGCACTTTCATGTATGTGTATTACATGTGCACATGTTTCAGGGGTAAGAGCTGGGAGGGACCCTCATGTAAAAACGTGAAGAAGTGGTAGTGTTTCGGATCGCGTGTTCTAGATGGATTTCAGAAAAGGGGAAACATATATTTAAATATATAAAAAACATGTTAATATATCTGTACCTATATAGATATTTACCTGGCATATAGTGTTATAGACAATCATGTATTACTTCACAATGGGGTTATGTTCTGAGAAATATATCCTTAGGCAATTTCATCATTATGTGAACATCATAGAGTGTATTTACACAAACCTATGTCTGTGGTCTAGAGTATTGTTCCTAGGCTACAAATGCCCTATGGTCTAGCTTAGCCTAGGAGCAATACGCTCTATGATCAACACGCTCTATGATCAATATGCTCTATGATCAATACGTTCTATGATCAATACGCTTTATGGTCTAGCTTAGCCTATGATCAATACACTCTATGATCAATACACTCTATGGTCCAGTGTATTGCTCCCAGGCTACAAACCTGTGCAGCGAGTGACTGTCCTGAGTATTGCAGGCAATTGTAGCACTATACTAAGTGTTTGTGTATCTAAACATATCTGAACATAGAAAAAGTACAGCAAAAAATAAGGCATAAAAGATTTAAAAAATGGTACGCTTGTGTAGGACACTTACCATGAATGGAGCTCACAGGACTGGAAGTTGCTGTAGGTGAGTCAGTGAGTGGGTGGTGAGTGAATGCGAAGGCCTAGGACATTACTGTACACTTTTATACGATTGGCAGCACAGTAGGTTTGTTTACACCAGCATCACCACAGCCATGGGAGTAATGCGTTGCACCATGTCAACAGGCAATAGGAATTTTTCAGCGTCATTAAAATCTTATGGGACCGCAGTCACATACGTGTATATATGTTGACCAAAATGCCATTATGTGGTGCATGACTGTATATAACATTGATGGTCTTAAATACAGAAAATTACAGCACCTAGAATTTTTTCATATCTCAATTTCCCTTTTATTCAGATTTTTGAAGGACCTCACATACCTTGTGTGTGACTGGCTCAGCTAGGTGAGGGTGCTGGTGGAGCTGCGGGCAGGAAAGGTTATGAGAGCTCTGACACTTGCGGAGCTGCCTGCGTTTCAGGAAGTGCAGATGCCCTCTAGTGGCCAGAGTAAGATGTTCGCGAAGAAGAAAGGCTCTTTCAGGGCTGTTTGGAAACGAGCCAAGGAGCTATTCACGCTCTTCTTTGGAGACTGCAGTTTGTTCCTCGGATTATTACTTTAACTTCTTCTAATTCTGTGTCACTTTTTCTCTTTTGTACGAGTAGTTGCATGGAATCTGCAGAAGGAAAGCGAATGCAACAAAAATATGAAGATATGCTGTCATTGCTAGAAAAGTAAGCAACTTCTGGCATTGCGTGGGTCTGCAGATTGCACAGCCTCCATGCTGCCTTTTGCAGCTCCGAGTTTGTGCAGATTCCTCAGTGGCTCCGAAGTATCACTCTATGTTTTATGTTATAACCACGATATTTGTGAGTACAGTATTTCCGGGTTGCACACACACAGGGTATCTGGGGAATTCAGCTGTATTCTGGAAATAAATACTTTTCCAGTGTAGTTTTGCTGGGAGTGTGAACTAGAGCTAGGAGTGGGGTGCTACTCATGGAACTCCGAGACGGATGTCACGGAAAATTGCAACAGCTGCTTACTCAGCAGAAAGCAACAGTGCATGCTGCACAAAGAGGCAATAAGTTTTAAAAAGTACTTCCTGCATCATTTTATTGAGAAAGCATAAGAGTGAAAATTTTATATGACTTCAAAGTTGTAACTGCTTTAAAGCTGAATAAGTCTTTCCAGGGCTTAGGGTCTAGAAACAGCCATTGTCTTGATTTCTCCTTCTGCCATTTGTTCTTTCTCCTGGTTCAGGAGGGAAGAATGGTGGCCGTTGAGATTATAATTGTGATTATGCTTAGCATTGTTCCAGACAGATTAATTAACAGCACCTCTACCTGGCAAGTAACACACATTCCACCCCTTTTACCTCTAAAATAACTTCAAGTCCATCCACTCCTCTTTGTCTCCACCACCAGTGTCTTCACAAGAGACTGGAACTTCTCCAGGCTGAACTGCTGCAGTGGCTTCCTAACAGTCCTTGCTGCCTCCAGATCTGTTCCCCTCAGTACCCACATTGTTACCAAATCCAATAATGTCACCATAGCCACCACCAGCTGGGAGGCCTTGCGGTGGTTCTCACAGCCTCCTTAACATGACATGAAAAGTCTTCCTTGAGGTGGTTTTTGCCTCCTCGTCACCACCTCCAGCCTCTGCCATGCTCTGTAGTCCTTGTTTCAAGCACACAGTTTCAAGCATGCTGTTTCTCACCTCTACCCTTTGGCTACACCAGGAATGCTCACTCTCCCTTTGCCACCCAACCTCTGGCCATCCTCTGAGACCCAAGCAAGCATCCCTTCATCACCTCTCCTATGAAACCTTCCCTGACATTCTCCTTATCATCCCCAGCCTTCCACCTCTGCTATTAGGTGCCTGATGTCCTGTACATTTCTCTTTTTCTTTTTCTTTTTTTTTTTTTTTTTTGAGACGGAGTCTTGCTCTGTCGCCCAGATTGGAGTGCAGTGGCACAATCTCGACTCACTGCAAGCTCCGCCTCCCGGGTTCACGCCATTCTTCTGCCTCAGCCACCCGAGTAGCTGGGACTACAGGTGCCCACCACCACACCCGGCTAATTTTTTGTATTTTTTGTAGAGACAGGGTTTTACCGTGTTAGCCAGGATTGTCTCGATCTCCTGACCTTGTGATCTGCCTGCCGTGGCCTCCTAAAGTGCTGGGATTACAGGTGTGAGCCACCACGCCTGGCTAATTTTTTTTTTGTATTTTGAGTAGAGACGGGGTTTCTCCATGTTGGTCAGGCTGGTCTCAAACTCCCAACCTCAGATGATCCACTTGCCTCGGCCTCCTGAAGTGCTGGGATTACAGCTGTACATTTCTTTAGGATTGCAGTTGCTGCACTGTGTCAGGGTGATCTGTTGGCCTGCGATCCCCACCATTAACTGCCTTTACTGTCAGGTACTCATCCATCATTTGTATCCCCGAAGTCCAGCACATGGTAGGTGCTTGGTCAGTGTGTCATGACTGAATGATGAACGTCCATGAGCTACGTAAAGATTAGTGTGAGAGCGAATCTTCCCCAGTAACTTCTTGCAACATTTACTGAGACTAATCACAACTTCCTTATCCCCTCAAAAGATCTCATGGGGTCTTTCTCCTCTTCTCTGATTTAAGCAATGCTACCTTTAGAAATCTGTGGCTATGGCCGGGTGCAGTGGCTCAAGCGTGTAATCCCAGCACTTTAGGAGGCCAAGGCGGGCAGATCACCTGAGGTCGGGAGCTCGAGACCAGCCTGAACAACACAGAGAAACCCCATTTCTATTAAAAATACAAAATTAGCCAGGCGTGGTGGCACATGCCTGTAATCCCAGCTACTTGGGAGGCTGAGGCAGGAGAATCACTTGAACCCGGGAGGCAGAGGTTGCAGTGAGCCGAGATCACATCATTGCACTCCAGCATGGGCAACAAGAGCGAAACTCTGTCTCAAAAAGAAAGAAAGAAATTTGTGGTTACTCTCAGAAGCTGACCCAGCCTGGTTGGGTCAATGACTAGTAGTATCTTCAATTTATGTTACAGATCATGACCAGGCACCGGTGAGCTGGGAGGGGGCTTATGAGGTGGCTGTTGTCTCTGACCCTTGCAGGTATGAGACAAGACTTTATGAGGATTGGTGCCGGACAGTATCAGAGAAGTCACAGTACAATCTTTCCCAACCACTTCTAAAACGTGACCCAGAGACGAAGGAGATCACTATCAACTTTAACCCACAGGTCAGTTGGCTGACAGTAGCTCTCTTTTGGGTTCCTGAAGAGTTTCTTTGAACTCTGCTGATTTCAAAAGCGTAAAGACTTTTATTTTTTTGAGACGGAGTTTCACTCTTGTCGCCCAGGCTGGAGTGCAGTGGCGCGATCTCAGCTCACTACAACCCCTACCTCCTGGGTTCAAGTGATTCTCCTACCTCAGCCTCCCAGCACAAAGACTTTTTATAAGAACATGCAAAAGATTCTCAAAATAATTTGTACCCTGGATTTCTTTTTTGGGATGAATTCTGGGGTGTAGTGTTTTATTAAGTTGTCCATGTTCACATTTTTCACTAGGGTTGCTCAATATATTTGCTTCAATTTTGCACAACAGGAAGTACTACAAAAGATCACCAATCATTTGGTAACAAACATAGCCCACTGGGCCTACCTTGAACTTACCATGTCTGAAGGCCATTGACTAGATGCTGGAGGGCCAACCAAGTGCATATAAGACTTGGCTCCTGCCCTCAAGGAACCCACGGTCTAGTTGGGGGTCACAACCTTAACATGCAAAATTTTATCTTCACTAGATGGCATATGGTAAATCCCAGAGGAGTGGCTTTGGAAATAAGACTCTAGATTAGTGGTTCTCAACTGGTGGTGATTTTGTCCTCCTGGAAACATTTTTGTTTGTCAAACTAGGCGGGAGTGCCAATGGCATTTAGTGGATAGATAGCAGGGATACTGCTAAACTTCTTGCAATGCACAGGACTGTGTACCACCACAGAGTTACTTGTCAAAAATGTGAATAGTGCTGAGGTTGAGAAACTGTTTTAGATGATCAGAAGGATGGAAGACCAGTGGGGACCGTAGCAGCCACAGAAAGTTTAATGCTGGAGAAAAATGATAACTAAAGGTTAGTTGGTTTCAAAAATAATATTACTCAGGTTGAAAAAAACTGTATTGGTCACACTAAGCTAAAAGCAGTCACCTACATCTGCCTTGATGGCGTATGCTCCAGGAATGCACTATAGATTGAGCTGAAAACCAAGCTGATAGCATATTGGTGTCTTTCAAGAAAATTGCAATTTAAGTAGAACATTGCTTCCTCCTCTGCAATCAAAGTCAACAAGGAATATAGAGAATTCATGTCTTCACTTTGGCAAGACGTGAGTCTGTTTAACTTACTGAACTCCTTGGATCAATTTCATTGGCATTCACTGTGAGCAATATTGAATATTAAATGCCTAAAGAGATGAATATCTGGATTACCAAGTAGGCCACAGTTTCCATGTTGTAATATAGTAATTAAGCCCTTGAGATAAGTCCTCAGTATAAGATATATTACTATATAGTAATTAAGTCCTTGGTATATAACCATACTTGGTCATGTATTGAAGATGGACCAGCCTCTGTATACTCCAAGGACAAGGACCTTATCTGCCTTAATGTGTAACACATAGGGCACACTTTATAGATGTTTGCAGGCCATAGAAGGGAAAGGAGGGAGGAAAGAAGAAAAAGGGGGGTAGGGATAAATATTAATACCTAAACTATAATGTGAGTTGATGGGGGACAACTACAAGCTTAACAAGTCAAAGAAGAACACCATCACACCTTGACATACAACTTCAAGCAATGTGGCCAAAGCTGGGCTATTAAGAATGAACAGGGCCGGGCGTGGTGGCTCACACCTATAATCCCAGGACTTTGGGAGGCTGAGGTGAGTGGATCACCTGAGGTCAGGAGTTCAAGACGAGCCTGACTGACATGGAGAAACCCCATCTCTACTAAAAATACAAAAAATTAGCCAGGCGTAGTGGCACATGCCTGTAATCCCAGCTACTCAGGAGGCTGAGGCAGGAGAATTGCTTGAACCTAGGAGGCAGTGGTTGCAGTGAGCCGAGATTGCGCCATTGCACTCCAGCCTAGGCAACAAGAGCGAAACTCCATCTCAAAAAAAAAAAAAAAGAATGAACAGTAACACACTTATCTTATTAGTCTAGAGGGACATGATCAGAAATTTGCCCCTCTGGGGACAGGATAAGAATTGTATAGGTTAAGTTTTTCAAATTTATGTAAATCATTTAAATTATTTAAATGTCTTATTGTTGGGCATTTACATCATTTTACAGTTTCATCAGTCTATATTTCATTGATTCTAGGAGGCATCTTTTTACATATTTATATCTCTGAAATTGGCATGTTTTTAGTTTAATAGACTGCATGTTTTTGTTTTTTCTTTTGTTGCGTATAAAATAATAGTGAATCTTACAATTGATGACATCTTAAACTGGATAAAGCATGGTATAAATAATGCTACAACAAATATCCCTAGTTTTGATTGTATGCATTCCTGATTATTTCTTTAGGATAAAAGTCCAGAAATGGAATTTCTGGGCTAACGGGCATTCACATTTTGAGACTTTTCATGTATATTATCAACTTGTTCTTTAGAAAGATGAAACTCAGTCATTTTCCTGCCAACAAGATACTGTTCATTTCTTCAAATAGTTTCCAGACTGTTGAACTAAAAGAAAAAAACTCAATGTTGTTCAATTTGCATGTATTTGATTACTAGTAAATGTGAATTTTTATCATATATTCATTACTCATGTATATTTATTCTTCTTTGAATTGCTTGTTCATGTCCTTTGCCCACTTGCTAGTGGAAGTACCCTCTCTTCCTGTGAATTTGTTAGGATACTTAGGAAATATGTGACAGATACTAAGAAATCTGCTCCAAAAATTTTGCCAGTTTAAATGGCCAAATATGTTGGCCATTTTATGTTGATATTTTATGCGCAAAAGTTTTTATGTTTTGTGGTTTTATGTTTGGAATGACTTTCTCTACTTCCCTATTATATTAATAGCCCCACATCTTTCTTTTAATTATTTTCTTTTCACTTTTTACAGTTAAATTATTAATATCTATCTTGAGCTAGAACTAGAAGACTGAGTCCATTTCCCCACAAAATGGTTAGCATTTGTCTGAATGCTGAGTAGGGTTTGCCCACTAGCAATAAAGAATTGACCCAGAGTACTGGAAGGAGAGCTAGGAGCCAGGTGTCTTCATATGAGGGGGAGATAGGGAGAACCTGGGGCCATCTGTTCATCACTTGTACCTATGCCCATCAGTCCTCATGGGTTCAGACAGAAACATCAATAAATAAGGAAGGATGAAGAAGAGAGTGCCTGGAAACCCTGTTTCATTGGACAAATCTTTCTCCTTGGCTTCTCACTTCTTCAGTTGCTGCTGAATTTGGGACCCCACAGAAGTTCAACGCAGCCTGGATGAGTTCCATTTCCTGAACCCCTAGCATGTTAAGACACAAGGAAATGCCAGCAGAGAGTTACAGAAGTTGTGGGATATTCCAAATGATTACATTGAATAACTAAAGTTTTATTATGGGCACCTCCTCTCAATCCTGCCAGTGTCTCGCTATAACTGTTTCATTTGGAGAGAATGCCAGAAGTCTGAACTTGAGGCTTCTCATGAATGTTGGTAGCCCAGGCCAGATGATTCTCCTCCTTTAGGCCACCACCCTTGGATGGGAACTGGCTGGGCCCCTATGAGCCCATCATTTCCGCAGCCACATTGTCCAAAGCACAGAAGGCAGAGCCCTCCCCTGCTATCACACTTGTCTCTGTTCTCAGGTTTTCCTCTTCTTTATGATGTATAGATTTAGGAGCCTTGTTTCTTTCCGAGACATCTTCCTTCTGCCTGATACTTGATTTTCCTTTTCTGAGACTAGATTTAAGAAACTGATAGGAGCAGAACTTAAGAAAAGACCCAGAAGATCTTTGGGCCTCCTGGGATTGTCCAGTCTTTGACCAATGCTGCAGATTATTCATTATCACTGAACGACAGACACTTGTGTTGCTTCTTTTCTCCAGCTGATTTCAGTGCTGAAAGAAATGAGCTATCTTGAACCCAGAGAGATGAAACACATGCCTGAGACAGCAGCAGCCATGTTCTCCTCCAGGGATTTCTATCGGCAGCTTGTGGCTAATTTAGAGTTGATGGCAAATTGGTACAACAAGGTTATGAAAACTCTGCTGGAGGTGGAATTTCCATTAGTGGAGGAAGAGCTGCAAAATATTGATCTCCGCCTCAGAGCAGCAGAGGAGACTTTGAACTGGAAAACAGAAGGTAACAGGGCACCATCTGAAGTCTGACAAAAACATGGAGATTCGAGGATCTAATAAAGTTCATAGAACCTCCAATTATTCCCTGGTAATCTTATTTGGGGTTGAAACATAAGTCTGTCTTCTCCTTTGACACATATCCAAGCAGAGAAGGCAAGAAGGGTTGGTATTCCTTTTTTTCCTTTTCTATGGATATAGTTGATAAATTTAGAAAACCTTGTTGCCATGCATGTTGGGAGGCTCAGAAGTTGCATAAGATCTCCTACAGTCTCCAGCATATATTGGGTGCTCCATGAGTGACAGCTCTTACTATATTATCTTTGTTATTTAATTTTCTTAACTAGATTGTAAGCATCTTAAAGCAGTATGCATTGACTTCTCTGGTATCTCTCAATTCAATACACTTTCATTGGCTGATTAATACGCGCAGGGTACTGTGTGACAAATTAGATTTGAGGTGTATGGGACATGGTCTCTACCCTCAAAGAGCTCACATTTAGTGGGGACAACAGACAGATATACAACATAACTTATACAGAGCCATATGATGACTTTCATGAAAAGCCATCATAGAGGTAAAAATGAAGTGTGATGAATAGCAGGAGAGGGATTCACAGGAGGGAATCACAGGAGAGGGAGATTAATTCGAATTAGGGTCCTCAGAAGTGTTAAAGTTTGAAAAAAAAAGATTATAGTTGATTCATGAAAGTCTTAGAATGCCATATTAAACAAGTTAGAACTTTATTTCATATACAAGAGGAAAAGACATTTTCAAAATTTAACATGATGAAAGTGCTTAAAACATTAAAAGAAAGATTAACCCAAATAAGGTCATCAAGTCTCACTGGTGTTTGGATATAAGATTGCATTCCCTAGCAGCTGTACCAGCTTTTGTGTGCTTGGTAAGTAAGCATTACCTCTTTCTCTTCCTCCATAATCAGGATTATGGTAAGGGTAGGCTTTTTTTTTTTTTTTTTTTTTTTGAGACAGAGTCTCGCTCTGTCACCCAGGCTGGAGTGCAGTGGCACAATCTCGGCTCACTGCAAGCTCTGCCTCCCGGGTTCACGCCATTCTCCTGCCTCAGCCTCCCGAGTAGCTGGGACTACAGGCACCCACCACCCCACCCAGCTAATTTTTTGTATTTTTAGTAGAGACAGGGTTTCACCGTGTTAGCCAGGATGGTCTCGATCTCCTGACCTCGTGATCCGCCCACCTCGGCCTCCCAAAGTGCTGGGATTACAGGCGTGACCCACCGTGCCCGGCCAGGGTTGGCTTTTTAATACAACTAGGAGGGAGAATATTCTGACGATAATGAAGTTACCTGTGTAGAAAAGTCTTATAACACTCGCAAGTATTAAATCCCTGTCTTTCATAGCAACTAGCCCTTTAGCTATGCCACTGCAGGCTATTTCAATTAATTATGTTTCTTTTGGGGAACAGGCATTTGCGATTATGTCACTGAAATCACCAGTAGTATTCATGATCTTGAACAAAGAATTCAGAAAACTAAAGACAATGTGGAAGAGATCCAAAACATCATGAAAACATGGGTGACTCCAATATTTAAGACAAAAGATGGAAAAAGGGAATCCCTTCTTTCTCTGGATGATCGGCATGATCGAATGGAAAAATATTACAATCTCATCAAGGAATCTGGCCTTAAGATCCACGCCCTTGTTCAGGTAATAACCCAGCCACTCAGGCGCACATACTACGAGTTTAGGGAAAGCATCAAAAAGTGTGTTTGGATGAATAAGTGATTAGGACAGTCAGTAAGTGCAGTGTCTTCCGAAGACAAGGATAGAAGTTTAGGCTGATAGCAAAAGACTAAAGCTGATAGACTGGGCAAATGAAAAGTTGCATTTTGGTATCAATGTGTTGAAATTATTACTATCTTCATGGTGACAACATTTAATTGTCACATGACTTCGGTCTCACACCTACCCCCAAGGGAACAGAAGAAGATGACAAGGGCAAAATTCCAAATTATCCACTGCAGTAACCATCCCCATCCCGGCTTGCCCACACAACATATTGTGGTCCTCCAGCATCATCCTTATAACCCGGCTCCGTAGAGCCTAAAGAAATGAAAGACTACCGTGGTATCCCTAACTGTGTGTGATAAGAGGAAAAAATGCAGAGTGCTACACTTCATGCTGTAAAGCTCTGCCCTGCATTAGTGGTCAGGGAAACTTTACGTCCCATCATCAAAGACTGAAGCTTCCTTGTGAACAATGGGAAAGGATTATAAATGGCCACCAGCTCCAGCCCTACGCAAGTAGCTATAGGGCCATGTCTGACAAGTTGACTCCTGTGGAAAGTCACAAGTGAATCACAGTTGTTATCTGTGGATTTTCTGTGGTTTGAAGCACAATAAAAATGTTGAGCCTTAAGCACTAATGATTACCAGAATTAAGATAATTATCCCAATTTTATCTTTGAGAGTAAAGAGCTGCTCAAGTTGAAGAGTCCCTCAAGTTGATTTAATTTTTAACCCCTTCTGTCCCCACATCCAGTAAATCAGCAGCTGTTGTAGAACCCAGCCATCTGCTTTTCATTCGTCTTTCTTTCATCCAACTGTTCATTCATCCACTCATTCACCCATCCATCCATCAGCTGTATTTCCATAGCTATCCTGGGCACTGTATCGAATACCAAGAAAATGTAAGATATAGTCCCCGCTTTGAGGTAGAAGAAAACCATCAAGCAAAAAAAGGAATTACTTAAGATTTTAAAAGTTTAAAATCGATCTAGGCCGGGCGCGGTGGCTCACGCTTGTAATCCCAGCACTTTGGGAGGCCGAGGCGGGCGGATCACGAGGTCAGGAGATCGAGACCATCCTGGCTAACACGGTGAAACCCCGTCTCTACTAAAAATACAAAAAAATTAGCCGGGCGTGATGGCGGGCGCCTGTAGTCCCAGCTACTCGGGAGGCTGAGGCAGGAGAATGGCGTGAACCCGGGAGGCGGAGCTTGCAGTGAGCCGAGATTGCGCCACTGCACTCCAGCCTGGGCCACAGAGCGAGACTCCGTCTCAAAAAAAAAAAAAAAAAAAAAAAGTTTAAAATCGATCTATCATCCATCTATCGTCTATGTATCTATCTATTGATGTATCACCTATCTATGTGATGACAAATGCTCAAATCCATGCTCTTGAAAGTCAGAATGAGAAAAAATTCAGACAAATCACAAAATCAGTGAGACAAGCACAGTGACCTAGAAAAAAGTACATATTGTAACATTTTAATTATCCAGGGGTCAACCAGGAAATAACCAAAAATGGCCACAAGCCAAAATACTTATCACAAGAGTCTCTAAAAGTTCAGACACTTTAATAATAATTCTTACTATAACACAATAATAGTAGTTGATATTTATCTAGTATCTACTATACACTACCATACAGTGCCAGGCACTGTCCTAAGCATTGTCCATTTCATGTAATTCTCATGAAAATCAGATACTTTCATTATCATTTTATTGATAAGAAAACGAAGGCACAGACAGGCTAAATTAATTGTCTGTAGCTGCCCAGTTAATAGGAAGCAGAGCTGTCTGACTGTAGCTCTGCATTTATCCAATATATTACACAACCTCCAGGGTAGTCATAAAGGTCCCTCAGGTCAAATACAAAACTTAGTAATTAGGCCTTAAATAATGTTTGCCTTTTGATAATTTAAATATTTTTAGACAAAAACCACTGAACAGAAGCTCCACGAACAGAAGACATTTTTATCTTTTTCTGCTAATTGGTACATAGGCACCCATCACCCAAGCAGTGTACACTGTACCCAGTGTGTAGTCTTTTACCCTCCCCCACCTCCCACCCTTTCCTCCGAGTCCCCAAAGTCCATTGTATCCTCCTTATGCCTTTGCCTCCTCATAGTTTAGCTCCCACTTATGAGTGAGAACATACAACGTTTGGTTTTCCATTCCTGAGTTACTTCACTTAGAATAATGGTCTCCAAGTCCATCCAGGTTGCTGCAAATGCCATTATTTCATTCCTTTTCATGGCTGAGTAGCATTCCATGGTGTGTGTGTGTGTGTGTGTGTGTGTGTGTGTGTAGAACTAGATAAAAGATAAAAATTTAGAGAAAAAGATAAAAATTTCTTCTGTTCATGGAGCTTCTGTTCAGTGGTTTTTGTCTAAAAATATTTAAATTATCAAAAGGCAAACATTATTTAAGGCCTAATTACTAAGTTTTGTATTTGACCTAAGGGACCTTTATGACTACCCTGGAGGTTGTGTAATATATTGGATAAATGCAGAGCTACAGTCCCCATGTATATATATATACACACACACACACACCATGTATATACATAGACACACACACACACACCATGGAATGCTACTCAGCCATGAAAAGGAATGAAATAATGGTATTTGCAGCAACCTGGATGGAATTGGAGACCATTATTCTAAGTGAAGTAACTCAGGAATGGAAAACCAAACATTGTATGTTCTCACTCATAAGTGGGAGCTAAACTATGAGGAGGCAAAGGCATAAGAATGATACAATGGACTTTGGGGACTCAGAGGAAAGGGTGGGATATATATATATATATACATATATATACACACACACACATACACACACACATACATATACATATCACAATTTCTTTATCCACTCATTGACTGATAGGCATTTGGGCTGGTTCCATATTTTTGCAATTGCAAATTGTACTGCTATAAACGGGCCTGTGCCCAGTATCTTTTTCATATAATGACTTCTTTTTCTCCAGGTAGATACCCAGTAGTGGGATTGCTGGGTCAAATGGTAGTTGTACTTTTAGTTCTTTCAGGAATCTCCACAGTGTTTTTCATAGTGGTTGTGCTAGTTTACATTCCCATCAGCAGTGTAAAAGTGTTCCCTTTTCATCACATCCACGCCAACATCTATTTCTTTTATTTGTTTGGTTATGGCCATTCATGCAGGAGTGAGGTGGTATTGCATTGTGGTTTTGATTTGCATTTCCCTGATCATTAGTGATGTTGAGAATTTTTTCATATATTTGTTGGCCATTTGTTTATCTTCTTTTGAGAATTGTCTATTCGCATCTTTAGCCCACTTTTTGATGGGATTGTTTGTTCTTTTCTTGCTGATTTGCTATAACTAGATTTTTAAAACAGTGTACCCAATAACTGTCTATGTCACTAATTATCTTCTATGATATCATGCGTAACGTTTAATTGTGTGGATGCACCAGGATTTGACTAACTCATCCCACTGTTGGATATTTGGGTACAGTTGGTTATTCATTTATTAAAGTTGTAGTATAATATACATGCAGTACAACGTACAGACAAAAAGTATACATAGAGCTCAGTGAGTTTTTACAAATGTATACACTCAGGTAACTACCACAATACAGAACGTTTGCTATTACCCTAGAAAGTTCACCTGTCCCTCTTTCCAGTCAATACATCCCCATTCTCCTGCGAGCCTCAATCACTGATCAGCTTTTTGTCAATATAGAGTAGATTTGTCTTTTCCTATAAATGGAATTACGTAGCAAGTTCTCTTTTGTGTCTGCCTTTTTAAAACTTAGCCTAGTGTTATTGAGATTTATCCATATTGTTGCATTTATTTCGAGTCTAATTCTTTTTATTGCTAGAATTCCATTGTATGAATATAACAGAATTCATCCAGTCCCCTGATGATGGTCTTTGAGTTATTTCTAGTTTCAGACTATTATAAATAAAGCTTGTATGTACAGTCTGATATAAGTTATTCCATGGACATATGTTTTCATTTCTCTTGAGAACTGCAGGGTCATCAGTAGGCATATGTTTAATGTGTGTAAGTAATAGCCCAGCAGTTTTCAAAAGTGATTGTGTAGTTTATACTCCCAGTGGCAGTGTAATAAAGTTCAGTTGCTCTACTTCTTCACCAAATTGTGGGTTTATGTTGTGGTCTTTTAAATTTTTACCATTTTAGTCAGTGTGTTTTTGTATCTCACTGAAATTTTAATTTGTCTTTCCCTGAAGATTTATACTTTTGAATATTTTTTCATATGCTGATTGGCCAATTATATGAATTCCTCTATAAAGTGTCTAAGTGTTTTTCTCATTTTAAATTGGATGGTTTATAGTTCTAGCAATCGTTTACAGCTTCTGGTTACACATCTTTTGACAGATATGTGTGTTGTGAATATCTTCTCCAAATTGGTGGTTTACTTATATTCTTATTGATATATGTTGATGAGAAATAGTTTTAAATTTTCATGTTGTGTGATTTCCCTTTTCTCCTCTTGTGGTTAGTACTTTTGAGTCCTAAGGAAACTATTTACTCCAAAGATTGCAAAGATATCTTTTATTTTTTTTCTTTTAGAAGTTTTACAGTTTTAACTTTTTTATTCAGGAGTATTATCTGTCTTGAATTAATTTTTGTTTAGGAGGTTACAGGAATTGAGTTCATTGTTTTCCATAGTAACATCTGATTGTTCCCATACTATTAAAAATAACTTTCCCTTTTGAATTTTTTGGCACCTTTGTTGAAAATTGATTAATTGTATAAAATATTAATAAAAAATATATATGGTGGAAAATACCAATGCCACTTGTTCTTGATTATTGATCAAGAGAAAATTGATTATCAGTAAGTCTGAAAATCAGGTTCTATATGTCCTGCAATTCAGTTTTTCCTTTTCAAGGTCATTTTGACTAGTATAAGTTCTTTACATATCCACATAAGTTTTAGATTCAGCCTGCCAATTTCTAGGGGGAAAAAGGCTAGATGTGATTTTGATTGAGATTACATTAAATCTGTAGATTAATTTGAGGAAAATAAAGACCTTAACAATATTGAATATAGCAGTTTATGAACCCGGCATATCTCTTCACTTAGTTAAGTCTCTAATTTTTCTCTGCAATGCTTTGTAGTTTTAGTGTAGAAGTCTCACACATTTTCCATTAAATCTAGCACCAAGTTTTTTATGTTTGCAGTTCTACAACAAATGGAATTGTTTTATTAATTTCATTTTCCAATTACTATCAGGTAGTGTATACAAGCATCATTGATTTTTACATTTTGATATTATATTCCGTGATCTTTCTAAATTTATTAGATGTAGTAATTGCTTTGTAAATTTAGGATGATGATCTATGTAAATAAGTCATTTGCAAATAGAGACAATATTACCTCTTTATTTCCAATTTTTTATGTCTTTTTTTTTCTTTTTGGCCTTATTGCTCTGGCTAGAACCTTCAGTATAACGTTGAAGTGGTGAGAGTAGAAATGCTCGCCTCATTTCCAATTATATGGAGACACATTTGGTAATTCACCATTAAATTTTTAGCTGTAGGGTTTCATGGATGTTCTTTGTCAGACCCAGGAAGACCCCTTTTATTCCTAGTTGACTAAAAGAGTTTCATCATGATTAAACATCGAATTTTATCACATGATTTCTCTGCATCTCCTGAGGTGGTTATATAATTTTACTCCTTTTTTCTGTTAATGGGCACTTTGTTCTTTTTTTTTCAAATGTTAAACCCAAATTTGCATTTCTGAGATAAATGCATTCGATCATGTCATATTAATCTTTTCATGTATTATAGTATTTGCTCTGATAATTTTAAAAGATTTTTGTACGTGTGTTTAAGAATGACATTTATCTTCTACTTTTATTTTCTTTTGATGTTCTTGTTTCGGTGTTAAGATTATGCTAGCCTCATAAAATGAGTTGGGAAGTATTTCCTCTTTTATTTTCTGAAAAAGTTTGTGGAAGGTTGGTCTTAACTCAACCTTAAATATGTGATAGAATTCACCAGGGAATACTTCTGGATATGGATGTTTCTTCTGGGGAAAGTGTTTGATAATTATTTCTTAGATAGATGAAAGACTATTTAGATTTTTTGCCTAACACCTTTATTAGTTTTTGCAAGTTGCTTTTTCTACAAACGTTTTCATTTTATCTAAGTTATAAAACTTACTGGCAAAAAAAATTGTTCATAATTATTTCTTATTATCATTATGTGTTGGCAGAAGAGCTGAGGCAGGGCTTGCTTGTCTGACATAATGTAAAAGAGTCTTGGAACATGTCCTGCTTCCAGGGTCTAAAACCCCTTGTGGCCTATGGAACACCAAGCTCTGTGCCAAAGGGTGGAAGGCTGCCCTGCTGCACTGCAATCTAAGCCCAGGGCATAAAACCCCTTGTGGCTGGGAGAGAACCCAGGCATCAGGGCATAAAACCCCTTGTAGCCTCTGGAATGTGTCCAGACTCACTGGCCCCTTGCTCCTTGCTCTCCCAAGATCATAAATTCATTGTATCTTGAATTAGAAGAACCTGTTTTCCCTTATCTCAAGTAGCAGAGCATATGCTAAACCGTCACAGCTACGCTTGATGCACCACTACCTTTCTATCCTCACATCCTCATCTTTCTACCCCTACATCAGCACGTCCTCACCACCTGCTTCTTTGTTTGATTACCAGTAAATAGTGTGGGCTCCCAGAGCTCGGGGCCTTCACAGCCTCCAAACTGGCGTTGGCCCCCTGGGCCCACCCTATGTACTCTTAACTTGTCTTATCTCATTCCTTTGATTCTGCTGGACTTCGTAGCCCCCACGACCTGGTGTTTGGTCTGATTACCCCAACATTATGTGTCTATGGGATCTGTAGTGCTGCATCCTTTTTCATTCCTAATATTGGCAATTTGTGACTTGTTTTCCTTGGTCGGTTTTGCTAGAGATTTTTTCTTTTTCTTAATTTTATAAATCCTTTCAAAGAACCAAATTTTGATTTTGCTAATTTTCTCTATTCATCTATTTTCTAGTTTATTAATTTATGTTTTTTAGTATTTCATTCAAGTTACTTTAGGGTTAGTTGCTTATCTGTTTTTAGCCTGTTAGGGTATAAACTTAGGGTCTTGATTTTAAGCCTTTCTCTTGAATATGGGCTGATGGTGATACTAGTTACCCTTTTAGTAGTGCTTTAGTTTCATTCTACAAATTTGATCTACCTCATTTGCATTGTTATTCAGTTTTAAATGTTTCTTTTTTTTTTTTTTTTTTTTTGAGACAGAGTCTTGCTCTGTCCCCTAGGCTGGAGTGCAGAGGTACTGTCTCAACTTACTGCAACCTGCGCTTCCCAGGCTCAAGCGATTCTTGTGCTTCAGCCTCCCAAATGGCTGGGATTATAGGGATGTGCCACCATACCCAGCTAATTTTTGAATTTTTAGTAGAGATGAGGTTTTGCCCTGTTGGCCAGGCTGGTCTGGAACTCCTGGTCTCAAATGATCCACCTGCCTTGACCTCTCAAACTGCTGGGATTACAGGTGTGAACTACCATGCCCAGCTCTTGTTATAACTTATTTTACTCAATGGTCACTTTGAAGTTTGTTGTTTAATTTCCATATATTCAGAGCTTCTCTGGATATCTTTAAAAATTGATATCTAATTTAATTCTATTGTGCTCAGAGAAGATACTCTGTAAGCTTTCAGTCTTTGGGAATTTTCTGAGACTTGTTTCATGACCCAGAATATAGTCTATCTTACTGAGTGTTCCTTGGAGACTTGATAATAATGTTTATTCTTCTTTTGTTGGGGGTAGTGTTCTATAAATATAAATTAGTTCAAAGCAATTGATAGCATTGTTGTGATCTTTTACAGGCTACTTGTTCTATCAATTATTGAAGGTAGAGTGTTAAAATCTCCACTTACAATTTTGGATTTGTCTATTTCAATTTTAGTTCTGTTAAATTTTTTTGTCATGTGTTTGAAGTTCTGTTAAGTTCTGTTATAATAACTATAAATTTCACATTTATAATTATAAATGTGTAACATTTTAGCACATTTATAATTATTACAACTTCCTGATTAATTGACCATTTTATCATTATGAAATTCCCTTTTTATTTCTAAAAATACCCTCTTGTTTTGAAATCTATTTTTTTCTGATAATAATATAGCCTTTCCTATCTGATTCATTATTCTTACTTTTTGTATTTTGCATCTTTTCCCATCATTTTACCTTCAACCTATTTGTTTCTTGGATTGAAATTTCTTGTCTTAATAGTCGGCATATAATACAAATTTATTTTTTTAAGTCTAACAACTCTGCCTATTAATTGGAATGCATAGACTGTTTACATTTAATGTAAGCATTTGTATGGTTGAATTTAGCTCTACTAAATTTTGCTTTTTGTTTTCTATTTGCTTCATTGCTTTCTTGTTCCTCTGCTCTTCCATTGTCACCTGCTTTTTGGGTAACTGTATATTTTTTAGTATTCTATTTTAATTTCTCAATTGGCATTTCAGCTTTACCTTGTTGCATTACAATTCTAGTGGTTGTTCTAGGTTTCAGTATGCATCTTCAGCTTATCACAATCTACTTAGACTTTTCCTACAGAAACCTTGCAAAAGTGTGGTGTAATTTAACCTCTCACCTATTTTTTATACTGCTGTTGTGTGAGATATTTATATATATGCACACACACATAATATATATTAATAGTAAAATATATGGTATCTATTAATATGCATATTGAGCCCCACAATGCAGTGTTATAGTTTTTACTTTTAAAATTTAAGAAAAAATATTTACAGTGTTTTATATTTACTCACATACTCATCATCTTCAGGCTTGTTATTCCCTTTTATAGATATAAATTACCATCTGGGATTATTTCTCTTCAGCCTGAAGAAATTTATTTACTACTTCTTCAAGTTCAGGTCTGCTTATGACATATTCTCTCAGTCTTTGTTTATCTAAAAATGTCCTTATTTCATCTTTGTTTTTAAAGGACAGTTTCATTTGGTACACAATTGTGTTTATAGTTTTGCTTTCTTTTGGAAGTTATTTCATTATCACCTACCCTCCAATGTTTCTTATAAGAAGTCAGTCATAATTTGAATCTTTGTTTCTCTATATGTAATGTATTATTTATCTCAGGCTGCTTTTACTAGATTCTTTTTTAATCTTTGATATTTTTTCAGCACAGTGATAATATTCCCAAGTTGGTCGTCATTGTGTTCTTCATGCTTGGAGTTTGTAAGTTTCTTGAAATTCTTTTTCACTAAATTTTGTGAAATTATGATATTCTTATCTACTAATTTCAATATCTGTGTTATTTTCTGAGTCTATTTCTTTTCTCTTTTTTAATGAGACAGAAGTTTAATTTTCTCTCACATAAAATAGGTTTAATGAATAGGCTTTCTGGGATTAGAATGACAATTATGAAATCAGAGACCTACCCAGATTATTTTCTGAATCTGTTTTTAGTGACTGTTTTCTCTCCTGGTTAAATGGCACCTTTTTCTGCTTGTTTGTATGTCTAGTAATTTTTTTATTATGTGCTAGACATGTTGGAGGCCACTTGAATGCCACTTGAGAATCTGGATTTTTTTCCTTTAAAGAGTTTGATTTTTGTTTTGGCAGTCCACTAATTTGCTGATGGATCACCTTGATCCTGTTGAGGCTCGCTTTTTTTTTTTTTTTTTTTTTTTTTTGAGACGGAGTCTCGCTCTGTCGCCCAGGCTGGAGTGCAGTGGCGGGATCTCGGCTCACTGCAAGCTCCGCCTCCCGGGTTCACGCCATTCTCCTGCCTCAGCCTCCCAAGTAGCTGGGACTACAGGCGCCCGCCACTATGCCTGGCTAATTTTTTGTATTTTTAGTAGAGACGGGGTTTCACCGTTTTATCCAGGATGGTCTCGATCTCCTGACCTCGTGATCCGCCCGCCTCGGCCTCCCAAAGTGCTGGGATTACAGGCGTGAGCCACCGCGCCCGGCCCGAGGCTCGCTTTTTAAGGGTCTAAAGAGGACTTACTCTGGAATCGAGCAGCTCTAACTTATGGTGTTTCCAGGGTCTCAACTGAATTCCTGGGTTATCTGCAAGGTTGCTTCATTATTTCTAATAGAACCCTAACATCTTCCAACACTATATGGCCTACATAATTTCCATTCAGCTTAGAGCACTCTGCAACTATTCTTTACCAGAGGCTTGCTCTAAACATATATAGCTGATTCCTCAGTCAGACTCAAGAGGAGCCAGCCCCGACAGCAGCACCAAACTCCAAATTCTGTCTTCTCTGCCTATCAGCAGGGATGCTGTAACTAAGCTCCACTAACCTATGCCATAGTTTGAAAAGGGCCTTTGGGTAGAAAGCCAGGTGGTGGTGAGGCTCACCTTGAGTATGTCCCTTGTTTCAAGGATCACATTCTTGTTCTGTCTGTTATCCAGTTACCCAAACCAATTAATTCTTTTATTATAATCAGTTCTGTGTTTGTTTGCAGAAGACCAAGTACAATCTCACTCTCTGCTGTTGTGGTTAAAATCAGAAACCTGAACTATTTCTTCCTACTTCATAGAAAATTCCAACACGTTTGTTTCTTAGACCGCAATAGATTTGAGGCAGTAAACAAAGGTGAAAGATATAGATATTATATTGATAGCTTGACAGTAAGAGAAGATAGAACAATTATACAAAGCAGTCATAAACACTAGAAGTGATTTAATGTGGAAGCAAACAAGCATACACATCTTAATACCCGAGAGAAACTCTGTCTTGTCACTGTGTTGTGATTTGCATGGTGATGGACTTTAAGTCACAAAGAACATCTTAAGTCTACTTAAGAAAGAAAGGTGTAGGTATTGCATCTTAGAAATTGTAGAGTTGTGTTACCTAAAAGCAGAATCATGAGATTGTTTAAATCCAGGGAGATTTATAACATGGCAATACACCCTGAAGAGGTAAATATGAATCATCTAGAAAAGTTACGTCTGCAAGTTAGTTCCTGATTTTTCTGAAGATATTAGATAACTGGAAAGTTGCTGTAAAAAGTGTTAATACTGCAAATGACAAAGAGTAAATGGGATGTCTGTACTTGGCATTGCTGGAGCATTTAGGCTTCCTTTCCTTGAAGCCCAAACTTTGTTACCATGGTGATGCTTGGATGCCAATAGGTCAAGAGTGTATCATGTAAAAGAGAAGGCGGGGAGGAAGGAGGGGAGAGAGAGAGAGAGAGTGAGAGAGAGAGAGAGAGAAACATTTTTTATTTATTTGTGTGCATTTTCTAAATCACTCAGTAGGATTGAATGCCAACTGCAAAACATTTCAGCTCATTTCTAAGAATTAACCAGAAAATGCTTTGCTTCTTTGAACCTGAAATTTTTATTAAACCTTGAATCTTAATACTATCTACCCTTAGAATTCCTTCCTCTGCCTACCCTCACTTCTGCCCTGATGCAACTTCCTCCACAGTATATCAACCAGCACTTAGGAAGCACACACATTGCATCCATCAGCATTGCTTCTGAGAAGCTGGGCCAACCCCATCCTCCTTCCTCAGGGACAGGTTGTCCCCTATATTACCGTCATGGACTAACTTTGCCTTCCTTTCAGTCAATGGTAATACTCATTAGGCAGAGTGGATTCGATACATGTGTAATAGCAAATTCTCCACAAGAGAGTTTTTTTCTCCATATGTTGTTTTTATTTTGACTGTTGATTACACCAGTTCTTTCATGCTATTAAACGAGGTTTATATCCTTTCTTCTTCCTTTTATAGGAAAACCTGGGTCTATTTTCAGCAGACCCAACCTCCAATATCTGGAAGACTTATGTTAACTCTATTGACAATTTGTTGCTGAATGGATTCTTTCTTGCCATTGAGTGCTCCCTCAAGTATCTTCTGGAAAATACTGGTACTTACTGGCTTATGGATGTGGGTTATTATTGGAAAGATAACAACAGTAACATTTGTTGAATTATATTGAAGAGCAGCTGAGTGCTCTGTGACTTTTCCCAAAACGTTGTAGACCTTTTGTGAATGATGCACAGGAAAACAGAAAAGGTATCGAACTTCTAAATTGTTCAAAGACAAAAGATTTCTGACGCTTAAAATTAGATAATAAACCAGGCTGTAAGACAGTGGTGCACATAGCAAAAGTATAAAAGTGAATTCACTCTAAATCAAGCTTCAGTAAAGAGGAGTGACCACGTTAAGAAGCAGGAAGCACTGTTAGCAATAAAGGCAGAAGGCTTCATCCAAGCTTGACTTATGGCAATGGGTGGGGGACATTCTGTGCCTTCAAGCTTCATGTATTTTATCTCTGTAGACTTTTGAGAACACAAGGAGATTGTGTCCGCCAGGTTAAATGGAAGAAACAGAAGTTTTTCTGAGTGAAAGAGTCACACAAGAAGTAGGGGAGGAGGTAATTTTCAGAAGAAAAAGAAATGTGTAGAACACAATGGGCATTCTTTGAAGCTTTTAAAAAACAATTAAAGGCTTTGAATTTATAGTGGATAAACTGGGGTAAGGTACACAGAGTGAAAGATACAGAAAGGGCTAACCTTAGCTAGTGAATGATGAAATGGACAGGGCAGAAGAGTTCAGGACTAAAAGTCGAATTAAACCTTCACATTCTGGCAGATTCTGAGTTGCTTAGCAAATAACCTATAGAAGGATTTGTCAAAATGGTAAGGCAGAGGTAAATAGTTTGAAGCCAGAGGATGGAAGTAAGATGAGAGTTTTTAAGAACTCAAGGATTGAAATGAAATACTGATGTAAAATAAATAGTCCAAGGCCAGTGTCCAGATATCCAGCCCATAAAAGAGACTACATGCAGACACCTACGTTGAGAATCCAGAGAGAAGGAAGGCCCAGCACTGAGTGTAGCCCCAATGGCCATCCCCATGGTCTTGATAGGTAGAATGGCTGAGGTGTTAGGCATGGTCTTTGCTTGCAGGATACAGGGGTGCTCCAAACTAAGGAAATCAACAACAGGACTCAGGAAATCCAGCATAGTTAGCAAGGTAAGAGATCATCTTCTGGAGCCTGGGAGCAACAAGCCAATGGGGCATGGAACACGGGCACCAAGTCTGGATAACTGGCTCTTACGGACCAGCACTGGTGGTGTCCACCTTAGTGAACTGACCAAGCCTCCTCTAATGCTGGAGGTTCAGGGGGCTTCATCACTAAGCCCTCCCTAGAGAATCTAGGAAGATACCCCAGCCATACTTGGGTGCAGGCAGTGCACTAGAAGTGGTGCCTAAATGACTTCATCCTTGACCAATGGCTCTCTGGTTCTCCTGATCTGGGCTATCCGATGTGCCATGTGTCCACTTGTGGGAAGGACAGAGTGGGACCAGGGGATGGAGAGAAGAGATGGCAGTCTTTCTCCAAGATTACCAAAGTTTCCTTCGCTTTGTGGAAATAGGAGGACAGGGGAACACATTTTCTTCACAATATAGAGGCCCTTCGAATTCTCCTTCGAACGGGTGGGAGCTGAATTTATCAGCTGCCTGATCTGAAGCACTATAGATAAAATTTGAAAGGCACTGGTTATCTAAGGGGAAGTAAAGGAGCCTAAAGGGGCCTCTGAGAAGAAAATCATGGTGACCCCTTGCAGTGACTCAGTTGGGTGGCTTTGTCATCCTAGGTCCACCTTACCATTTTGTCTGGTCAAACCCACAATAAATGAGGGTAAGGCCCTGGAAAATGGTAAAGCCACAGGATGGAAGGAACCTGTCCACCAAACTGGAACACTCACCTTGCACTGTTAACCTGGAGGGGAGTAGACTTCTTTGACCTTTGGAGTCTAGAGCAGAGCAGGGGCTTCTATGACATTGTTGAGGGCATTCCCAAGGCTTGGGTTGGTTTCCCTGTCATCTCTCAACCCAAACCCTGCATAGGTTATATGCTTCCCACTCCATAGAGAAATGTCCCTCCTCCTCTTACCTAGTAAAATGATTTACGTGCACCAACACTGTGGAACCAGGACAATCTGCTTTGGATGATAATTACATTGGCGTTACATCCAATGTAGAGATTACAGTCCCATGTCAACATATGGGACAAAAATCTCATACAGTCAAAACATTCTGTCAAGTCTTTTGAATTCCGTAAACTATATGCAACTTTGTCTATTAATTTATAAGTACATAATATGTATATTAATGCAGAATATGTCATGAGTATATATATAAAGCAAATTATAGGTGATTTTATAAGCTATACTATTTTATAAACATAGTAGTTTTTATAAACTATACCATCTTATAAACTTATAGTAGTATAATTACTTTGTTATTGGTAAACTTGTGTTCCCTTAAGTCAAATATTGGGACTCTCCTGAGTCCAATCTTGTGTTCCCTTAAGTTAAATATTGGGACTGTCCTGAGTCCAATAATGAGAATTTGTCATCCCTCCAGTTCTGAAGGCAAGGCCCTATTCTTACGTATTTTGAGTATACTGCAGTATTTTACTTAGGGTGAGTGGCTAAGCTGTGGTAACAAAAACTCCATCAACAATATGGTTTGAAGGACAGAGAAGTCTACCCTTGAAAGCAAGAGTCAAAGGTGAGTGTTCCAGTCTTATGGGCAGGTTCCTTCTGTCCTATGGCTCCACCATTCTTCAGGGCCTTGTCCTCATTTCTGGGGTTGAACTGACTCACTGCCATGTCCAGGCTCTAGTCTGGTAGAGGAGAAGGAGACTGAGTACAGAGAAGGATCACCTGCAGTCTCAAGAGTCCCAGCCCACAAGTGGCACCATCATGTTGTCCTACATCCACTGGTGAGGAAATTTCGTTGCCACACCTGTCTGCAAGCAAGGCTGGGAAATCTGGTCAAATCCCAGTTATTACTCTATTTCAAGGGAAGAAGACAACGATGGATTTCAGTGAACAGGCTCTGCCACCCACAGTATCCAGCCCATAACGGGCTCCTAAATATAACTACAATTGAAAAGTCATATAAAAATAAGTGGTTATTGATAAAAACTTTAACCATATATCTTGTACCTGGAACATCTTGCTCTGTGTTGTATTTTGATTTAAATTTAGCAAGGCAAGTTGACCTAGTAAGTAATCAGGGATTTGTTAATTATTCATACTGTTTTTAAAATTTTTATCACTACAGGACCACAGCAATAAATTATTTCTTAGAAAAGGATAAGGAGCAGAATAGGCAGAATTGTAATTTCTCTTTGTGGTTCATGTCTGTACATCGTTGACAAGCCTGCCCCTGTTCACCTAGAGTGATAAGTGGAATTGTATGGCTTGTGCCTAGGAAGAAATCAGCTGCTTCCAAGAAATGGGCTTTGAAAAATCAACCTCTTGTTGGCTGGGCGCGGTGGCTCATGCCTGTAATCTCAGCACTTTGGGAGGCCAAGGCGGGCGAATCACGAGGTCAGGAGTTTGAGACCAGCCTGGCCAGTGTGGTGACACCCTATCTCTACTACAAATACAAAAATTAGCCGGGCATAGTGTCGCATGCCTGTAGTCCCAGCTACTTGGAAGGCTGTGGCAGAAGAATCTCTTGAACCCGGGAGGTGGAGGTTGCAGTGAGTCAAGATTGTGCCACTTCACTCCAGCCTGGGTGACAGAGTCAGACTGCATCTCAAAAAAAAAAAAAAAAAAAAAACAATCAATCTCTTCTCAACCAGAGGCTGGACTGTCCCCCAGGAGGCATTTGAGAATGTGGAAGGGGAGTGGCTTGGGCTGATCAGTCACTAGGATGTGCTCCATGAAGACAAGGAAAGTAAATATCCTGCAGTACCCAGGAGAGCCCTGCAGCAGAATGGGCCTATTCAAATGTCAGTGGTTCCCCCATTGAGAAGCACTGCAAGACTATCACCCTCACATTGTATGGGATGTAAACAAAATTTTACATTTCCGTTTCCCTACAGTCTAGCAGCCTATCTAAAGAAAAGCATTGCTCTGGGTGCTTTTAAAACAGTCCTCTACTTTGTCCATTTTATCCACTCTTTGTTTTGTTTGCTTGTTTTCTGTGTTTTTCAGAGTGTAAGGCAGGACTTACCCCAATATTTGAAGCACAACTGAGTCTAGCCATCCCAGAGCTAGTTTTCTATCCGTCTCTGGAGTCTGGAGTGAAGGGGGGTTTCTGTGACATTGTTGAGGGTCTCATCACCAGCATTTTTAGGATACCATCTCTGGTGCCACGGCTTTCCCCACAAAATGGCTCTCCTCACTATCAGGTACTGGAGCTGCAGCCATCCTGCCCTCCAACTGTGTCCCGTCCAGCCGAATCTCGAACTTCCTGCCACACACTGGTGTAACCTGCCTGCCGTTGTCTCGCTTCCCCAGGTCGACCTGGACGGTATACCAGATTTGGCAAACATGCGGCGCACACTCATGGAGAGAGTCCAGAGAATGATGGGCCTCTGCTGTGGCTATCAGAGCACCTTCAGCCAGTATTCGTACCTCTATGTGGAGGACCGGAAGGAGGTTCTGGGTCAGTTTCTGCTGTACGGGCACATCCTCACTCCGGAAGAAATTGAAGACCATGTGGAAGATGGCATCCCAGAGAACCCTCCCCTCCTTTCTCAGTTTAAAGTGCAAATCGACTCCTATGAAACGCTCTATGAAGAGGTGTGCAGGCTGGAACCCATCAAGGTGTTTGACGGCTGGATGAAAATTGATATTCGACCCTTTAAGGCATCTCTGCTGAATATTATTAAGAGGTGGAGCCTCCTGTTCAAACAGCATCTTGTGGACCACGTCACTCACAGGTACAACAGTTGTTTTCACTTTCTTCCAGCATGCTAGGCTGTGAGGAACACCATGTTTTTAAACCTTTTTTATATTTTTTCCCCATGGGTATGTTGGTTAAATTAAAGATTAAGACAGCTGGTTAGAGGTTCTAGGCTTTTGGACACCATGGTAACTTAAGTCCTGCCCTTTTCTTTGTTCACCAGATAAGGCCTCTTTGTTTTGTTTTCTGTTTCATGTCCAGTGTGTGAAAGGCACGTGGTTAAGTGGTAAGGAATATTAGAGACAATAATAGCAGATCCAAGCTTCCTTCACAGCTCCATGCAATCTCTTTAAGCTTGGGAAGGAGAGAGGGTCTAATGGGCCTCTTTGTTTTACTTCTACCTCTTATTCCTTGTCTTGGATTATCCAGCTGGGCAATATGGATGTCACTAAAACTCTGTGCTCCTGACTGCTTGTCTGTGCCATTCTCACTGTGCAACAGGCTGGATATGAAATTCTGTCTGTCCTACTGTGACCTAGACCACCCAGCCCAGCACTAGGCTCTCTAAGCCAGAGCATCATCCTCTGAATGAATAATCCATGTAGTCAACAGTCCCCCGGTCACTTTACCTTGGCCTGGTCCCCAGATACCCACCACAATTAGAATCTCGACCCCCTTCTCAGAATCCCATTGGGGACCACCAGTCCCTCTGCACAGTGATTGCCCTTTGGAGTGCTGGATGAGACTGCAGGGAGGCCAACCTGACCCCCTCCTCAGTTTAGTGCTGGTTTTGCTTAATGCTGCCACTGCCTTGCTCCCTGATCTGGAGCCATAGGCAGAAAGAAAATGGTAACATTGAGAATTTTATCTATCTACAAATAAACTTTGAGAGATTTTCCAAGGGTAATGTTCAACCACCCTAGGAAACCCCAAGAACGCTTTGTGGGGATTTTTTTTTTTTTTGAGATGCAGTTTTGCTCTTTTTGCCTAGGCTGGAGTGCAATGGCACGATCTCTGCTCACCACAACCTCTGCCTCCTGGGTTCAAGCGATTCTCCTACCTCAGCATCCTAAGTAGCTGAGATTACAGGCATGTGCCACCACGCCTGGGTAATTTTGTACTTTTAGTGGAGACAGGGTTTCTCCATGTTGGTCAGGCTGGTCTTGAACTCCTGACCTCAGGTGATCCGGCTGCCTTGACTTCCCAAAGTGCTGGGATTACAGGTGTGAGCCACCGTGCCTGACTGGGGATGTTTTAAATAGGGCTTCCTGTGTATTCTTCCACTTTCATGAAAGCTTTTCTTCCCTGAGGAACTCAGAGGCAAGAAGAGGAAATGCTGATGGGTGGTAGGACTGTGACAGATGCCCCAGGATGGAGCACTGTTGGAGGAGACAGCTGCTTTGTGGTCCCTCTTCATTGCTACGTCTGGTAATTCAAGGATAAGCAGCATGTTTCAAAATGCATGTTTTATTATTCAGGCACAGCAAGGCTACAGAGCAGCAGATGACTCCCATAAAAAGATAGGTTATTACTCACAGTTCCCAGGAGGACAGTTTACAGCAGATAGATTATTACTCATAGTTCTCAAGAGGACGGTGTATGGCATACAGGGCCACAGTGGGGAGCTCCAGCGTCCATCAGGAAGCAGAGGGGGGGCAGAGAATACAGGCAGGAGCCTTTGTTGTGATTTCTGTGGGAAGGAATAGACAAGACATGGCAAGCAGGCTCAGGATTGGCGAGTTTGAACATTTCAGTAGCTCTGGGGCATAGAGGCTATTCCAAATTGTCTGGGACCTGGCCTTGGGCTGATTAGGGCAGGGGGATAATGGCCCAGAGCATGAGAGCCCCATAGAGGAGGTGGTTGGACTCTGGAATAGTTGGTTTGCATATGGAAAGTGTGCTCACGAGCCAGCCACTGCTGTCTCAAGGAATTGCTCAGCCCTGTGCAGGGAAGTCCCTCTAGAGTTTCTAAGACCCCGATGTGAAAGGATCAAAAACACATGGTTGATACAGGACGTGGTAACAGCAGCTGCCATAGGCATCAACCAGGCAGGCTTTAAAGATCTAATGGGGTTGGTTTAACAGGATGAACACACAGTAGAGCAGCTAGGAGGCCTGACTTTTGTGTCCTTGGATCCCTGTTTCCTCACCTCTGAAAGAAGACAGCCCAACTGGATTCTTCTAAGGTGTCTTCCGTCTTCTAGCTTTAACAGTTGGTGATTCTAGAAACTGGCTATTGTGTTACACTTTAGAAGAAGATTTTATTGTATTCTGGAGGATTCGATAAAATAGAAATAATAAAAAAATTATTATTGTCTCCTCTGTGCCATGTAATTATGTGATTTCCACCTTTCCTTAATAGGTCGGGATGAATCCCACCTTATGTTGCATTTTAGATACTTCATTCACTGCCAGAAGTCCAACCCCCTTTTATTACGTAAATTCTCATCTCATTCAGCTCTTCCTGCCCTAATCTGACTCAACCCCTACCTCTGCACTTGCAAAGCTTTCCTGTGCCCTTGCACCAGACCTCAGGATCTTACAGCAGCAAATGCCCACTGTCCCTTTCATCTTGTCTCATCACCGTTTTGCTCCAACTGAAACCTGGCTCCCTTCTGAGGACACTGCTTTCCCTCCAGCCCTCCCAAGTGGAGGCTGACTTTTCTCCTATATCCCTCTTACCAATAGGCCTGCAGGTGGGTAAGGTATGGTTGCTCTTCAGTGCTGCTTCCAGACCATTTCACCACCATCTTCCCTCAAAATCACCAGCTCTGCTGACGTGAATTCTCAGACAATACCAACTGCACTCTGCCTTGCTGCCATTAGTCCCTCTTGCTCACCAGTGCAGATCTTAGCGTCTGGCTCAGAGGTTTCCCTTCCCACCCTTCCCACTTTCTGCTGATAGTCACCCGCCATGACCCAGCATCCACAGAATTTCCATCACACTGGCTCTTACATCGTTGACCTCCTCCCTCCAACGCCCTTCACTCTACCATACCTCTGCTACCTACATCTCTTCTGCATTCTCAGTGGGGCTCAGAGAATGATGGGGAAGTAATTGCTCTGCCTTCAGAAGCTCAGGTTGAAGCATTCCACTCCCTGGCCTCCACCTGTTATCTTTCCACCTCACTTACTTGGCAACACTGCTGCACAGAATTCTTCAAACCCATCAGGATTTCCAATTCACTGACTCCCCTGCTTTCTCAGAGTCTATCATCCTTGGTCCCTGTTCCCTCCCATTCCCTCCCATTCCCACCTTGTAAAACCCTGACTGTTTAAACTCAGTGCTCCACACCTGCTCCTGAGCAATTCATCCCTGATGAAGCAAAATCAAACCAGTCTTCTGACCAGTCCTACATTTCATTTGTGAACATAAAATTCAGGTAGGCCCTTCACATTTTCCTAGACACTTCCCAATTCTTTCAGACTCCTGTTTCCTTCAAATATTTTCTCTGCCTTTATGACTCTGCCTCTCATTTCACTGAGAAATTAGTATCAATCATGAGAGAACTAATTCACCTTTTCACCAACAAATCTACCAACATGCCTGCATTTGAAGCTGGATATTCAACCACCTCTCCCATGACTGTGGATAAGCTGTCCTTGCTTTTCTAAATCCAGTCTCTTTCCTCTCACCTTAGGACTTACCTTCTTAAATATTCCCTATCTCCAACATTATCAATTCTTTCCTTTACACATTCTTAGTAGCATGTGGGCATATTGTCATATTTGCCACATTGAAAAAGAGAAAGGAGTATGACCCCACAAGCCCTTCCAGCTACAACACAATTTTTTGTATGCACTCCTTTACAGCAAAATTTCTCAAAAGATGTGTTTATATTTGTTTTTTTTTTTTTTTTGGTTTTTCACCTCCCATTCTCTCTCTACAAAAAGTTTTATGATGAAATATAACATACATACAATTTAGAGAACAATATTAAAGAGAATATGTGAATTTGCATCATCCAGCTAAGAAACAGAACATTGGCTATATTTTAAAGTTTAAATCCTTCTCCCTCCTTGCAAGATGTTACTAGGGTCCTAAATGTGACATAATCCTTCCCAGGCTTTTCTTCATCACTTTGTGTATGTGTGTATGTATATGGATATATACACATGTGTATGCATATGGATGTATACATATGTATATGCATACATACATACCTATGTGGAGATGTGCATTAAAACTTCATAAAAATGATATTATTGTATGCCATATATTTTTCTGTGTTCTATTTCTTTCACTCAGCATTATGTTTGAGATTTATCCAGGTTGACAGTATAACAGTAGTTCATTTTCCCTGTCGTACAGTATTCCCTTAGATTAATGTACCACAATGTATCTGTCCATTCCATAGTTGTTGAACATTTGGGTTGTTTCCAGTGGTTTTGCTCTTCCCTAAGGACACTGCTTCCCTTTTAACAATGTTGCTGTAAGAACTCTTATATGTGATCATGGAATGGGCAAGCATTCCTCTAGGGTGTATACTTAAGAGCGGAATTGCTAAGTCAAAGAGTATGCATATAATGCCAAGCTCCTTCCAAGGTAGAGACAGCCATGGGTGAAAGCTCTTACAGCCTAGCATCCTCCCCACCTCTTAGTATTGATAAATTGTTCAATCCTGGCCACTCTGGTGGGAGTGTAATGGTATCTCACTGTGGTAAATATTTTGCACTACTCTGAGTATAAAAAGGTCCTCATCTTTTTATGTTTTTGGTGAGTCATTATGTTTCCTTTTCTCTGCCTATTCATATCTGTGGCTCATTTTTCTACTGGACTTTTTTTTCCTTTTTGAAATTATGATTAGGAATTACTTACATTTTCTATATCTAGTCCTTTGCTATTGTATGTCTTGCAAATGGAGTCTACCATTTTGTGACCTGTCTTTTCACTCCACTTATGGTGTATTCTGATAAACAAATTCTTAATTTGTGTGGCCAAATGTGTCCAACTTTTCCCTTATGTTGTTCTTCTTTTGTCTTGTTAAATAAATCCATTTTTTGCCCTGATATCCTAATGATACCCTCCTGTATTCTCTTCTAAAAGTTTTAAAATTTTATCTTTCACATTAAATAGTCCCTTATCTAGCACTCATGAATATGAAGAAATCCTAATTACTGTAGCTTAGTAACAAATCTCTATATCTGGCAGGGCAGGTCTCCACCTGGATCATTTTCATCAAGAATATCTTGACAGTTCTTGGTCCTTACCATTTCATATAAATTTTAGTCATCAGTTTGTAGAAGAAAAAAATCTTTTAGGATTTTAATTATATTTGTAGTGACTATAGATCAATTTGAGTAGAATTGATGATATTGAATATTCTTGTCCAAGAACATGTTGTCTCTTTGCTTATTTACATCCTTTTTATGTCTTTCGGTGAAATTTTGTAATCATTGTCTTTAAAAATTTTGCATATTTTTGTTCAAATATATTCCTCAGTATTTTGTTTTTCAGTTCGTAGTATAAATAATATTTTAAAATCATATTTTCTGTAGAAATTGAATTGATTTTGTACATTGATTTCATATCACGCAATCCTGCTAAATTAATTTAATAATTTTGATAATTCATCTGTACATTCTTTGGTGTTTGCAACGTACATGGTCATCATCTACTAATTTATGATAGTTTTATTTCTTCTTCCTTCTCGGTCTTTATGCTTTATATCTCTGTCTCTTATCTTACCACTCTGGCTAGGACTTCCAGTAGAATGTTGAATGAAAGTGGGGATAACATACGTCTTTGTCTTGTCTCTGATCTTAAAAGGAGTGCTTTTAACATTTCACTGCTGAGTATAATATTTGCTGTGAGTTTTCTGTGGATTTGCTTTATCTGATTTTAAAATTTCCCTTCTATTTCTAATTTGTTAGGAGTATTTAGCATAAATGGATGTAAAATTGTATCAAGTGTTTTATCTATGTCCATTAAGATAATTCTGGTTTTTCCCTCAAGATGTTAAAGTGGTGAACATATTATTTGGCTTCTAATGTTAAAACAACCTAGCATCTGAGATATGCCCAACAAAAAGTATTATCTTTTTCAATATACTCTCTGGCTTATTGTGTTTGCAAATATTTTGTTTAGCATTACTGCACCTGTTTGTGATTGAATTTGGCCTTCAATTTTCTTTTTTTTTTCCTGTCTGTATCTGGTTTTTGGTTTTGTAATTGTGCTAGCTTCATAGAACAAGAAGTAATTCTTCTTATTTTTTCTCCAGAAGAGTTGGTGTAATCTTGAAATTTTCTGATCTGTGAGAGTTTGATTTAAATTTCTTATTGAGCCATCTGGGATTGTGATTTTCTTTGTAAGAAGATTTTAGCCTATAATTTCTTTAATGATTATGAAGATATTGAAGTTTTCTATTCCTTCGTAAGTCACTTTTAGTAAGTCATATTTTCTAGGAATGTATCCATCTCATGTAAATCTTCAAATTATTATTATAAAATGGATAAGATCCTCTCAACTGTTTAATCTCTGCAAAGCCTATGGTGTCTCCCTCTTTTCATTTCTGTTCTTTTTTTTTTTTTTTTTTTTTTTTGAGACGGAGTTTCACTCTTGATGCCCAGGCCGCAGTGCAATGGCACGATCTCGGCTCACTGCAACCTCCACCTCCCGGGTTCAAGTGATTCTTCTGCCTCAGCCTCCCAAGTAGCTGGGATTACAGGCATGCACCACCATGCCTGGCTAATTTTGTATTTTTTAGTAGAGACAGGGTTTCTCCATGTTGGTCATGCTGGTCTCGAACTCCTGACCCCAGGTGATCCACCTGCCTTGGCCTCCCAAAGTGCTGGGATTACAGGCATGAGCCACTGCACCTGGCCTTCTATTCATTCTTATTTGTGCTTTCTGGTTTCCTTTCTTCTTGCCGGACACAAAAAAACTATCTAATAAACTCATTGATCTTATTTATTATGGTTTTATTTTTATTTCAATAATTTATTCTTTTATTATTTCCTTTACTACTTTGGATTTATTTTCTGTTCTTTGGCTAACGTTTGCTTGTTAATTTTGAGTCTTTTGTCTGTTTGCATGCTAACATTGAAAGTTATAAATTCTCTTCTAAATACAGTTTTACCTCCATCTTGCATTTTAGTATGTAATATTCTCATTACAATTTAGTTCTAAATACTTTTAATATTAATTATAATGGGTTTAGATTTTTTAATTTTTCAAATGTGAGACTTTTCTAGTTATAGTTTTTTATTAATTTCCAACTTAATTGTGCTGTGGTTTAGAAATGATATGTCTAATAACAAGCTTCTGAAATTTGTTAAAGTTTGCCTTATTCAATATAGTATATTCAGTTCTTATAAATTTCTGGGCATATTTGAAAATAATGTATATTCTGTAAGTACTGAGTAGAATGTTCTATGTATGCCTATTGTTCAAGTTTGTTAATTATTCTATTCAAATCTACTGTATCTTCACTGCCTTTTTTTAATCTACTTAATCTATCATCACTTACTAAGATAATTGTATTAAAAATCTTCCATTTTTAGTGGTATATTGTCAATTTCTCCTTGTAATTCTGTAAATTTTTGCTTCATATATTTTAAGGTTATGTTATAGGCATACAGATTTTGACTTTTTATATCTTCTTGGAACATTGAGCCTTTTAACCAAACATTAAACATCTTCTTTATCACTAGCAATATGTCTTGTACTAAAGTATGTTTTGTCTTCTATTAATGTAGCTAAAACAATTTTTCTTTGGTGACATTTGCTTAGTGCATCTCTTCTTATCCTTTGGCTTTCAACCTTGCTGTGCCCTTCCATTAGAAGACATTTTTATAATGAGCATAGAACTGATTTTTTAAATCCACTTTAGCAATATGTATTTTTTAACTGGAGGGTTTTGTTCATTAACATTGATCGTGGTACATTTTAATTTAAATCTACCATTTTATTATGTTCTTTTAGTTTGCTATTCTTTTTCTTTTTCATTGACTTCCTTTTTTGTCTGCTTTGGGGTATAATTTTTCATGTTTTCTTTTATTTTCCTTATTCCATTTTTTCCTCTGCTACTTTGAATGTCATGCCATGTAGCTCTGCTGTTCTAATGCTTACCACTGCTATTTTAATAAGCATCCTTAAAATAAGTAAATTTATTACTATTTTTAGTCTCTTCACAATGATTAAAAGACTTTAGAATAGTTTCATGTCTCCTGTTCATCCATCAAATTATATTCTATCATTCCTAGTAATTTAGATTGCTCTCTATTATTTATTTAAGCCCCAGGAACTATATATATATATCTATATATACACCAAATGTTTATTTATTATTTATTTATTTTATTTTTTTATTTTTTGAGATGCAGTCTCGCTCTGTCGCCCAGGCTGGAGTGCAGTGGCATGATCTCAACTCACTGCAACCTCTCTGCCTCCCGGATTCAAGTGATTCTTCTGCCTCAGCATCCCGAGTAGCTGGGACTACAGGCACAGGCCACCATGCCTGGCTAGTTTTTGTATTTTTAGTAGAGACAGGGTTTCATCATGTTGACCAGGCTGGTCTTGAACTCCTGACCTTGTGATCTATCCGCCTCGGCCTCCTATTTAGATTTACCAACATACTTACCATTATTGCTCTATAGTCCAGACATCTGACTGAGGTATATCCCATTAGAAGTTCCTTTAGTAAAGGTCTATTGATGAAGTGTTCTCATTCTTTCTTTGTCTGAAATGTATTCATTTTGCCCTTGTTCTTTAAAAATAGTTTTGTGGAGGGGAGAATTCAAGAATAACATAAATTCTCTTTGATTATTGAAAATATTATTCTACTGTGTCCTGGCTTCCATTTGTGTTGCCGAGTAGTCGGTTATCAGTCTAGTTTTGTTTTTGTTGTATGTGTGCTGTCGTTGTTTTAAGAAACTTGTCTTTGCTCTGAAGCTAATTTTAAGATTTTTTTTTTCTTTTGGTAATCTGTAGTTTCATAGTGAAGTGTTTATATGAGGGTTCCTTTATATTTATTCTGCTTGGGATTTGTTGGGCTTTCTTGATCTTACATTGCGTGTCTTTCAGCAATTCTAGAAAATGTTTAGCTAGACTCTTCTCAAATGTTGCTCTTGTTTGTTCTATTTCGTTCTTCTGGCACTTTTGTTATACTTATGTGTGATGTTTTCATTGTCTCCTGTCTTTTAATAACTTGCATATTTTTCCTTTTTTCTCTTTCTACCCTGCAGTTTAGAAACTGCTCCACGTATATCATACAGCAGTCTAATCCCTTTTCAGCTTTGTTGAAATTTAAATTATAATTATATTTTCCATTTTTAGATCTTCTACTCAGTTATTGTATAATTTTGCTTGCTTGTTTTTGTTCTTTGTTATTTTTCACATTTTAAGCCTTCTCTTTTATTGTTTTAAAATATGTTTATTAGAGTATAATCTTAAGACAGTTTTTGATTTGTCAACTTAAAAATGTTTGTTTCTTCCTGCCATATAGTAAAGTGATATAAAGGCCTACTGAAAATTATGAGCTTCTTTCTCCTGGAATTCTCCATCAACATATGATCATTTATGCATTGCCAGCAAACACCTCTTGGAAGCTTTTTCTATGCTTCTTTTCACAAAGCAATGCTATCGCAAGCCATAATTCTCATGTTATCCAGTTCATAAATTTTGCCACTTCTCTGAATCCAGCATTCAATACAAAGGTCTGCACCTATCACAGATTTTGAGTGCGCTCAGAGAACCTCTGAAATGACCTCCATTCTTGATTCTATCCAAATCACACATTACATTTAGATGTCGTGTCTCCTCCTGAGTCTCCTTCATCACAAGATAGGCCTCAGTCTTTGCCATTCGTAACCTTAACACCTTGTGCAAGAGGCCATATTCTTAACATCAGAGCATAGTCTATGCAGAGTGCTTAGTCAAGTGTTGGGCATGTGGTAGGATTTTCATAATGATAGATATTTTTGTTGGGGAAATCAATACATCTGCCTTTCGAGAAGTAGAACGAGAATGGTTCCTCATGTTCTGTTTGTGTTGATTAGCTTGGCCAACCTGGATGCGTTTATAAAGAAGAGTGAGAGCGGCTTACTCAAGAAAGTTGAAAAAGGAGATTTCCAAGGCTTGGTTGAGATCATGGGACACCTTATGGCTGTTAAAGAACGGCAGAGTAACACTGATGAGATGTTTGAGCCCTTAAAGCAGACTATTGAATTGCTGAAGACCTATGAACAAGAATTGCCAGAAACAGTGTTTAAGCAGCTGGAGGTCAGTGCATTTATGTCTTCCTTATAAAAGAAATAGAGGAAACATTTTAGGATTTCAGAATGGGGTAAAGTGGGGTACAGCAAATGAAAAACAGGGCTTGGAGCTGCAAGATCCGTGTTTTGGAACTATAATGTGTAGCGTATTTGTAACATCTAGCAAATTCTGGAAACTCAGTACATATGGGAGAAGGCAATGCTGGAGATAGATGGGAGAATTAAGATGGATAATTTTTCTCCATAGAAATGAACCAATGTTTTGGTTGAGAAAAAAAAAAAGCAGATCTGAAATATGTTAAGATGGTCCAAGAGGTAATGTGGGACATAAAAGAAAATAACCAAGCAACCCTGAAGAATATAGAAAAGGGAAGGGGTTAATGTAGCTTCAGTAGAAATATGGTAGAAGCAATAGAAACCGAAGATTGTAGAAACATCTTCCTTTAAGAAAAATCTAAAAGTCTCTTTAGCATTCCAAGTTTTCACAAATTTAGAGGGCTTAGAGGACCAGAGGTTGAGAGCAAGAAGGTTAGTGTAGAGTGAGTGGTAGGTAATAGTTGAGAGCAGCTGCGGAAGGAAGTCGAGGAAGAGTGGGTGGAGGGCAGATTGTAGGGAATGGGAAGATGACACCACCACACCATTGTACCATCTTGTAGCACAGATGGAAGCATCTGGGCTCTGTCCAGCTCAGGACTATGGGAGAGGAAAGAGCACCTTGGGAATCTGACCACACTGAGGTTTCCTTTGCAGGAGCTGCCTGAGAAATGGAACAACATAAAAAAGGTGGCCATTACTGTGAAGCAGCAGGTGGCCCCACTGCAGGCAAATGAAGTGACACTCCTCCGCCAGAGGTGCACAGCCTTCGATGCAGAACAGCAGCAATTCTGGGAGCAATTCCACAAAGAAGCCCCGTTCAGGTATGGGCCGAACACTGCTGCCTCTCTTTCTGTGAACACTGCAGTCTTTGAGTCATGGATAATCTTTTTGTGGGGCGTGTGTATTCTTCCAGCAGCTGCAGACCAGTTAATAATCTTCCTTCCCATTTAGGACCTTTGGTTGAAACGTGGTGCTAATGTGGACTGAATCCTATCATGACCTGTATGAAAAGGCCAAGGATTGTACAAACATCTTGCCTTAAAAAGATGCATATATATCTAGAAGCATCTTTGTGCCTCCAAGTTTATAAAGGGATGATAGGTGGTATAATTACTAGGATTTTACTAAACCTTTAGCATTCTAAGTTCTCACAGACTGTTCTTTTGGTTTTAAAAAGTGGCTGATTGAATTTTTAAAATTTTACAGAGCATTTCATTTTGGCAGCATAAAGGAAGGATTTAGGTGAAGGTTTTCTTCAGGGGGTTTCTCTCTGCTTGGTTCCAACACCTCCCTGCTTGTTATGACAGGTCTTTACATAAACAAAGCAACTCTAGGATCAGCAACACCATTCATCCATGCCCACGCTGCACATACTTGGGCTCCTTTCTCAGGGATTTCCTCCCGTGGTGAAGCGGTCTGCTTCTGGTCCACTGCTCAGCATCAACGGCTCCAACCAGGAGGCCAAGCTGGAGCTCAATGGTCCTACATCTGCTGATGTGCCAGCTAGATTGGGTGCCCTTTGCCCTAACGCTCCAGCTCTGTGATTTGTTTCCTGTTTCCTTGAGCTTCCTTTCTTGCTGGGTCTCCTCTATATTGTTGGGTAGACAGACTTCAAAATCTCCAAACTGGAAAATTCTCGATGCTTACAGTGAGGAATGTTTTTATTTTCAAAGGTTATTTGCCCACAGAAATATTAAAGCAACAAACCAAACAAAAAAAAATACAACTTCACTGGAACGAAGTTCAATAAAAATTAAGTGCACAGATGCTAGATTCAGGTGGCCTGGGGTCTAATTTCAGGTCTTCTACTTACTTCTTATGTTATGACAAAGTTACTTAATACCTTTGTGCTCCAGATTCCTCATCTATAAAATGTAGATGATAGTAGTGTCCACCACATATAGTTGTGGGTTGAATTAAAGAGATCATTCTTGAAAGTGTGTAGCACTGTGTCTGGTACTATGGTGAAAAACTGTACTGGTTTGTCCAGGATCGTTCTGGTTGTTGTCTGGGAGTTTTAAAATCTCTCCAGGTGATTCTAAATGTGCAGCCCAAATGGCAGCACATTGCTTTAGAGTCATAGGTTTTATATATTTATATCTTATGTCTGTTTTACACACTTGTCCTTCCCTGTCTCTTAACATACTCATCTTACTCTCTGTAACTCCAAGCATAATGCTTGGGAGATAGCAGCATTTTCGAGGTAGCGTCTTGCTCTGTCACCCAGGCTGGAGTGCAGCATCATAATCATAGCCTACTGCACCCTTGAACTCCTTGGGTTCAAGCAATCCTCTCACCTCAGCCTCCTGAGTAGCTGGGACTACAAGCATGCTCATGTCTTAGGAAGCACCTGTGTTCTGGGCAAACTGGATGGTTGCTCACTCAGCCTGGCATACCTATTTTTATCATTCATTCTTCAAACATTTATTAAGCAGCTGCTATCTCCCAAGCATTATACTTGGGGTAACAGAGAATAAGATGAGTAGGTTAAGAGGCGGGGAAGGACAAGTGTGTAAAACAGACATAAGATATAAATATATAAAACATATGACTCTAAAGCAATGTGCTGCCAGTTGGGCTGCACATTTAGAATCACCTGGAGAGATTTTAAAACTCCCAATATGCCCAGTGTGTCCTATATACTAATGAAGTTAGACTTTCTGGAGGCGAGACCTGTGAATCAGTATTTTGTAAGCTCCAGGAATTCCAATGTGCAGCCAAGTTTGGAAACCACCACCCTAAAGGGAAGTAATTGGTTTCCTTTCAAGCAATCATGAGGAGGAATGTAACTCCTAAGTCTGTATCCCTTTAGAATAATTGCCTTAGGAGCCACGCCCTTGTTCCAAAGAATCATCTGTTGCTCAAAACCCTTGTAGACTCCTTTGGGGACTATCTTTCAGAGTCTGAGGCTTATTCTTCTGACTCTTTTTTGGGCATGCAATTGAATTTTTGAAATTGAACACCAATTCAGAGCCAAAACTGCTGAAGGAGGTAAGTTCTCCAGCTAGGTAATACTACTTAGTGTTAACAACAACCACTCCAAAGGCAACAGCCATAAAAATAAAGACACTAATATTTTTGCACCAACAGTCTCTCTCTTTTTGTTTTGTTTTGTTTTGTTTTGAGACAGAGTCTAACTCTGTCACCCAGCCTGGAGTGCAATGGCACGATCTCGGCTCACTGCAACCTCCGCCTCCTGGATTCAAGTGATTTTCCTTCCTCAGCCTCCTGAGTAGCTGGGGTTACAGGTGCCCACCACCATGCCTGGCTAATTTTTGTATTTTTAGTAGAGGCAGGGTTTCACCATGTTGGTCAGACTGGTCCCGAACTCCTGACCTCGTGATCCTCCCACCTTGGCCTCCCAAAGTGCTGGGATTACAGGCATGAACCACCACGCCCGGCCCAACAGTCTCTTAAGATAATTTCAAAAAAGAAAAAAATTCAAAGATGTTGGGGAAAATATCCTCCCAAAGAGACTTCTAAGACTGCTTGAAAGGGAAACAACATTGGTGTGCTTTTGTGTCTGTTCGAAATTCGGTATTCCTCCTTCATGGGTATATTTTGTGTATTGATCAACTCCTGTTTGTTTTTTCATTTTATTTTTATTTGATAGTTGTGTTCGTTTTTCTTTCTTTGCACTTGTATCTGCTGGCTGTGAGGATACTGCTACTCTTAGCTGGGTGTTCCAAATTCACATCTGCTAATTTGACATGCAGATGAATCCCTGGAAGAGGATGCTTTGAAAAGAACTGCTGGGAAACCAAACATTTCTGCAATTTTGGTGTATTTCTCTTCTTGTCAAGAAAAACATCAGAGCTAAAATGGAATTGTAGATTTATCACTAAAGCGAATCTTAGTGGATGTCAACTTATGTGTTTTGTTTTCTTTCTTAGTTTGGTGTGTGTGAGTGTTCAAAATTTGTAGGTATTATGTGTGGCATGTGAGTTTAAATCTGGTTTCTCCACTGTTAAGTTATTTATGAATTTCTAAGTTGCAGGCCCTGGTATATTTTTCTGTGAATTCAAGTTTGAGTTTAATTCTGGTTTCTTCACTTTTAGATCATTTATAAATTTCTAAAGTGCAGACCCTGGTACATTTCTCTGTGGATGCAAGTTTCTGCTCCTGATTAGGTTACACAGATTAAGCTCAGTTTTGAATGTTCTCGTGTTTGAGGAGAGAAAAAAAACCTGAGTGTCTTATTAAGCCCTTGCAGTCTGACAGGTGCTGTGTGAAGTCAGGTTGCATAGGTTGAGGTTCTTCATGTCCAAGTCAAATTTCAGCTCCTCCTTTAGTTCTTAACTCTAAATTATAACACCATATTTCGGTGAGAGCCGAGCTCTCACCACAGTAATTGGCTAAATCATCTTACTCAGATTCAAGGGCTTTGTGCAACTCTTAAAGCTGGTGACCAGTTCTCCCTCTTGAATGAAAGGAATGCCCCCATGCTCTAGTGGTGTTTCACTGTTTGGTCTTCCTGACCTTGAGCACAGTCCTCTTGACCTTAAGAAACGTCACCATGACATATAGTCTTCTTGCCCACACCAAGACCAAGGTAATCGAGGGATTACTGAGCCAAAATAATCTACCTCTGTGAGCTCCAGCTCAATGAAGACCATTCGTGTTTTCAGCAGGCGACCAGATTCTATGAATGGCTGGGAGGGCTTTCTTGAAGATATCTTCCATGGGGTGCTGTCCTACATGACAACTAGAGAAAACAGCTTTCCAAATAGCCCAAGGCAGCAGTCATGAGGAAAGAAGGGCTTTTGACCTTCTTGCACAGTGTCTGCTGTCTCTTCCATAACTGCAGAAAAGGGCAATATTTGTCATTAAACCTCCCAGAGACATATCGGTTTCCTAAGATATGTCATTCATTCAGCTTGATCCTGTTCTTCCAGTTAACCTGACTCATTCACAGGATTTAGGCTTTCATGGAGTAGATGAGGTTATGGTCTCAGCAGTGGAGCCAGCAAAAAAGGATGTAGCTGTTAGGATTTTGAGATAATACACCTTTCCTGACCTCAAGGACTTATAGCCTCAGGGACAATTTCAAAAATGAGCAATAAGGCATGCACATTGGGCACCAGCTTTAACCCCGCCCAGGGAGGCAGTTCACACCTCCCCTAGAACATGGTGCTTATCATGGTGAGCCAGAGCCAGTGGCAAGTAAGAGCTGTTTCAGGGGGAAAAAAAACAGTTACAAAATGAGGATATTCTGGGCAAAGGAAATAGCACATACGAAGATGCAGAAGGATGAAAATGTAAGAAACAGCTGGAAAACTGCATGTGTGTATGGCTGGGATGCAGGAAGCAGGAGAGGAGAATGGAGGGGGCCATGTTTTGACCATAATCTCAGCCACTGAGGAGTCTAAGTATGACAAAAACATAATGTAAAGACCACCTTCTCATGGCTGCAGAGAACAGAATGGGGCAAGGTAGGCTCAAAACCAGGTGCTCAATGGGAGAGTGGTTCCAACAGCCCAGATGAGAAGTGGTGAGGCCTGATCAGAAGCAGTGGCAGAGATGAGGGAGAGGGGAAAATAGATTACAGAGAGATTTAGGAGAATATCTGCAGGATTGATTGAATGTGGGAGATGGAGGAGAAGGAGAGTGTAAGGGGATTTTTCATCTTCTAGCTTGGACAAGTGGTCGGAAGAGCTTTTATCCCACTGTTCACTGAGGCGGGCACAGAATTGGAAGGACTGCGCCTCACAAAGTCAGGGTTGGATACATTAATTTTTTTTTTTTTTTTTTTTTGAGACGGAGTCTCGCTCTGTCACCCAGGCTGGAGTGCAGTGACAGGATCTCAGCTCACTGCAATCTCCGTCTCCCGGGTTCAAGTGATTCTCCTGCTTCAGCCTCCCGAGTAGCTGGGACTATAGGTGCATGCCACCATGCCTGGCTAATTTTTTGTATTTTTAGTAGAGACAGGGTTTCACCTTGTTAGCCAGGATGGTCTCGATTTCCTGACCTCATGATCCACCCGCCTCGGCCTCCAAAAGTGCTGGGATTACAGGCATGAGACACGTTGAGTTTTATGCTACCTGGTGGGTATCAAGGACAGGTATGACACCGTTCATGGTATACACAGATACAGACGGTACTGAGATTCCCATTTACCAACAGGCAATTTCCCAGGAATCAATTTAGCTCACTTATTCCTCTCTCTCTAGGCTCACATCTGGGTCAGGCCTGAATCAGTCATTTTTCCACGATCAAATGCATGAGCGCCGTATTTTCATTTCTTTTAATTATAGTTTTATTCATCCAAGCTTTCCAGGCATTTCTCTTTTAGAGTAAAATACATTTTGCCTTATTATTTCAACTTCAAAGACTCAACCCACCCTTTTCCCTCCTATTGCTTTCTTGTTCTTATACTGTATCATTTCCCCAGAGTTTAGAGGATGGCTTCCAGCTTTTTAGGCACGTGGACGAGGTCTATGAATATCCTGACAATTTGCTGTAAAGGTTTGAAATCATAAGAAGGCTACACATCTATGGGTTCCCTTCACAACTTAGGCCAAGTTGGTTTTTATGTGTGCTTAGCTACAGAAAATGATCACCCACAAATCTAAACTATAAACAAAAATTATGCCGCAGGGTGGATGAAGTTTGGAATAAGTTTGATAAACATTCACCTCTTATAAATACTTGAGGAACCAACATCGATTTAAGAATGCTTATGGGTGCCAAAGGAAGAATGGTTAGCAAGATAATTTCTAATCTTCCATGTGCACCCCAAATAGCTCCTATCTTACCTAAAAAGTTATTCCTAAATGGTGTTCCACTAACAAATTAAACAGCATGTGGGCTTTTAGAATTTGCTTGAATTTTAACTAACATCAAGAGGTTCAGTTCACATTCTAAGTTCACTCTAGTCAAGATAAAAAGTGGAACCTACACACACCAACGATTAGTCTTTGGAAATGAAGAATAAACACAAGAACTCCTCACCCTTGGTGATCTTTTTTGCTGGGCCCCTTGCCATGAGCACCTTCCATTTCTTTCCTCCTAGTTCTTTCTTCCTCATAAGGGAGAAAGCTCCTCTCTCTATATATATGTAGAGAGACAGGGCCCTTTTCAACTCTGAGCACTCTGACCTTCTGTTCTGAAATATGTGGGAGCTAAATAATAGAGAAGGCATGCAAATGATAGTCCCATTCTCTTAAGATGTAAATCTACAACCATAGCACCTGAGCCAAAAACAATTTAGATTGAACAAGCAGGATTCAAACATAACGAGCGTCGAAGTTAATCTGACACTAATTTAATAGTATGCATAACTGTTATTCTGTTGCATGGCAATTAGGCTTAAGTGGTAAGCATTCGGGTAAATGACTTCAATTAGGATTACTTTCCATCTGTCAAGTCAAATATTTCTAAAGTCAACAGAGAAAGGGCAGTTGAAAAACAAGAGTTTGTATGTCATTTTCTTCCTTTTTCACTCCTTTTGTATTCTACCTACCAACACGCAAACACATGCATGTACACACAGAAACACACACACACTGTTGATGGGAGGAAACGGCCGATTCTCTAGTTAGTCATTTCCTCACAACCTTCCCTTTGATGGTGAACCCCATGATGACGTGTTTTGATTTTAGCAAAACATACCATTCTCCCTTAAGCTGTGGTGTGTCTAGTATGTAGCCCTCCAAGCACACAGAAGCAAGAAAACCTGAGCTTGAGGATGAGAGTGAGTATAATAAAGTGGGGTTGGAGGAGAAAATGAGAGGGTCCTTGAACACTAGGGCTATGAGTGCCCTTGACCATAAAAAAGCCATCTGCAGCCGAGCGGGATGGCTCATGCCTATGGTCCCAGCACTTTGGGAGGCTGAGGCAGGTGGATCATGAGGTCAGGAGATGGAGACCATCCTGGCCAACATAGTGAAACCCTGTATCTACTAAAATACAAAAAATTAGCCAGTCTTGGTGGTGTGTGCCTGTAGTCCTAGCTACTCAGGAGGCTGAGGCAGGGGAATCACTTGAACCCGGGAGGCGGAGATTGCAGTAAGCCAAAAAAAAAAAAAAAAAAGAAAAAGCCATCTGCCTACATGGGTTCCTTTGCATGTAGGGTCTTATGTTGGGGAAAACACTATGCAGGAACGCATGCTTTGCTGTATGGCAGCCTAAAGTCTGTCCAGACTTACGAGGATTAGAAGCAGTTTCAGGTGCTTGCATGCCATAAACACTGGAGAGAAGAGGATGAGGAAATGTGAACTAAAAAGCTAGAAATGGTGCTCATAGGTGTCGAGTGCAAGCCCAGAGACTGCCCCAGGATGCAGAAGGGAGTGGCCCAGGGAAGGGCAAAGGCAGAACTGGAAGATCAGGGACAGCTTGGAGAGGAACTCATGAAGATGAGGAGCCAGATTCAAGGCACACAGTGAAGGAAAGTGACCACGATTATCTATCAAGGGCTTTGCAGCCAGTCTTCATGGCCACTCACAGTGGTTCACCAGCATGAAGTGCTGTTGCCTGAAGCTGATGCAGGCACCAGTGTGAGCTTCACCATGAATGATGACACCATCCTGGCAAATGGAAATCACCTGTGGAGTGCATCTGGGTCCCGCCCCCAGTGGTTCTGATTTAGTTGGTCTATAGAGCAGTCTGGGCATGGGGATCTTACAAAGCTTTCAGAAGATCATGACATGCAGCCCAGGCTGATAGCCACTGCCCCAGAGTGATCAATGGAGGGAGGGTCAAGGTTGGGCTCCTGAGTCCCAGCTCTCCCACTTAAAGATCACCTACCAAGCCAGGCTTGGTGGCTTGTGCCTGTAATCCCAGCACTTTTGGAGGCCAAGGCGGGTGGATCACGAGGTCAGGAGTTCAAGACCAGCCTGGCCGACATGGTGAAACCCCGTCTCTACTAAAAACACAAAAATTAGCCAGGCATGGTGGCAGGTGTCTGTATTCCCAGCTACTTGGGAGGCTGAGGCAGAGAATTGCTTGAACCCGGGAGGCAGAGTTTGCAGTGAGCCGAGATCACGCCACTGCACTCCAGCCTGGGCAACAGAGCGAGACTCTGTCTCAAAAAAAAAATAAAAATAAAAAATAAATTTAAGAAATCACCTATCACTAGGTTCCTGGCAAGGCCCTTGGCTTTCCGGCTTCTGCTGTAATATGACAGTGCTCTTTTGTGTCAAATGGTCTTCAGAACCAACAGCTAGATGAAGGGCAGAGTCTAAAGGGGCTTGGATAAGGGGGTATTCCCTTCTAGACCTGAGTGGAGAACATCCAAGCATAATGTTCTTGAATTGCCCTTCTTCCAATGCCCACTCCACCCCAGTCTGTCCTGAGTGTGTTTTTTTTTTTTTCCCAAAAGAAAATCCTGGGAAGAAAAGACATTATTTGCTTTCGTGAAAAGAATGTTTTTGGTGAAAGCCACTGCTCTTTCCTAAAACACCAAGCATTTAAATATTTCAGCTGGTTGCTACCTTAGAGATGCTAGGAGATGGGCCCCTGCGTGCCATACTTACAAAGGAACACACTGTGTTTTGTAGGTTTGATAGCATCCACCCTCATCAAATGCTGGATGCCAGGCACATCGAGATCCAGCAGATGGAATCCACTATGGCCTCCATTTCTGAGTCTGCCAGCTTATTTGAAGTCAATGTCCCTGACTATAAGCAGCTGAGGCAGTGCAGGAAGGAGGTCTGCCAGCTGAAGGAGCTCTGGGACACCATTGGAATGGTGACCTCCAGCATCCATGCCTGGGAGACCACACCCTGGAGGAATATCAACGTGGAAGCCATGGAGTTGGAGTGCAAACAGTTTGCCCGGCATATCCGAAACCTGGACAAGGAGGTCAGGGCCTGGGATGCATTCACAGGCCTGGAAAGCACTGTGTGGAACACGCTGAGCTCCCTGAGGGCAGTAGCTGAGCTGCAGAATCCAGCCATCCGGGAGCGGCACTGGAGGCAGCTGATGCAGGCCACCGGTGTGAGCTTCACTATGGACCAGGACACCACCCTAGCGCACCTGCTGCAGCTCCAGCTGCACCACTATGAGGATGAGGTCCGGGGCATTGTGGACAAAGCTGCAAAAGAGATGGGTATGGAGAAAACCTTAAAGGAGCTGCAGACTACCTGGGCTGGCATGGAATTCCAGTATGAGCCCCACCCACGGACCAATGTCCCCCTCCTGTGCTCTGATGAGGACCTCATAGAGGTTCTGGAGGATAATCAAGTTCAACTTCAGAACCTGGTGATGTCCAAGTATGTTGCTTTCTTCTTGGAGGAGGTGTCGGGCTGGCAGAAGAAGCTGTCCACAGTGGACGCTGTCATCTCTATCTGGTTTGAAGTGCAGCGAACATGGACTCACCTGGAAAGCATATTCACTGGATCTGAAGATATTCGGGCACAGCTACCCCAGGTACCTGCTAAGGAAATCTAGAATCTCTCTATTCTCTGATCCAGGGTGAAGGGAAGGTCACCCAGTTCCTGCATTGTCTAGGCTCTTTCCTTTTCTGCCTCCTTGCTTTGACTTTACTTAAAGGCACTTCCCACAGATGCTCACCTTACCTGCCACCAAAAGTTAGGCAGAGGAAAAGAGGGACAGTGAAATGCACACCAATCAGTTTGTCCTTCAATGGGTAGGAAAAAGAAAGGAAAACCTCATTCAGAAAAAAAAAAATGTATATATAAGAAAGATTAAAAAAAAATACTGGCTACTGCAGTTTGGAATGAGGTCCTCACAGGTTGCTTCTTGGATCGTTAAAATTCAAGTGTCCACTGAAAGCGAGTCTCGTTTCCAGGCAAATTCAAGTTCCTTCTCAGCAGCATGCCATTCTATAAACCGCTGACCTGTGCCAGCGCTCCAACTACCAGCTGTCAGCTAAACACCAAACAATGGATTCCCCTAAAATATGTGTTCTTCTCATTATTACCTTCCCTGTGTTTGATTGCCCCTTCTAATTAGTTCTAATTAATGTGCCATTAACTTACCCCTCTCTCAGTGGACTCTGATTCATTTTTAAATTTTTTCTTTAGGCTTCCTCTATATTCTTTCAGTACAGCAAGTTCTTTGCTTACAAATTAGCTTGATTCCAAAATGTCACGGGCTGTCCAGGCTTTGGTTAGAAATTAAAGCACGTTCTGCCCAAACATAGTTTTCCTGCTAATCCCAAAAAGCATATTTAGTGTAATACTATAGATTAAAGGTTGTATATTTGCAGTGAAAAGTAATAGAAAACAATTCTGTATGGCAGTTGTCATTAAGTCAAATTGAATAAGCCAGATTTTATTCATCTCAAATGCCAGTGATTGAAGCAGACAAGGCTTAATTAAAAGGGGGCCGGGACAGAGGTGGAGATTCTTGCAGAAACTTTAAGGGAGATGTTTGAGAACTTTTAATTAAAAATATTGAAGAGTTAGTATCATTAACCTCTACACAGTGCCACAGGTTTGTGTATAAAATATGTAAACACATTTACTTTCCCTGTAATAACAATGAAACAGAAACAATTTGAAAACGTAATAAAATCAGCCAGGCTCTAACACCCTAACTGGTAACTATATTCATTCATTATGAATTTCTCCCAACTTTGGTTCATGTATATACATATTTTTACATAATTGCTCTCAGTGTAATTATAATTTTCTATTCAACTTTTTTCATTTGAACATTTATGCCAGATATTTCAGATACTTCTGCAACCTTGATACTTTTTTATTTTTAATTGGAGCAAAATATCCCATTGAGGAATCATAATTTACTTTGCCCTCTTGTGTTTTTTTGTTTGTTTTTGTTTTTGTTTTGAGACGGAGTCTTGCTCTGTCACCCAGGCTGGAGTGTAGTGGTGCGATCTCGGCTCACTGCAACCTCTGCCTCCTGGGTTCAAGTGATCCTCCTGCCTCAGCCTCCTGAGTAGCTGGGATTACAGATGAGTGCCACCACGCCCAGCTAATTTTTGTATTTTTAGTAGAGACGAGGTTTCACCATGTTGGCCAGGCTGGTCTCGAACTCCTGACCTCGTGATCTGCCCGCCTCAGCCTCCCAAAGTGCTGGATTACAGGCTTGAGCCACTGTGCCCAGCCTACCCTCTTGTTTTTAGGTCTTCTTGGGCAAGGGGCAGGATCACAGAGGGAAGGAATGGCAGGCCTGGGCTTGAGTCCTCATTCTCTCACTTGCAGCTGTGGGACCTTGGGCAGGACACTTAACCTCTCAATGCCTTGGTTTCCCTGTGTGTAAACTGGGACTAATACTAGTATCTATTCCAGAGTCTTCATTAAAACAATTCACATGGCACATACCATTATGATTGTTGTTATGTAATAATAATACCACAAGCTCTACCACCTCACCAGGTGCCATGTATTTGGCTGAAGCTAATTGCATATATTAGTCTGTCAATCATTTCAATGATACTGTGAGTGTGTATGTCTGGGAAAAATGTTGACAACGGATTACTTTTGACATCAAAGGAGTATATTTGCTGAGGGAAAATTCATTTTGGTTATATAAACTTTTGCAGGGGTCCAGAAAGAACGTTAGATCCACTATCTACTTACGAATCAAGTGTTGTATACCTGGGGCTTGGGATGGTCTCTGAGACCTCTTCAGGGAGTCCTCAAGGTCAAAATTATCTTAATAATCACATTAAGATGTTATCCGCCTTTTTTTTTTCTCTCATTCTTCCATGAGTGTACAGTGGGGTTCTCCAGAGGTCAGATGACATGTGATATCATAATAAATTGATACAGAAGCAGTTTTCTGTTAAGTCAGATATTGTAGAGATTTGACAAAAAGTGAAATGATGCCCCATTTTCAACTGTTATTTTTGGTTTTGGAAAATATACTTAAGTATTTTATTTATGCTGACATAATGGGTTTATTATTGTTACTTTTGTTATTGTCGTTGAGATGGAGTCTCGCTTTGTCACCCAGGCTGGAGTGCAGTGGCACGGTCTCGGCTCAATACAACCTCCGCCTCCCGGTTTCGAGCGATTCTCCTGCCTCAGCCTCCTGAGTAGCTGAGATGACAGGCACACACCACCATGACCGGCTTTTTTTTTTTTTTTTTGTATCTTTAGTAGAGACGGGGTTTCACCATGTTGGTCAGGCTGGTCTCAAACTCCTGACCTTGTGATCCACCCGCCTCTGCCTCCCAAAGTGCTGGGATTACAGGTGTGAGCCACCGCGCCCAGCTTATTATTGCTACTTTTAAAATGCCCTTTTTTTTTTTTTTTTTTTTTTTTTGAGACAAAGTCTCCCTCTGTCGTCCAGGCTGGAGTACAGTGGCACGATCTTGGCTCTCTGCAACCGCACCCTCCACCCTCCAGGTTCAAGCGATTGTCATGCCTCAGCCTCCCGAGTAGTAGCTGAGATTACAGGCCTGCACCACCAAGCCCAGCCCAGCTAATTTTTCTATTTTTAGTTGAGACAGGGTTTCACCATGTTGGCCAGGCTGGTCTCAAACTCCTGGCCTCAAACCATCCGCCCGCGTCAGCCTCCGAAAGTGCTGGGATTACAGGTGTGAGCCACGGCGCCCGGTCTAAATGCATTAATGAATATTTTAGAAATTTCTTTTTAAAAAAGCTTTAGCCTCTGGTACAGAAAATATTGAAAGATATGATAGATAGTACCTACATAAACAAAAGCTCTTTGGACTCCTAAACAATTTTTGAAAATGTAAATGGGTTCTAAGCTGAATGCAGCTTAAACTAAGGGTGTTTCCTTCGTTGAGTCTATTCTCTGTATTTGACAACCCAGGAACAAGTTTCTGCTTCTAACTGGCTCCATGGAGGGAGCTTCTAGGAACTGAGTGGAGTGGTGGTTAATTGCTTCCACATTTTTATTTGCAGGATTCTAAAAGGTTTGAAGGCATCGACATTGACTTTAAAGAGCTAGCTTATGATGCCCAGAAAATTCCAAATGTAGTGCAAACCACCAACAAGCCAGGCCTGTATGAAAAGCTGGAGGATATTCAGGGCAGGTGAGGGTCCGCCCATTACCCCTTCTCTAATAAGAAGGCATCATTTCCTTTTCCCCATCGTCTCTGAGACCAGTGGGCAGAAGTGAGTATGGGTGCCTTGCATGTCCCTTTCTTTGCCTGTGTGTTTGGGTAGCATGGGGCATTATTAGAGGTGTTGACGCCAAGGTAGACACATCCATGTATATCTTTGCAAATATCTCTAAGTGTTTCTTGTGCTAATGCATATGTTCCGTCTATTGCATATACATACATTTAAGTAATGTATGTGTATCCATGGGTCTAGACATTCTTAACTGGGAAATTCTATGTTCTGTGCCCTCAGATTGTGCCTGTGTGAGAAGGCCCTGGCAGAGTACCTCGACACCAAGAGGCTTGCCTTCCCGCGGTTTTACTTTCTCTCCTCCTCCGATCTGTTAGACATCCTTTCCAACGGCACAGCTCCACAACAGGTAAGCTGGAGGAGCATCTGCAGAAAGGTCTAGGAGGGCTGAGGGGTGCCCAGCAGGAGGCAGTTTCTGGCTCCCCATCATGCCTCTTCTCTCTGGCAGGTTCTGTACTTCAGACCTGTCTGTGTTGCCCCCAGCATCATCACATACCTCGGAGCTTTCTTGCTTTCTTGCTTTCTTGCTTTCTTGCTTTCTTGCTTTCTCGCTTTCTCGCTTTCTCGCTTTCTCGCTTTCTCGCTTTCTCGCTTTCTCGCTTTCTCTCTCTCTCTCTCTCTCTCTCTCTTTCTCTTTCTTTCTTTCTTTCTTTCCTTCCTTCCTTCCTTCCTTCCTTCCTTCTTTCTTTCTTTCTTTCTTTCTTTCTTTCTTTCTTTCTTTCTTTCTTTCTTTCTTTCTTTCCTTCCTTCCTTCCTTCCTTCCTTCCTTCCTTCTTTCTTTCTTTCTTTCTTTCTTTCTTTCTTTCTTTCAGATGGATTCTTGCTCTGTCGCCCAGACTGGAGTCAGTGGCACGATCTTGGCTCACTGCAACCTCCGCCTCCTGGGTTCAAGCCATCCCCCTGCCTCAGCCTCCCGCGTAGCTGGGACCACAGGTGCATGCCACCATGCCGACTGATTTTTTTTGTATTTTAGTAGAGACGGGGTTTCACCATGTTGGCCAGGGTGGTCTTGATCTCCTGACCTCGTGATCTGCCCATCTCAGCCTCCCAAAGTGCTGGGATTACAACTGTGAGCCACTGCACCCGGCCACCTCGGAGCTTTCTTAATCCCCATCAGTATTGCTGCTCAGCATGCCCTCTGGCCCATCAGAGGCTAATCTCTAACAAAGAACTGAGAAACTTTGAGGATGGCAAAGGTGGAAGGAGTTGAGGCTTGGCAGAGAATGCCTTCAATCTGATTCTGAAGAAAGATCCAGGAAATACTGGCCAAACTCGATAGCTAAAATTTCTATAGGGAGATAAGATTGGAAGTTATGTTAACTGAATATGGAGGTAAGGCTTATTGGCAAAAGCATATATGAGAAGCCCAAAATGTGGGGTTCTGGCTTCTGGTTCTAGACAGTTACTAGCCATAGAGTCTTGGACATGTGACTTCTTAGCAACAAACTTTCCTTATCTGTAAAACAGAAGAAACCTGCTGTGTTCGAAGGTTTTTTGAGTATTAAAGTAACTAATTGAAGCAGTGTTGGTATTTGGAGCTACAGACACTGGTTCTGAAATTTGGGAGTGCATCAGAATCACTTGGAAGGCTTGTCGAAGTACAGATTCCTCGGTCCCACTCCCACTGTTTCTGATTCACTACGTCTGGGTAGAGCTGGAGAATTTGCATTTCTAAGAATTTTCCCAATATGCTGCTGGTCTAGGGACTACACTATGAGAACTTCTGCTCTCAACATTGTCTGGGTCTCAAAATGCTTGGATGAGTTCTTTTTCCTCATGTGATTTTGTTATTCATTTAAAGAATAGTTGGGCTCATTTGCTTCTTTTTGCTTTCAGTTTTAGGGTTTTTCCCATACATGTTTATTTGATTGTTTGAATATGTATGACACTGATAGGATTCCAAAAGTCAAACTATGCAAAAAGATATGTATATACTCAGAGATGTATCCTTGCCTCCTCTGTTCCTTTCATGCCATAACCACGTCTGTTCCACCCACTATAGGTAACCAATTTCATTAATTTCTGGGTTAGCTTTCCTATGTCTATCTTTACAAAAATAAGCAAATGCACATTTACATTCATGCATGTACAGTTTCTAATTTCCCCTTCTTTCATACACAAAAGGTAGCATGCTACGCCTACCTGTTTGCACTTTGCTTTTTTCTACTTAGCTACATAGCTTGGAAATCACTCCATATCAAGTCAAAGATATCTCCCTCATTTTTTAATATTTGCATCATACTCCATGGATTGATATACCACAGTTTGGCCATAGGTTATTTATTATATTTTGTAATTACAAAGAATGTGGCATTGAATAACCTTGGACTTTGTATTGTTGGCCATCTGTCTTCCAGGTAAACTCCTAAAAGTGAGATTCCCGGCTCAAAGGGTGGATACATATGTAGTCTTGTTAGATATTGCCAAGTTTCCACCCTTTTGCTTCACCACAAGCAGCAGACAAGAGCTTCTCAAACAGAGCCAAAGGATGAAAACATGCATAAGTTGTTTTGTCTTTGACCTACCCTTTCTAACTTAGTGAAATTAGGTTTTGATTTGTTGATAAGAAGCAAGTACTAAAGAGAGATTATCCCTGATAGTTATAGCAGTTCTTTTTTTCCTATAGATGAAAATATTTCCAAAGTAGTCCAGGTGTGGTGGTGTTGAAATATTTATTATTAATGCATTAGCATTCTGTATTATAACTGTATTTTTATTCATTCTGTGTTCAGATCACTGCCAGATTTTTTTATATCTCATTCTTTTTAAAAATTAATTAATTTTTTTTTAAGGTTGGATCTTGCTCTGTCACCCAGGCTGGAGTGCAGTGGCATGATCATAGCTCACTGCAGCCTCAAACTCTTGTGCTCAAGGGTCCTCCCACCTCAGGCTCCAGAGTAGCTGGAACTACAGGCATGAGCCACCACACCCAGCTAATTTTTTAAAATTCTTTGTAGAGACGGGGTCTTGCTGATTTTGAACTCCTGGCTTCAAGTGATCCTCCCGTCTTGGCCTCCCACAGTGTTGGGATTATAGGCATGAGCCACCAGAATAGGCCTCATTCTTAAATATTTATTTTGATTCATTTCTTATTTGAGTACATTTTTGAGTATTCCCCACACCCTAAGAGGTGAAGCATGGTGGAATACATCCTAATTCCTTCTATATCTGTGACTCTGTCATTTCACATGTGAGCAAGTGAATGGTTAGGGTTAGAATTCATGAGTCACAGTGATCACCTCTCAATCCATGCAGATATCACTCTGCTGTTTGTTGTTACAAAGAAGTCATCTGAGGCCTGCCTGCTTTAAAAAAAATTTCTAGATAGCCTAATTTCTTTCTATCTAGGTCCCTATAGAGAATAAAATTTAAATTAATTTCTAAAAATTTGTATGCTTATATACTTGTTTTGTTAATTTATCCCTAAAACATGATGAGATTTTGTCCTATCTGAAAACGAGTGCTTTTATGATCTTGAAAAAGTCTTCTTCTAGCATGTTTTTAAATAATACATCTATCCCATTTATCTGTATATTTTTTCATTCAGGTTTATCATACTTCCGTAAGCTGAGATTCCACTTTATACATGCTATATACATTACCTTCTCTTTCATCGTATTTTTATCTCTTAGTCCTCTTCCTTGGCATTTATCAGTAAGTTTCTCAAGCTCTTCCACCATATTTAATTTTTTGTGTCAATTCTGCACTTTAGTGTTGCTAATACTGCTATAAACTGTACTCTGTCATTGTTAGTCTCCTTACTTTATTTCTCTACCTCTGCCAACTCATCTTTCACCACGTTTTATAGACTTCATGTTTCTTTAATGTAATTGAAAGAAAAACAAGGTGATGGTTCACAAATTGATTTGTTTCCATTATTAAAGGTTTAAAAAATGTTATATACAATTTTATGTAAAGTTATATATAATTATGTATAAAGGTTAAAAAAATTATATATAAAATTATATATAATGTTACTTTATAGCATATATAGTATATATACCTATATAAAATTTAGCTATATATAATATATAATTATATATTAGTATTATATTATTAATATATTATTATATTAATATATTATTATATTAATATAATAATATATTAATAATATAATTATATTAATATAATAGCAATATATTATATAATATATTAATATATAATAATTATATAATATATTATATATTAATAATTATATATTAGATTAGATAGAAAATAATAATATATTAATATTCTATATTATACATACTAATTATATATTATATATAAAATAACATAGATACATTATATATTTTATATATATATATGCTCTTCTTTGCCCTCTTGAGTCCTGTTTTCTCCTTTTAAATTTTGGGATATTTTCATAGGTTCTATATTGTTGTTATTTTTAATTTGCATTTGTTTTTCAATAAAGAAAGGTCTATCTTGGTATTTGTACCCAAATCAGTGTGGGTGGTGTTTCCATGGGTACCTTCACAGTTTACCTAAACACTCTTAGATTTGTCCTCTCATCTCATAAGCTGGAGAGCTGGTTGTTCTAAATTTAGCATTAAAAGTCAGGATACCAGCAGCTGGAGGGCCCTTTGTAATTATTCAAGAAGCTCTACCAGGGGGCAGGTTCTGTTTATTCTTTTTCCTTCAGTCTGCCATTTTCTTCACCTCAGGACCACAACATAGCTCTGTCCAGCATCCCTCCTAGCACTACAGCCCCAGGCAATCACTGTAGAGGACCTCTACTCCTCAGATGCCATGGCTGGGAGCAGCCCGGCACAGCCAGACTTTATGCTTGCCATGAGCATGCCTGCACTGCTTGGAACCCTTCTGATGTGTGTTTGTTGAACTGAAGAGGTTTCAAGAATGGGGTGGCTATGGCCGGGTGTGGTGGCTCACACCTGTAATCCCAGCACTTTGGGAGGCCAAGGGGGGCGGATCACGAGATCAGGAGTTCAAGACCATCCTGACTAACATGGTGAAACCGCATCTCTACTAAAAATACAAAAATTAGCTGGGCATGGTGGCACACACCTGTAATCTCAGCTACTCAGGAGGCTGAGGCAGGAGAATCGCTTGAACCTGGGAGGTGGAGGTTGCAGTGAGCCAAGATTGCGCCACTGCACTCCAGCCTGGGCGACAGAGCCAGACTCCGTCTCAAAAAATAAAAATAAAAAAAGACTGGGGTGGCTTCTTCCACAGGCCACTGCCGCCACCACTGTTGACTCACCAGATTCAATGTATGTTAGCATTCTTCTACTAGATGGTCCTTTGCTCATGTCCTGTACCATGGTAGTGTTTTCTTAGGAAGAAGGTTTACAACTGGACCATCATATTTTTCTCCAATCTAGTCCTATCTATAGTAGACCAATCCAAATTTAGTCAAACCATTGTGACTTAGTTGGTTTATAGCTAGTGCACAACTCTCACTAGTTTTATTCAGTCTTCCTTTGGCCACTTCTACGGATTCATTTTATTCCTGTCCTCACATCAGCATTGTTCCCACAAACTTCCTTCTAAATGCTTGGTATCCACCACTCTGTCTTTCACAATGATTGCCACATGGTAGGCCTCTAAACAATTCTAATAAGCAGCTTCCCGAACATGTTTTATGATCCATTGGCCTGGTTTCCCTTCATAGGTTCAACGTCACCTTTCCAAACTCTTTGACAACATGGCCAAGATGCGATTCCAGCTAGATGCCAGTGGGGAACCAACCAAGACAAGCCTCGGCATGTACAGCAAAGAAGAGGAGTATGTGGCTTTCAGTGAGCCCTGTGACTGCAGCGGGCAGGTAACACAGTAGCCCTTTCCCCTCCTTCTGCTTTTCTCTCTCAAATGCCTTCATTCAAATATGATCAGCATCAACTCTAGGAGGGCCTTTCTGACCTTGGTCCAGAGCTGCTGTCCATGCCCTCCAAGAGCCAGCTTCTTTGACTTGAACTGATGTTGGAGCAGCAGCTGGCGCCCTGCTTTCCTCTTTCAGGGAAGGACACATGTCAACATTCATATCTTTTCCTTAACCAAAGACCTGTGCAGAGGGAAATAAAATGCACATAAACAGCTACCCAAGTCAATGAGAAAAGGATTTTAAAATGATTAGCGGCACCAGGAGACGTCAACATGGCAACCCCTGGAGCATCCTCTGGGAGAATCTGGAACACTGACACCCTCCCTGGGAGAAAAATGTCCTTTTGTGGAACCAGCTGCTTTCCTGAGATGTCCCCTCTCTGCACAAATGTGTCTTAGTGTCACTTCCTCCCACAGCCTTCCCCTTGGAGAACAAACTACCACCGTGCTCCAGGAACTGCCTCCTCCAAATCTCCATGTCCAATGCAAGGGACACAAACCACGGGACCATTTACCCCTTAAGCCTCCTTCCCATCCATTAGCACCACCGATAAATATAAGCCTTTCTTTATTTATTTATCGTCTGAAATGATCCAGCAAAGCATTGCCCCTGGGGATTCTCATCTAGTGCCAAATAACAGCTGGGGTAAGGATATTTTACAGGGTTCCACCCTTATCACCTATATCTAAGAAAGCAATTCTAGTGCCAGAAAATAATCGCTTCTCAGTTATATGAGGGTGGCCCTGGGGTTTCATTCACAATATGTTCTTTCTGTAGACCCAGAAAGCATTGAGCTGGGGAATACAATCCTGGTTTGCGCTTCATACTCAGAGTGGACAAGGTCATGAGAAGCCACTGATTTATTTACACCCAGCTCAACCCAGATTTCTATTTCCTTGTATGAGCTCTGGGTGACAGCCCCCACCCCCTTAACCTGCTACTCTGTCCTGCATATTCCAAATGCACACATCAGCCTGCTGTTAATTAAGTCTGGGTCTCACTTATCACCATCCCGGATTACGTAAACAGCACATCTCTCTGCACCTTCTGGCAGCCACTTGGGGCTGTATACAATGTGTGGGCTCCCTTTCCTTCACTCCCTCAGACTGAGTGGAAGAAAATATGTAGGACTAACCAAAACTTCTCAGGCACCCAGTGTCTAACCTGAGTTGTTCTTTCAGGTAGAAATATGGCTGAACCATGTCCTTGGTCACATGAAGGCCACTGTGAGGCATGAGATGACAGAAGGTGTAACTGCCTATGAAGAAAAGCCGAGGGAGCAGTGGCTTTTTGACCACCCAGCTCAGGTATTCTCCTAATGGGATCCCCATCCTCCATGGTTGGGGCTGTCTTCCTCCGCAGCCTCCCCCAGCCTTCAGCAGCTGGTAGATATCAGGCTGGCTGCATGCTTCACAGCCAGGGAGGCTTGAATCCCAGACCACTGTGAGGGGTCAGCAGGTGGGAGCAGGGGGATTAACAATAATGACCTAAGTCAACCCTGACCTTGGGAAATCAAGGGTGATCTCTTTTTGCCCTCATTGGCTACAGAAGGGAGAAAATGTCAACAGTTCAACTCTTTGAGCCAGCCTACTTTCTATGTGCCAAGCTCTGTGCTGAGCACAGGACACACCAGTAGGGAACAAGACAATGACACCTGTCTTGCTGGAGTTTACAGACTCATGTGGAACTGAACTGCTGACACATATGACTGGTGTTTTGTTGTTGTTGTTTTGTTTTGTTTTTTGTTTGTTTGTTTAAGACGGGGTGTTGCTCTGTCGCCCAGGCTGAAGTGCAGTGCCACGATGTCGGCTCACTGCAACCTCCACCTCCCAAGTTCAAGCCACTCTCCTGCCTCAGCCTCCCAGGTAGCTGTGACTACAGGCATGCGCCACCAGGGCTGGCTAATTTTTTTTGTATTTTTGGTAGAGATGGGGTTTCACCATGCTGGCCAGGCTGGTCTCAAACTCCTGAACTCAAGTGATCCGCCCACCTCGGCCTCCCAAAGTGCTGGGATTACAGACGTGAGCCTCCGCGCCCGGCCATGACAGGTGTTTTAATAGGGGAGGCTCAGGGTACTCTGGGAGCATACAGATAGTTCATGAGGTCTGGGGACACGCCCCTGAGCATATGATATGAAAGCTGAGATGTGAAGCAGGAGTTAGCAAGTTAAAAATGGGAGCAAAGAGCAACCAAGTAGGAGGAAGAGCCCAGGCTCAGAAGACAGGGTGAGCAGGTGTGTCTGAGCCAGAGTAAGCGGAGGAGGAGCAAAGGCTGCAGGTGGATTCTGGAAGCCAGTTTCTGTAGACCTTGTGAGAGAGTCTGACTTGATTCTGAGATAGAGTGGAATTCCTTATAGGTTTCTCAGAAGCATAATAAGAGAGAAGCCAGACCTAACAAGAAATGTTTAAAGTAACTCTGGCTACAGTAGGCCACTCCTCCTTCCCTCAGTTAACAGTATAGTAGTAGTGTTGCTCTGTTTGGGGGTTGCAGACATTTAGTAGTCATCAAAGCCATAGAGTAGATAAGATTGCCCTTGCAAAGTATGTAGAATGAGAAGAGAGTGCAGAACAAATTCTTGAGCATCATTCAGAGCCAGAGGAGGAGGAAGGAGGAACCAGTAAAGCAGAATAAGAAATGGTCTTTTGGGAGCAGAAGGAAAACCGGGAAACAGTAATCATGGAAACCAAGCAAGAAACTGTTGGTAGCAGGTAAGAGGTAGGAAATGTCAAACACTTCTAAGAGATGAAGCAAAATAAAGAGGATGAAGAAGGTTCATGGATAAACTTGGTGAGGCCATTTCAGGGGAGTGGTAGGGAAGGGGCCACATTGCAGGGGCTGAGGAGTGGGAAAAGGTAGAAAGTATTCACAGTGGCTGGGCGTGATGGCTCACGCCTGTAATCCCAGCACTTTGGGAGGCTGAGGTGGGTGGATCACGAGGTCAGGAGATCGAGACCATCCTGCCTAACACGGTGAAACCCCGTCTCTACTAAAAAATACAAAAAATTAGCCAGGCGTGGTGGTGGGCACCTGTAGTCCCAGCTACTCAGGACGCTGAGGCAGGAGAATGGCGTGAACCCGGGAGGCGGAGCTTGCAGTAAGCTGAGATCGTGCCACTGCACTCCAGCCTGGGTGACAGAGCGAGACTGTCTCAAAAAAAAAAAAAAAAGAAAAGAAAAGAAAGTATTCACAGTGAATGTGTGTGAATAGCAGGGAGAAACTTGGCTACGAAGAAGAGAGGAGAAAGGAGTCCACACTGCAGAGAAGAAGAGGTGTTTATTAATAGTAGGATTGG